>NC_000007.14:122506779-123131779 GCF_000001405.40 Homo sapiens
AAATGAATAAATCTTCAAGATCCAGATAGATTGGACAGGAATATTTATTGTTAACTGTGTTGTCCAAATGGTGTAAAAAGAGTTAGTATTCGGTGTACAAATTAGAGAAAGAAAAGTCAGTCTTTTCAGAACAATGTTGAGAATGATTTGCATATATTTATTTACTTAACAAATACTTAGTTTCTACTCATGTACCAGGCAGTGTTTAAAATTCCACAGATAAAGTAGACTAAAAGAAAGATAAGATCCTTCTTTTCATGGAGTATACATTCTAGAAGGAGTAAAGAGATAACAACAAAAATAATAATAATAAACATATAAATGTAAAAAAAATTTAATTGGATATAAATGCCCCTAACAATATCAAACAGAATAATGTGACAGAGAATGAGTTGAGGGGTACTTCAGGTCGCCTGGGTGGAAAAGGCACATTCGAAAAGGCAACATTTGAACGGATATCTAAATGGACATGAAGGAATGAGCCATGCATGGGGAAAATAAAAGCTGTAGGATGTTCAGAATTTCTATAAAGGGACTTAGAGGTGGCCTAACAATCTAGGTGGAAGAAAAGTAAGGGACTTAATCCAAAGGTGTATTTACACAACAATCACATTTAAAAATAACCCCAGTTTATATATTTATTTGAGGTGCCTTTGGTGGGGGTATCTGGTGACTTGAAGGTGCTAAACTCCTACTCTTGGCACTCTAATTAATCTGAGGAAAGAGCTGCAGAAGTCAAGACGTGGCTCAGTGACAGAAAATAACTATTCAAAGAGGAAGCTTGAGGCCAGAATATTTAGGACCTCCTCTAAGACACGGTTATGAGTTATTCTAAGTGCAAAGGGAGTCCCTGGAAGAATTTAAGCAGCAAATTGTCATAATGTGAGTTATGCTTTAAATAGATTATCCCACAATGTGAAGAACCTATTGTTAAGAACGAGGGAAGTGGAAGCAGAGAGAACAGCTAGGATGCTATTGTAGGAATCCATGTGATGATGGTGGTTTCAACTAGTATGGTGGTGGAGAAGATGGAGATGACTGGATGTAAATGGAATGCTGTTTTTGCTATGGAACAGCAATCTTTTCTGCCATGAGGGTAAGGAAAAAAGAGGGATCAAACATGACACCTAGGTTTTGATTTAAGTATGTTCAAATATAAGTCAATTTTATATTCCTTACAGAAGTTTGGGAAGTAACCTAAATTAAAAGGGGAATATTCATTTATATAACAAATATTTACAGATTCTCCACTATGTACAGATTCAGGCACACTACTTGTGTAGAAAATTTTATACACATACCTGTAGATATAAAGACATATATATGCATATGAATACTTACAAATACACACATGCACACACTCAGAGCGTTTTGAAATGGAGTCTTGTAGAACAATTTTCAAAAAAAATTAAGCTCACAAAAATGTAAACTTTTGTGGATTTTTAGCCAGCAATTTCATTTCTACAAGAATACTCCCACATATATATGAAGATTAATATACAAGAATTATACATATATTGATGATGGCATTGTTTTTTTCTCCTCCACAACAAAAACCACATTCAAAGTGTCATTGTTTGATTAAAAAAACTTAAATGTTCAAAGAAGGAGGATTGTTAAAGTACATAAACTTATAATATAGAATCCAGTTATTTATTTATTCATTTAAGTTTTTTTTTTTTTTTTTTTTTTTTTTTTTTCTGGAGACAGCGTTTTGCTCTGTTACCCAGGCTAGAGTGCAGTGGTGCAATCATGGCCTACTGCAGCCTTGAACTCCTGGCCTCAAGTGATTCTCCTGCTTCAGCCTCCCAACATGCTAGGATTACAGGTGGGAGCCATGGCACCTAGCCTTAGGTAGATTCTTATATGTTGATATGGCAACTTCTCATGGATATATTTTTAAAGGGGAAACAAAGCAACTCACAGAATAAAAATATATGAAATGATTCCATTAGGAATGAATGGATGTGTGTTTCACATAATGATGAATTAAAGGTGCCTAACTCCTTCAAACAAGTTTGGAAGGCCACACTATTAGCAATGGCTACTTGGCGACTTTTGCAAAGGATAGTAGAATAATGTGGTAGTGCTGGCAGGAGTGTTGAAGGGGCCTTTCATTTTCTACCATAAAAATTGCATGGTTTGATTTTTATCCTACACTGAGTATGTTCTGGGTTTGTAAATTTTAATCCCATTTAAAGCATAAAGCTATAAAGTCATTATGCCATGATTTTCTTGATTTGGCAACAATATCTCTGTTCACTTCACTTTATCTTACTGCCATTAGCAAACATCAGCTAGTGTCCCAAACTAAACCTAGAGGATATAACAGAACTTCATGTTCTTCAGGTGGTAGTTTCATTCTCAAGTGAGTGAGAGGAGTCTGCTGTAATGGGTCCCCATGTGTGCTGAATATTTCAGAAATCAATAGGATGGGCAGCCACTTCTTTATGTTGAAAGCAGATCTTGATGACATCCCACTAACAGAGTGCCTCTCATACATCTGCAGCAGGTATGGATCACTCTGTGGCATGGCTGACTGTTTACATCCCGTGCCAACTCAGCTGATATGTAATTAACATTATGTCTTGATAGCCTACTGTTGTTTGCAGAAACTTCAAGTCATGATTCTGACACATCAACAACAAGCAGTGAACACTTTGATACAGGGCCAAAACAACACAGACGTCTACTCAGTTTCCAATGATGTCACACAGTCAGTGGCCTTCATGAGCACAGGACTCAAATTATACCATCACTCCCTGGCCATTTTTCCAATAGAGTAACACTGTTTTGTACTTCATGAAATGAATGATCCATAGTGATTAATCACATATCTGTTTGTCTTCAGATGAACTGTAGTTATGTGCATCAATGTAATCATAGCAGTATGGCAGAGGAAAGAGAAGTTTGACAGAACTGGATTTGCTTGACTCTACAACTTACTAAACTGCATAATCCTGAGTAAGTTCCATAACCCCTCTGTATTATTTTCTTATCTGTACAATGGGTATAATAATAATACCTACCTTCACGGGCTTATTCTGATAAGATAAAGTATTACAAATGTTTTACATAAATGCTTGCCACAAAGTACTTGCTTAATAAGTATTAGATTTAATATAACAATAATTATGTTAATTGGGGAGTGCTTCAGAATTATTTACTACAGAATATGGAATACCTGGGACATACATTTTTGAATAGGCATTAGCAAAATATAGAATGAAGTAATAATTCATTTGTTCAAATCTCAAATACAGAGTGTTAAAGGTAACAGATTATTTTATAATAATGAACTACAATATATTAAAGTATCTTAAGTACTTTACACCAATGATATCTTCCAAATCTAATAATAAAACACTGAGCAAGCACAAGAAAAATAAGTAACAAACATATACAAGTTTAATTCTGGTAGTATTTCAAGCATATTCTTCGAAATCACTGTTCTTTCAATTTGGCTTGAACCAAAATTTACCTTCATTAAAAAAAGAGGCCTCTTAGAAAGCATTAAATTCTATTTATTATTATAACTATATTGGCATCAGAATATAAACAGAGACCAAAATGATCTTACTTGGAAGCCAAATAAACACTCAATATTAACAACTCATTTATTTTCCCACCTTTTGACTCCAATTTAAATGTTTACATGAGAGTCTTTGAAACGTCTTTTCACCTCAGTGGCTCCTCGAGTGTTCACTTTGAACAATGACTTTGCAGCTGGCCAAACCTTACTCTCAATCAATTTTTATGAGGACAAATTCTTGAGCTGATGGTTGGATTTCCAGTGATATCACTCATAATACACACTCACAAGTGGTGATGAGATTCACATTATCAACAGAGCATCATTCTGCCGATGGCAGCGGCAGACACAGCAGGGGTATACTGTCCTCCCTGTGAAAACGATTCCTTCACCTTTCAATAATGCAGCCTGCAGGTATGGACCTACAAACTGTGTGTGGATAGAATCAGAGCTGCCTTTAAAAATATTAATAAAAACTACCCAGTTCCTCCCAATGGGTAATTCTCATTGAATCTCCATACATATCCATCTTGATTTTGAAGTGTGTGCCCTCAATTTGCCTTCCCATTACGTTTGGAATTGAATGTAAGATTCACTTGTGTTTAAAACTTGTCAGAATACTCGCATGGATTCTCAGTTCATTTGGGCATGGAATTCTCTGCATGAATGCATGTGGATATATGCACATATATGTGTGCAAAGTAAATACATAATGCTTAAACATGACTTCAAATTTTAAAAAGAAACCTCAGGTAGAATAAATTCAAATTCATTATAGTTTGGTGGTACTTTCTTAAATTTAAATTATGAAACATATGGGTTTGCCTACTTTGAATTAACTTAGATATCCCTTTTAAGATATAAAGCATATGTTTGTTACTGAGAAAACACTTTTAGCTCCCCAAAGACATGGTTAATCTTCCCCCAAAAACCTACCAATTAACAGTCTCAAAGTTTTACAATTCCTTCATTTCCAAACTCTCTTATGAGTAATAATCAAAGTATACATATTTGCCCTATAACTTCTGAGTCTTACAATCATATGCTAGAAAATAAGATAAGGGGCAAAAGATTACTTGGAACCTTACCTGGCAAAAAGCATGAGGTGATCATTTGACCTCTTAAGACTGATCTACAAAAGCCTAACTTTCATATTCAAAAAATCAGTTAAAACAATCAAATAAAAAAAAACCAGCGACTAATGCAAATAACATACTGAACATCTGTGGTTATTGGGTTACATTCCCACGTTCTTTCATGCCTATTTCCACCAGTTAAGACCTATGCTTGCTAAGTTAGCTGGGTTTGTTCCCAAACTAGTTTATGCTAACAACATTAGCCATTGAAATCATGTAGTTAAATGAGATTTTACATAAATGCATAAAATAACTGAAAAAGAAGCTGCTGTTTCCATGAAAAATCAGTTGAATGCTTTAGAAAAACTTGATAAAGACAAGTCACTAACACAACTTTGTCAAATTAGATATGAATGAAATATATCCATAAGATATAAATGTGTCCAGAAGTATCTATTAAAATTGCTTAGGAAACACATTTTAATTCATGCACCAATGTCAGAAACGAAATGTGGAAACTGTAGAAGATGGCTTAAGGTTTTTGAAAAATAGATGACCCACAACCCCAAACAGGTAACCTTTTTCAAAGCAAATGCTAGGGCTCTATACAAACAAATTAAATCTGTGTGTGCACGTGTATGTATCTTTTATTAAAGTTGACCAACTATTAGTTCTAATCATGTAAGAAGAGGTTACTTTTTAGCCAGGAAAAAAAAAATAGGCTGGTTGTTTGCCATGTAGATAAAACTACTTTTCACTGAGTTTTCACACTTTTCATGGAGTTACCAGGCTATCATGGGACATCAATAAAGTAATTTTATCCAGCAATTGATGGATGGCTGTACGTACTCACTGGAAGACAGCAAATGATCATTTTCCTTCCTTGGCATTTTACTATGTCATTCTGATCTAGTCCAGTTAAGCTTGTTTAATGTGTGCCATTGGAATCAATGAGATTTTTACAGAATGTTTTGTGTTAAGAATTCCAAGAGTGATACTCTTTTCATATATTGGGAACAAAATAGCTTGGATTTATCATGGACTGGAATGACTATTACTTAGAAGGGTATTCTTTAATATAAATTTAACTTAATTAGTATGTTCTATGAGCAAAGTTATCCATGACTACAAAAGAAGAGTCAGCCAAACTGCATGTTCTGATAATATATGTTCAGAATCCAATCGTAAGCAAATACACACCAGTCAAGTTGACTTAAAAACATATTTATGTGAACAGGTGATTTCTTGGCTTATTTGTACTAAATGTGGCATATTTGCATTAAATGGCAGCATATTTGCATTAAATATGCCAGTTAGTACAAATATATTTATATTAAAATCAGTGATTATATGTATTATGCTTTATATATAAAATATAGAATGATGCAGTGGTTCTCAAGGTATAGTCTTGGAATCCCAGAGATCTCCAATATCTTTTCAGAGGGTCTACGAGGTCAAAACTGTCTTTATAAGAATATTCAGAAGTTATTTGTCTTTTTCACACTTTTTCTCCCATTAGTATAAAGGTGAGTTTTCCAGAGGTTACATTTTATCTGATATTGCAAAAAATTGAATGCAGAAGCTGATGCAAGAAAACAGTTACCTTCTATTAAGCCAGAGGGTAAAGAGTCCAAAAGCATAAAACAATGCCACTTATTTCACTAAATTGTTTGGCTTGGAAAACAGTTATTTTACATAAAAACTTTAGTGTTAGCATGTAATGAATGTACTGCTTTTATTTAAAGTGGCTTAAACATATTTTAATTTCTAAAACAGTAAATTTTGATAGATATAACCCACATAAACAAATTTTGAGAACTGCTATCTTAGAGTGATTATTTAACAGGAAAAAATGACTAACCTGAACTAGAACAAAGTAACGTTTTTTCCATCTTTTCCAAACCTTCTGTCCAAGGGCATACAGATATCTGGAAAGAAAAACAAAAGCCAAAGAATACTTCAGATGAATAATGTTGTGCTTCCATGTAATCACATTTCTTCCATAGGTATTTATTTTTGAGACCAGCCTGCTAAAGGCAAAGTTTAGCTCATTTGGAAAGTGAGACAACCTGCAGCTTCTGTGATACAAAATGAGTTAGCTTATTCTGGGTTCTCGAAAGGGAATTGATTTATGTGACTTATCAATTTGTCAGTCCTTACCACAAATTGAGCAAAGTAGGAATTAGAAAGGATAATCAAAGAACCAGTAGGAATTTTATTCTTACATGCAATTCTTAGGAGAGACAAAGGCTATTAATTGAGGACATGGTTATCAATGCTTCAGTTCTCAGATGACTGGAGCTGAGTAGTGCGCCCTGAGGAGCAGCCAGCTGCAGAGCCAAGAATCCAGGGTGAAGGGTCACTGTCCAGCTGGGTGACCCCAAAATGTGCCTGCACCAATCTCAGTCTCCATGTCCTCACCTATCAAACGAAAGGATGGATTTGCTGATTTCTAAGGTCTCTGCTAGCTCCATCATTATGGGATTTACCTGACTTATGAAAGCATCTCACTGCAAATGTTTTAACTATAAAATTCTGATAGTAACGAAGATGCCATTGGGTAGTTTTACATAGTTTCAACCATGGCTTTTCTTCAACTTTGCATTGACCTTAGTAAGCTGAATTGAAATGATTAGCCAATCATTTGAGAATATTATTCTTACTGAATATACAAATGATATACTGAAATATCAGGGAGGAAAAAGAAGAAATTAAAAATTAGTGTGACCATGTTGTGGAGAGCTATTCCAAAATTATGCCACAAAATTATAAACACACTCCCTACAAAAGTGGAAAATATTGCTAGAAGTTTAAAATATGACAGAGGCCTAATTTTAAGACTAAAGAAAGATTTTTCAATATTTTATAATCCTTTATTCTGAAATGAAGGATTAACAGTGCAGAGGCTGTTCAAACGAAATTTATATACAATTCTGAGTGATTTTTTTAAAGGAGCATTATGATTATTTATTTAGGGGCTTAAGATTTTTAGACTTTCACAACTTTTAAAACTAAAATCTTAGGCTGAATCTTTAATTTCTGTCTTATTAAAATAATCCTATTTTGCAAAACATAACAAACATACTGTTTGCCCCCCTCCCCCCTTTAGAAACAGTGACATAGGGAGTTGGCTAAGGTGTGGGGAATTAATGCGCACTCATTCACTACTAGTGGGAGTGTAACATCTTGGGAGATGATCTTCTTGTAGGATAACATGTCAATACATCGAAATAGTCATACTCTTTCATTCCTGAATGTATTAAGGTAATAAGGAGGTGCACATAAAGGTGTATGCTGTAGGGATACATAGAACAGTGTTGTTTATATTATTGGAAACTGATAACAAATGTCCAACAGCAGTAAAATTAGTCAATACGTGCTGGCATATCCACAGAGAAATACCATGCTGCCAATGAAATTATGTTTTTGATAAAATTAATAACATAGAAAGTATCACATTGTGTAATATTACATGAAAAGAGTAGGATTCAAAACTACACACATAGTTAATGATTTGGAACTTGTAAAAGAATATGTAAAAATAATTCCAAAATATTACTAATAGTATCTTTGAGTGGTAGAGTTATGGCAGATTTAAGTTTCCTTCTTTATTCCCTGAAAATTCACAGAAATTTTCAGAATCCAGGGGGGAGAAAAAAACATGGAGTTACTAAAAGTCAAAATAAAAACAAAGTTCTTGCATTGTAAAACATCACCCAAATGGTCCAAACCAATTATATATTTTCTTTCAGCACATCAGCTAACTGAAGTTTTTGGTGAACTTCTATTCAGCATTTATGATACCGTTAATTCATTCCATTATCTGTGCTTGTGGATGGAATGTGAATTCATTTAATGACTGGCTGAGACATTACTGCTCTTATTCTTACCTGTTCATTGTTTTTTCTCAAGGACCCCTTAAAACCCTTTGCTCCACCTTTGCTCTAGCTTCTAATTTCTTCTCTGTGGTTCTAGTGACAGGTATTTAGTTGCTCTCTTTCTGTCTTTCTCTGCAATTTCCTGTTTTGAAATGCACATATCCAAGCTCTTATTTCAGGGTTAACAGCAATGACCTCGGGAGCTAGATGCTGTGGACATGACAGGTGCCTTTTATGAAAGTGAACTAGCAAGATATGCACCAAATAGCTGGCTTGGAGCCACAGAGAGCATCTGGAATGACCTTTGCCTGGAACCACAGCCTGCTTCTCAGCTCTTTCCAAGTGTCTCACTTTGCAGACTGTTGGGCAACTGGGTCATATACAAGTGAAAGTAAATAGTGATACACAAACCATCAACACCACAAGCTACTCAGTGTCAGTCTTGCTGACAGTGAAGGTCCTGCATAAAGAATAATAATCAGCATTGCACATGTATATATATGTAACTAACCTGCACAATGTGCACATGTACCCTAAAACTTAAAAGTATAATAAAAAAATTAATTAAAAAATAATAATAATTATATGTATTTAAGATTAATATGCTTTCTTTCACCTGACATTTGGTCAATTTTGTTAATTTCTTTATTAAAAAGTTTAAAAATATATTTGGAAAAAAAACATGCAAAAAAAGAATAATAATCAGCTGCAACATCATCAAAATGACAGATTAACAAAATTGGATTAAAATATATGGTTTCTTTGAAGACAGAAAGCAGGGGGACAGATGGATACATACATGTTGTATTAGGGGTTAGTAGAAGATGTTATAAGGAACAGAATAAAAGAGAATTTGTGATTGGAACCAAGGTAAGCATTTAAATGATGATTTCTGGGATTAGGTATCAAGTATCCCTATCTAGCTGCTATTTCACTGGTATGAAAGCAGTTTCTTAGCATAAGAAACACATTGAAAAATGAGTGAAGAGCCAGATGCAGTGGCTCATGCCTGTAGTCCCAGAACTGTGGGAAGTCAAGGCAGGAGGATTGCTTGAGAACAGGAGTTCAAAATCAGCTTAGGCAACATAGCCAGACTCTGTCTGTACAAAAATAAAAATAAAAATTAGCTGGATGCAGTGGTACACACTTGTCTTTGCTACTTGGGAGGAGGCTGAGGCAGGATAATCCCTTAAGCTTAGGTTTTGGAGGCTGCACTGAGCTATGACCATGCCACTGCACTCCGGCCTGGGTGACAGAGCAAGATCCTGTCTCTTAGAGTAAATACATGAAGAAGGAATGAAGATAAAAATGTTCATCAATATTATTTAAGAATAAACACTCAAAAACAATCTAAAAATCAAAAATTAAAAAATAATAATTTTGCCATTAAAAGTGAGGCCAGATAAAGAATTACTAATGATATGGGAAAATTCTTATAATGTTAGGTTTTAAAAAAGCAGTCATACAAATTCATATTATATGCATAGAGAAATATCCGGAAAAATGCAACAAAATGTTAATCTTATAGTTAATATCTGGCAAGTGAAATTAAAGATGAATTTCATATTATTCTTTATGCCTTTCTATAATTCCACAATGTCTATATTGGCCATGTCTTCCTTTTATTGTTTGAGTAGTTTATTGGTATAGTTTACATAAAGTAAAATTACCTGTTTCAGGTATCTAATTTGATAAGTATTGACACAGTCATGTAACCACCACCACAATCAACTTATAGAACATTTCCACCTCCCCAAAAGTTCCCTTATGCCCTTTATGATCAATCCCCTCCTTACATCCCTAGCTCTGGCAACCCCTCATTTGATTTCTGATTTTATAATTTTTCTTTTTCCAGAACAACATATAATTGGAATTATTCAGTATGTAGCCTTTCTGTCTGACTTCTTTCATTGAGTAGAATGCTTTGGTGATTCATCCATATTGCTGTACGTAGTTAATATCAGAAGCCCACTCCTTTCATTGCTAAGCAATATATTCCATTGTAGGGATTTGCAAGAATGTGTTTATTCACTAGTTGGTGGACATTTAAGTTGTTTTCACTTCTTTGGATATCATAAATAAAGCTATTATGAACACTTGTGTACAAGTCTTTTTGTGTAGGCATGTCTTCATTTCTCCTGGGTAAATACCTAGGAGTGGGATTGTAGGGTCGTATTGAAAGTACATGTTTAACTTTACAAGAAACTGCCAAATTGTTTTCCAAACTGGCTATACCATTTTGAGTTACCATCAGCAAATGTATAAAGGTACATCTTACTTTTGTAATCAGAGAAGGTTACCATTATTAAATATTAGGGGGATGTAGTCATTATGACTATAAATATGTATTTCTGGTACAACCAAGTTGAATATTTAGAGACCAAAGATAAAGTCCTTTATCTCATTATCTTGAGTACAGTGGAGACATCCTATAAGCTTTCATGCTTAAATGGGTTTTCTAGTTTCCAAGGTCATTCTCAAGTTTTGGAATTTAGAGTAGTCTAAATTCCTTGTAGATGGGTAATCTTTTTACCTCAGAAGGGCTGGAATGTGGAGGGAATGAGGAAAATGGAGCGAAAATCTTTTTACTGTTTGGTAACTATCAGATAATCCATTTATTAGAAAACATCTACAAAACTAAAAAAGCATTTTCTCCTAACCCATCTTATGCTTGGCATTGCTGTTGAATTACTATTCTTTGTTGTTGTTGTTTCTTAATGTTCAGTGTTGTTATGATTTTTTTTATGGTATCTAAGGCCAAAATGATTTCTATTTCAGAAAAATATACAAAAGTTACATTTAACCTGATATTATGCTCCACTAGGCAATAGATTTTGTTCATTACATTTACAGGTTCCAGTATCTTTAATTACAGAAACATGAGTTACTCTATATAGAAAGACTGTATATATATCTATAGCCAATTTTTAAAGACTTTGCATATAAAAATCAAGTTGACCTCAAATAGTTAGAAAATATAACTTGATCTTTAATGATTAGGAAGGATCCCATAGCATCTGAGAGTCACTGTTATAAAAATAAATTATAATAACTACATAATGCTGTAAAAGGAAAATGCACAGCTGATAAAATTAAATGTAACCATTTATTTGACATATAATGGAAATGGCATTAATTTAACAGATCTTCAATAGCTATTAACTTGTCTTAAAAAATTTGTTTTTTATGTTATTATCATTTGCATTCTGGACAATTGGCATTTTACTGCTTCATAAAGTATGAGTCTACCAAATAAACATATAGAAAAATATTATCTAAGAAATGCGTGTGTCAGGCTGAAGAGAGAGTACCTCGGCTAGGTGTACTAGAGATTTGCTAGCGGGTCTATGCTGCAGCTGTATTCTCCCTCAATATTTTGTAACCTGCTGAGTCATTACTACCTTCCTCATGATTGTGTGATTAACTCAAAGAAGTTTTTTTTTAAGGGTATGTAAATGAGACCTGCCAAATACCAGTCAAACTGGGAACACACATTTAACTGGGTTTTATGTGACAATTTATGATGTTATCCAATAAAATAAGTATCTATCACACAGCATGAGAGAAGCATTTTCTAATGAGTACTGTGAATTTTTTTCACGTGATTTTAAAGAGGAAAGCAGATTTTGTGTGTGTGTCTGAGGGCTTTTTAACATTAATTTCCACCAACCTACAGAATTTGGTTTTAAATATTTTGTTGTCATCTTTGTCAAATTCTTTTAGTTAAATCAGAAATATATGGAAAAACAAAAGAACACAAATATCATCAGTTTTCATGGCCATGCTACATTCTCCAGTACTCTATTAGCAAATGGCCCTGGGTTGGGGCGGGGGAGGGAATCCCCAATCAAAGTTAAATTTGATCCAAGAATTATTTGAATGGGGTTAAAAGAGGTATCCCATTGTACATGACATTTTCACAAGCACATATTTCCAAAGCTAATTTAAATATAACACTTTTTCTATTGAACTATTTCCAATGCATCACAATACTCAGGTAACTAGAGTGTTCTGGATTATTTTAAAATAACTGCCCAGATACTATTTAAAGTATTTGTTTTCATGAACACATCCAACTTAAAGCAAGGTATTAAGCAGTTGTTCCCTTTGAACAACAACAACAACAACAATTGCCTGCTTAACTTTAAAATCTTTTCTTCTTGCATGGGATTAGGTAACAAAGAAATTAGCAGCACTGAAACAAAGCTCAGATTTAACACACAAGAGTAAAGCCTTGAAGCATTTAGTTCTATCAGTCAGTATAAACATAGCAATAATCATAAAGTATTAATCCCTCTCTTGGGTTATTTCAAACGGAGAGCACTATTTGCTCCAAAGAAACACACAACTGATTGCTAGGAAACAAAGCACAAAGACAACTAAATATATTCCAGTTTCATTCATCTATGACTTAAAAAAAAAATCCAGCTATCCTTAGGTCACACTGTATCATCAAATATCAGAGATATGAAGAAACTAAACTTTCAAATTTTTGATTATATATTTAATATATGATGTAGATGTGTAGAATATATTTTATGCTGTTTGGGAAAAAAGTTAAGAGAAAACATTTTTTTAAATGGTATTTGCCTAATTGATTTTTTTTTAAAGGAAATGGCCAGTCCTTAAGCCAAAATAGTTACTACCAACAAGGCAAATAGTATATTTTAAAAATCTTCTATATCTGTAGTTATATATAATCATTAGCATATCTCAGTACCTACAATCTTTTTGGTGTAAACATGTCAACATGATTCTTAAAAGAGTCAACTATTAATAAGGTAGCTGGAAGATAACACCACAATTACTTCTAAAAGCTTTCATTTGCAAACAAAAATAGTCTTTATGAAATCCATCAGAATGTTCCGTGACAGCAGGAACAAAAACTTTTCTTTAGAAAGATTTCCTGATCATTAACATATGTATTTTAGTACCAATAAAATGGTTCTTGGCAATAGATTTATTGAGTAAAATGAAGTTTAGTAAAAATAAATTTCAAGCATTAACGCTGCAATGCTTATACGACAAAACTATTTTAAAATGCTTGTCTTTACATAGTACCCGGTTGAATGTGTGTGTTTTTTTTTTAAGTAGATTCATATGTAATATTCTGATTTCTTTTCTTTTAAGCCAAAAACATCAGAAGTAAGTTTAACCATTAAGCCATTTTCCTTTAAATACTATATATTCTTGGCTAACATTTATAATCACAAAAGTCAATGACATTTTAAGAACTCATTTTCTGATTAAAAAATTGAGATTTAACTCATCTTCATATCACAATATGTTTGAACTATATCCCATATTATTCTAGTAATAGTAAAGACATAGCTAATATTCTCTATGCCAGATTTTATATAGAAAAGAGTAAAATGAAATAAAGAACTCGCTTACCCAAACACTTTAAAAGCACTTTATCAAACCTTTCTAACTTGAAGATTGTTCAAAGAATACTTCAACACACACAAATTCTCCAAACACATTACTAAATATTGTAGTTTAGTTTCAATTAGAATGGTAGCACACAATTCTAATAGAAATGAGAATATGACAATTTATTTGCACTCAGTCCATGCTGTGAGAGTTCATGGTTTTACTTTATGATGAAAAATCATCACTAATGAATATTTGAAAAACATAATTGTATACAGAAGATGGGAATTATTTGGTGCCTGAAAAAAAGAACTATTAATTTTGGTGGATCACTTATGAGTCTAGCGCTTTATTCAAAGAAATGCAACAATCAATTTACATGTTGAATGATAAAGCCTTTTCTTCTACAAGCCTTCATTTTTCAAGGAACAATACAGAAAGAAAAAAAAATCAATATATAGAGTAGTTTAGTCCTGGAAAGGGCTTTCATAAGAGAAACCTCAGTCAAGGTTGAAAGAGCAATTAATGCAGGCTCAAAAATCTGGGCCATTCGGATAGAGTTCGGTTAACATGTGGCAGAAGTAATCATCCACTTGTGAAAATGATTTTCGGTTCATTCTCAAACACCTTTCAGACACTCATGATCCCATTTAACTGACAACAATACAGGCTATCTGTGGGCACCATTGCATTTGAAGTGAAAACCAATAGGGACCAAATGCCCTCAGGCACTTTCAGTCATCCCTACAAGTTCTCTGCTGCTTGCATAAAAGGAATCTTCCTTTCACTACATTCTTTCTTTTATTTGACCCCACAAGATTAAGACTTTTTTGCGGGGGGGTGAGGTGGGGGGGCTTGTTTCAACTAAGGATGAAAAAAGAAACTGATTCCAGACAACACTGGGACCTGGGCATTAAGAAACTTAGAAGTAAATACTTTCTGGTTGGTTATTATAGGCTTGAATTATTATGGGAAACAGTAAAAGAGAGGTGGGGATGCATGGAAAGGATCTTCATCAAACAAAATTACATAACATTTGTGGAGAAATTATGACTAAAGAAAAACCAATAACTCCTATTGTTGAGCAAGAACTTAAAATTTATGTGCTATATAAACAGGAGATTCCTAAAAGCAAATGCATAAAACATAGAGTTCTTCACTTATATTAGGTATCACATTTTATAGAATTGTCCCTCTTCCTTTTCCTGAGAAGTTCTACCTTCTGTTAGTTTCATCTCAGTTAAATCCAAGTTAAGCCTCAGCTCATATCAGCACTGTAACAGTTTAAAACAGTTTAAGACAGTATAAAACTATACTAAAAATTTGCTTGCTATAGCAAAATCTAGAAAATGAATGAAGGCAAACTGCCCAGATAAGACCATAAAACCCCATTCCACCCTCAGATAAGACATCAAGAACTGCTGATGCAGTTCTAGCTGATCATTCTTTTTTTTCTCTTTTTGCAAAATAATTCATTTTATTTTATTTATTTTTGAGACAGAGTCTCACTCTGTTGCCCAGGCTGGAGTACAGTGGTGTGATCTTGGCTCACTGAAAACTCCACTTCCCAGATTCAAGAGATTCTCGTGCTTCAGCCTCTTGAGTAGCTGGGATGACAGAGGCATGTCACCATACCCAGCTAATTTTTGTACTTTTGGTAGAGACGGGGTTTCACCATGTTGCTCAGGCTGGTCTGGAACTCCTGAGCTCAAGTGATCTGCCCACCTCAGCCTCCCAAAGTGCTGGGATTACAGGTGTGAGCCACTGCATCTGGCCCCTTTTTATTAAAAAAAAATTTTACTGATATGTATTTTACATGTTTATGGGATACATGTGACATTTTGATACATGCATAAAATGTGTAATGGTAAAATCGGGATATTTGGGATCTCCATCACCTCAAACATTTATTTCTTTGTAGTGGGAACATTTCAAATCTTCTCTTCTAGCTATTTAAAAACATACAATAAATTATTATTAACTATAGTCACCCTATTGTGCTATTAAACAGTAGAACTTATTCCTTCTATGTGACTATATGTTTGAACACATTAACCAACCTCTCTTCAGCCCCATCCTCCCCATCCCCCACCCCCAACACCCTTCCCAGCCTCTGGTAATTATCATTCTAACTTCTATCTCCACAGATCAACTTTTTTAGCTTTTACATGTGAGAACATGTGCCATCTGTCTTTCTATGCCTGGCTTATTTCACTTTATATAATAACCTCCAGTTTCACCCATGTGGCTGCAAACGACAGGATTTCATTCTTTTTTATAGCTACATAGTATTCCATTGTGTACATGTACCACATTTTCTTGATCCATTCATTTGTTGATAAACAGGCTGATTTCATATGTTGGCTACTGAGAACAATGCTACGATAAACATGGAGGTACAGGTATCTCTTTGATTCACTGATTTCTGTTTCTTTTTTAATAAACAGACATTAGTGGGATTGTTGGATCACATGATAGTTCTATTTTTAGTTTTCTGAGAAACTTCCAAGCTGTTTTCCATAATGGCTGTACTAGTTTACATTCCCACCAACAGTATATAAGAGTTCCCATTCTCCATATCTTCTCCAGCATTTTACAATTGATCATTATTAAAGGATATATCTTAATATAGATGTCAATGCACTGTCACCTAGAAATAAAACAACTAGAAAAATAATTAATTCTATAAAATGTAGTTTTCAATAAATATAAGCCAAATAACCCAACTAAATCAAACTGTGCAGATAAATATTTTATTAAAAGACAGTTTTTCCTGATATTTTTCTTTGCTAACTGGTCATTGGCATTCTTTTATATCTCAATTAGCAGAAAAGAAGTACCTTGATAAATATTTTTAAGTGGTTCATGATCAGTGCTGATATTTATACGACTGTATAAATATGTTAGGTCTTTATTCCTTTTTATTTTTAAAAATCAACCAACAAATTGTATATATTTATGGTGTGCAACATGTTTTGAAATATGTGTACATTGTGAAATGGCTAAATGAAGTTAATTAATATATGCATTACCTCAATATATTCTACCACAGGAGGCATATTTCATAAAGCATGGTTTCATGTTTTTCCTCAATTTAAATACCCTTCAAAATTTTTGTCTACACATGCTTCACTGTTTGCTAAAAGTTAAAGAAAATTAGTAGGCTTTCCAAGCTGATTATAAAATGTCTCAGAAGTAAATAAATGGGAAAAATGTCCAAAGAATTTACTGAGTAGCCCCCTCTACCCCAACCAGGCAAACTTGCAGAGAGGTCTATTCCTCCATCCTCTAGGAAGAGGACTGGGACTGTGAAAATCTGAATGTCTCTGGGAGTAAGCCTATGGCACATTCCAAAGAAAAGGACATTTTGCATCTCTTGGCAAAAAGTCTCTGAGGCATCTAACAATTAAAAGGAAATGATTTACTTATGCAATCCTAGACATTTTTGTGAGATACTCTATTAAGCTTTCCTTTCCCTGAAAACGTAAATAGTTTAGCAAGAAACAAAAGGTTTAGCAAAGGCTTTTATGTGTCAAACCATATCATGTTGACTAATAAAAATACATTCTCTTTTAGGGCACATTATTCCCAAGATATAACAAAATGATCAAATGTTATTTAACATTACATGTAATACAGGTAATCCTGAATTAACACAAATATGTTAGGCCTTCATTTCCTTTTTTTTGGAAATGTAGGTATCGGTCTCCCTTTTTCATATTCAGAATTTCAAGTGAAATATGTACATAAAATGCCCATTCTATAAACTACATACACTCTAAAAAAATAATTAAGATGACAGTTTGAGATACAGTGTTTTCCACAGTGTGTGTCTTGGAACATCTGGATACAAGGAGGTACTGTGAAGAAAAAGAATGGCAAATAAATGTGAGGAATACTCAGTTAAACAAAACTAAGCAAGTTCTGTATTTATTAAGGACTTCTAAGAGCCTGTAGCAGACATGTGCAAAGGTAGGGGAGAATAGTGTATGTGGTATCTCCAAAAGTGCAGAATATTTTCCATAGAATATCTGTAACAGTCATGTTCTCTAGCACATACTTTGAGAAATTAACTGGACTAGATTACTGTTAATGAGTCTTTAAGCAATAAAATTATATAACTGGGTTTTTACATTGTTTGGAATTAACTAATATCCTAGTCATAATTAAAATACCATCTTCACTTCTAACATATTTTTACTACGTATCTATAAAAATGTATGTTTGGGGCTGGGTGTGGTGGTTCACGCCTATAATCCCAGCACTTCGGAAGGCTGAGGTAGGCGGATTGTTGAGCCAAGGGGCTTGAGACCAGCCTGGGCAACATGGCAAAAACCCCATCTCTACAAGAAACATAAAAAAATTAGCCATGTGTCTGTGGACCCAGCTGCTCAGGAGGCTGAGGTGGGAGGAATCACCTGAGCCTAGGAGGTCCAGGCTGTGGTGAGCCATGATAGTGCCACTGGACCACAGCATGGACAACACAGTGAGACCCTGTCTCAAAAAAAAAAAAATTCTTTAAAAAGTTTTCTTTAAAATTTTGATCATAATCTCCATGGACTATACTTGGTTCCTGAAAGGCCTCTTCTTCTAGTATGTTGCTCTCTGGTCTTGGCTAATGAGGACATTTTAGCAGAGCTCTGAAATTTAGTAAACAAACTATGTCTGTCTTTAGAGTAACATCTTCCTGTAACTTATTTACAAAGGTACCTAAATTCCTCCTAACACTCAGCATGTTTCACAGATTTCCCTTCCCAATAGCCTCTTCTACGAAAACTATGTCACTTGAACTTCAACTTTACACTTTGTGACCAATCTTGTCGGTAGTCAAGGAGGCTTGTGGAGTTCTGATTCAAGGCTGGAGGAACTGAGCAGTAAGATACGCTTGCTGTTAATCCAGCTCTGATATCATCCTTTGGCTTCAGTGTCTCAGTCCCTGCCCTGCTCCCTTGTGTTTAAATACAGTCATACATCGCTGAATGATGGAGGCCTTCTGAAAAATGCATCATGAGGCAATTTTGTCTTTGTGAGAAGGTAACAGAGTAGACTTACGTAAACCCAGATGGTACAGCCTACTACATACCTAGCACATACTTTGAGAAATTAACTGGACCATACGGTTGAGTTATTAACTGGTTATTATATTATGGTTAATTGAGAAATTAACTGGGCTACATGGTACAGCCCATTTCTCCTAGGCTATAAACCTGTACAGCTTGTGACTGTAGGAATTGTAACACAATGGCAAGTATTTGTGTTTCTAAGCATATCTAAACATAGGCTACAGTAAAAAAGGTTATAATCTTATGGGATCACTGTCATATATGCCATCAGTCATTGACAAAATATCATTATGAGCTGTGTGCCAGCAGTTGTTTTGATAAGCTGCCCAATACCCCAGGCTGAGGACACAGCTTTGCTCTTGTTCTTGCTAAACTTTCTCTGATACTTTGTGCTTGAATTCTTGACGTGTTAGTTGGTCAGAGACATTTCTGCAGTTGCTCACATGGATAAACACTGTGTTGATATCCTTTGATACACTTATTTATTTATTTATTTATTTATTTATTTGAGGCAGAGTCTCACTCTGTTGCCCAGGCTGTAGTGCTATGGCATAATCTCGGCTCACTGCAACCTCCACCTCCCGGGTTCAAGTAATTCTCATGCCTCAGCCTCCTGAGTAGCTGGGATTATAGCCATGCACCACCATGCCCAGCTAATTTTTCGTATTTTTAGTAGAGATGGGGTTTCACCATGTTGGCCAGGCTGGTCTCCAACTCCTCGCCTCAGGTGATCTGCCTGCCTCAGTCTCCCAAAGTGCTGGGAATACAGGCATGAGCCATCCCGCCTGGTCTTCTTTGATATTTTTATTGTCTTCCTTTGACACGAAGAACTCCTCTGTACAAATACTCTCTGGGTTCTCACTACTCTTCCAATTGTTCACATGTAGTGTGTTTCACCCCATTTGTCCCACACATTGTACAATTTCATCCATTTCTAACACTTATTTTTAAATTGATTTAGTTCTTGAGTCTCATATTTCCCATTTATTACCGTCTTCTTAGCTCAACTATCATTTTCTCAGAGAACTTTCTGCATTGCTAATTAGGTCATATTCCTTTATTATACCAACTAGGTGACATGTAGACATTTCTTCCACAAAGTCATGGCCAGCAGATTGTTTGACTAATGTTTACTCCCCACACAAGACTGCAAACTCCATGAGGGCAAGGGCCATATCAGCTGTGACTCACCACTCTATCCTCATTGTCCAGCACTGTTCCTTCATATGGCAGACACTCCATAAACATTTTTGGAATGACTGAATGGTCTTTTCCTAGTTTGTCATTAGGAACAATTGTAATAAAACTATAATAAAGGAAGTAAATATTTTGCAAAAATTATACAACATATATCAAAAATGTTAAAAAGTCTTGGATAGCCTTTGGATTTTTGATAAAGGTAGTATATTTAGATCAAGAGTATTCAAATAATTTTAGCAGCAGAATATTACCCTGAATTTTAACTTAATGTGAATGATGAAAACATTAAGGAAGCATGGAGCAGCTGCTGTGAAAACAGGCTTGGAGGTTCAGGAATCTAGTGCACCTTAAGCCCCTTTATGCCGAAAAGGGACTTCCAGGGCTCTTCAACCACCGCTGAAAATGGCTTCAATCTCACAGCATCACAAGGACCTTTCAGTCAAAATGGAACAGAATATATTATATGTCTAAAGATCTCAAAATGCTACCAGATTTCTAACTCTCACTAATATGCTAAAAAAAAAAAAAACACAAAACTGTCTGATATTGACAGTTGGAATCTCTGAGGAGACCAAGTAATTCAGTATCTCTTTTCTTTGCCCGAGTTCTGAACAAATTGACTTAAAAGAGTAGACAGAGTACAAAACATCACCTTTAATACTGGTAAAGATAATACTGAATAGAGAGAGAGAGAGAGAGAGAGAGAGAGAGAGAGAGTGTGTGTGTGTGTGTGTGTGTGTGTGTGTGTGTGTTTCCTGCAAGTGGTGGGCTTCCTTATGAGGTTCAGTATTATTATGACACGTATTTTCCCCAGCCCAGTCACAGATAGTGCTAAGAGGACAGGCTGTTCCATGAGAAGATCTTGCCCATGACAGGCTTGTGCAGAATGAACAGAGAACATTCATTACGGTAATGAATATCCCTTACATGGAAGCAAGTATTGGGAATGGAGAATAAATGTTTCCCCCAAAACAGAGAGAGAAGGGTGAAAATAATGAGAGAGACAGACAAACAGAGAAAGAGAGAGAACCTAAATGATTCTCTAAATGGCTAAGTGCCAGGTATAAGATTTACTTTTCTCATTTGTAAAACAAGAATAGCAATATTAGCTCCCTTGCTATAATAGATGGGGTCATTACAAAAATCTGCTGCAATGATGTATGAAAGGGGCCTTTGTAACTATAAAACACAATGTAGATGAAGGCATTAGTGGTGGTGGTGGTGGTGGTGGTGGTGGTGGTGGTGGTGGTGGTGGTGGTAAGCAGAACAGAAAATATTTCAACTTAACTTGTTTGAAGGACTCTTTGGGGTGTGAGGATGGTAATAAACTTTTCAGCTTTGTCCCATTTAAGGAAAAAAGCTTTCCAAGAATGGGGCAAGAATGTAAGTATATCTTTTTCTAAAATGAAGAATACCTACAATGTCACACATTACAACAACAAAAACTAGCTCTTCTTATTCATTAGATAAAAGCAATGTTTCTAAAGAGTACCTGTATTATGTTGCAAGCTACAGAATTTCTTAAGTTCTTAAGAAATTGCTACTTATCAACCAACTAACAAATTCTAGACTACTACAAAAATTATAACGTTCAGCTTCTCTCTCATGTATCTTTATTTAGGGGAGAATGAATAACTAAGTAAAGCCAGTAGTCATAAAGAATCCATGGGCAGTAAGGATGGACTACATAGGACTAGATTTATATAATGTTTCTTTTCCTTTTTAACTTAAAGCTTAAGAATTCCATTTATTTATTTGCTGACAAAACTATATTCACAGTGCTTCTGCTTATGAATGTAGGACACATAAAAATGAAACCAAGATAGTAGGAAAAATAGCTTTTGACATTTACACAACATATTCCAAATTTCAAGTTTTGGATATTTTTTGTTAAAACTGACCTTGTGATATCTTTGATTATTCATAAACTACTAAACATTAAAGTTTTTCTATATTAATTTGATACTTTCTTGACAAGTTTGATATGTCCAAAATGAACTACCACTTCACTTCCTTTTAACCTTTTCTTTTTACATTTTTGAAAAAGAAAATGTGTTGAAAATTACTTAATTCTACTTAAATAAGTGCCACTTTTATTATTAATACCAAGTTTTGTACTTTAAGACAATTATTTTCTATTTGGGGGAATGTTTGCGCCATCTACTGGACATATACATATTATTACTTTTGTCCTACAAGAATTACAATGCCATGTCCAAAGGTACTTGTGAAGTTGTTCCTTATAAACCACTCCGAAACAAAATCTATTCCTTTTCTTTCTTTTTTCTTACGGCACATTTCAGCACAGGAAATCAGTACCTTCCCACCCCAAAAAAGCAACACTAAGATATATTAGTTCAAATAACTAAATATTTCTATTTTAATGGAATCATTTCACAGACTCATACATTCATAGGCATACAAATGAAAGAGGCATAAAAACACATTTGGAGTAAAAGAAATAAGTAAGGCATTTATTTCACTGAAAAAAGTATACCCATCCCTAATTTTACAACTATTATAAGCAGAAATCCTTCTCCTATTACACATAAAACTAGGGATAAAGACTAGAAATCTGTTACATGAACTTGTAGAGGAACAATACTAATTAATAGAAAAGAATAAAAGAGTTAAAGCCAGTCTGGTGGTGTCTCTGGATTTTTCTTAATGAGTAACAACCATTAAATGGAATGGGAGGAAAATCAGCCTTTGGAAGAAAATGACTTTTAAATATATTTTTCCTCCCTGTCTTTTGGATGGCACCATCTAAACAGCAGAATTGAAAAGAAACATAAGATTTATTCAGCTTCAATTAAGAAGGTATGTTATTTTTCCACAGGAAAATAAAATGTGGATCCCGCTTGAAGATCCACGCCAAAATTACATTCCTGGGTATGAGGTTTGATTCAATTGCTGGCACATTTATATCTGCTTTTCAGGGAGATACATAAATAATTGGAAAGTTAACAAGAATTGCACTATAATGTTAATAGATTAGAATCCAAATAATTCTTTAACTCTTCAGAGGTTTTTATTTTTTATTTCCTTCCTTTGATCTACAATTAGAAAACTGGCATGAAAAACTTACTTTAGACTCTATAAGACATATTTTGGAATTAGTGCTATTTGACTCACTTAATATTTACTTTGGGCAGTTTAGAACAGAAGATATCCTCATACTTAATACAAAAATAATGCAGAAGATATTATAAAAGGTAAAGATAAATTACCATGGTAGTTCCTACAAGACAGACTTTCAGACAGATGAACACAGGTGAGTAAATGATCCTTAGTAATCTAAAAATAAAATATATTTGTGAACTCTAAAAAGCACAAAATTCTAACAAATTTCAATATAGTTTTCAACAATAAGCTTTGAAATAAGAAAAGGTTTCCACTTAGGCTTAAGTTAGCTTTTTTTTTTTTTTTTCCCACTAGCTTTCAAGTTAATTAAGCTTCACTCTATCTGAAAGTAAAAACAAATTTTAAAAAGTGAGTAAAATGAGACTATGTTACATTAGGAAATATTCTATGCCATAGTATACTCTACTAATGTTGTTAAAATAACTATCCCCACTGCATTTTATCACCATCATTTTCCTTATAACAACTTACCTTTCAAAAGATAAATTTTCTATATTCTAAGTATTGTGCTTTATGCTTTACATATCTCAGTTAATATAACAATCTTATAAGGTTTCAATTATCACTACAGACAACAGTAAGTTATAACCAACTTCTGATACTTTTAATACTACAAAAGACTGTGCTAAAAACTACACATAACTATTAATACACAATATTCATTAAATATTTATACTTTCTGACTTTGCTACAAGATTCACTTTAGCATTCTATTTAATTTTGAAGCAATGGCTTCCAGCTACCATATATATAAAATTGTCTTCAAGTAAGCTTTTTACCTCTTTTATACGGAGGAGATGGTCTTGATCTCAGAACAACAGGATCAAGACCATTCCTTGTATTCTGGGGAGAGGGACCTCCTGTGCTAGATGCTGGATTGATTGTGAATGGGAAAGTGTTCACATGTATAGAATGCCATCCCTGGTGGGCGTAAGATAGGAATCTTCACTGAGAAAAAACCAACAACAACTAAGAGTTAAGTAGTAGGGAAGCCTCACTGAGGTGCCATTTAAAGTCAGCAATCTTGAGAGAGTACAGTGTCACACTGCAGTAGAGAAACAGCTCAGAATCCATCAGTGACAGCAAGCTGTACTGGTAGTTTATTATATTCTTTGTGATTACTTTCTCATTTGTTGTCCTTTAGCATAAAGACTTTCAGAAGTTCTACACTGCTTTAACTGCAGAGAGCGTCAAAGAAAAGAGTGTCCACAATGGAAGAGAAAGAAGAAGAGGTGAAGTTAGGGTATGTCTGAGGTCAAGCACAGTATTGTGGAAAGGATGTGAGAATCCCCCCAGGAGGGGAACCCTCAGAATTCAAGTTCCAGCCTCACAGTCTAGTCATCTACACCTGCAAGATTCTCCTTCCTAAAACCAGAGGTTTGAAGTTCTTCTCTTAAGGGCAACAGTATTCTCTTTTAGTTGTTCCCACTAACTCTTAAGAATGGGGCAACAAAATTACCTACTTATTAAAAAGAGAATGAGTAGAGTCCCTATACTAATATACTTACAGATAAGAATTCTAAGAATTCTAAAACTGGTCTCAGTTGAGTCTCAATCAGTTTTTTCTAATTGTAAATGGAGATAACGATTGGTTTCCTAATTGCTTCAAAGAATTATCCAGAGGATCAAATGACCCAATATATGTATTATCCCTTGTAATAAGTATAAAGATACTACAGAGATGTTTTAAAAAATACTGTTAGCAGGCTGGGCACGGTGGCTCACTCCTGTTGTCCCAGCACTTTGGGAGGCTGAGGTAGGCAGATCACAAGGTCAGGAGTTCAAGACCAGCCTGGCCAATATGGTGAAACCCCATCTCTACTAAAAATACAAAAATTAGCTGGGTGTGGTGACAGGTGCCTGTAATCCCAGCTGCTCAGGAGGTTGAGGCAGGAGAATTGCTTGAGCCCAGGAGGCGGAGGTTGCAGTGAGCCAAGATCGTGCCATTGCACTCCAGCCTGGGTGACAGAGCAAGACTCCGTCTCAAAAAAAAAAAAAACAAAACAAACAAACAAACAAAATACTGTTAGCCTGTTAGCATTATCTTGACATCTAGGCTATGCCCCGACATTGCAAAAAGTTAGATTTGGGAAATTCTATCAATTGGCTGATTTTTCTACATAATACAACAAATGATTTATCTCAAATTGTTCCTTTTTGAGGAGGAGATAAAAATGACCATTCAACTAACTACTCTGACTTATATGGACACAGTTGCACAATCACGGGCAAAAAAATTACCTTAAGTCTTCAGGCTCATCTATTTATCTATTGCTAATGTAGGTAACTTTCCTAAGAAACACATTTTCTACAATATTCCAAACATATTAATAAGCTAATTGATAACTTAATTTTTAAAGAGTTGGAAATAAAGTATTTCAAATTGCACATATTCTAATTCAGGGGTTTTCAAATGTTAATAAGCAACAAAAATCTTACATGGACAGCTTGTGAATATACACACTGCCGCACTCCGACCTCTCCCCACCCCCACCCCCCTACCCCGCCAACCCCACAACCTCCCAGAGTTCCAGATCGACAGATCAGGCCTGAGAATTTGCATGTTCAAGTTCTCAGGTGATGCTGACGCTGCTGGCCTGGTATCCAGTATCCACACTTTTGAGAACTGCTGTTTTAATCTGTACCTATTCTGAAACTTAAAAAAATGAAAAGAATAAAAGCCAACCATCTCTGTATATTTAAAAGGTATTTTATCTAAAAGTATACAGTTATATTTCCCGAGAGTACGATAAACAATTTTAATGGAAATAAACCAAAATAACATTTTTCTTGTTTGCTTTTTAAATTTGATCATAGTGCCCCCAAGTGGATAAAAACATTACTTACAAAAAAGGAACACTAAACATTTCTCACTGGGATAGGGTTATGCGAATTTATCTTTTTATTTGTCAGAATGCCCAACCTAGTGCTTTGCCCATAACATACTCAGTAACAGGGTTAATACATAAATGCTCCGCACCCCCACCCCCATTTTTAGAAAGGCCTATCACTCTTGCCCTCTAGAGATGTGGGGCTAAGTAACCCTCAAATCTCTTTTAGCTCTTAAATTCCTACATATCTAATATGTAGGATACTGGCAGTTGTCTATTTGTGCCAGATGCTAGAGAAATTCCTTGAAAGAAAATCAATTTTTCTTTCTAGATAAAACCAATAATATCTTTATTAATATGTAGAAATTATTAATATAAAGCAGTAGTTAAAAAAATAGCCTGGAGCTTAAAGGCTTGATAACGACAAATCTCTTTAACAATTAATAATTGTCTTACCTGAATGTATGTAACTCTCTACCTAGCTCCCTGCCACCAGCTAGCATTTTTATATCCATTTCTTTATCATTCTTTTAATTTCAGAAAATACTCTTCTATTTTAAATGTACACCCATGGTCTTAAATTTTTGTAACCACTCAAATCAACAAACTCACACTGCTTAACGGAAGGACAGAAATTCAAAGAATAGAAGCACACCTTTTGGTGGCACCAATATAATGGGGCTAATGAATGCATTTACCTCTTTGTGTTTCCCTTAGCTTCCTTAAGCACATGTATTTCTCATATGAAATATCCAGAAGTCTCATGTTATTTTATGCCAATTAACAAATTGCTAACATGTCATGTTAATAAAAAAAGCAATTGACCTAAGTAGAAGAGCTAATTACATGGAGTAAGATAATTAAACGATTCTCAATATGTAATCAAAAATTATGGCTGGAAGTGTTTCACAATGTTGTCTTTTTGTTTTCAAGTATCTGCCTATCTGCAAAATTCTAATCAGTGTATCCATATGCATAAAAGACAGATCCAGTGCAGATGTTAATTTGTTGCATGATAGAAATCAGGTGTTCAATTACAAATAATGGGGTGTATGAGAGAACGTCCAAGATTTCCATTTAGCCGAACGCATGCATCTCTGCTGGCAAATGATTGCAAAGCATTCATATTGGAATTAGCTACTAACATGCACCCAAGGCACATCACATTCAACTCCTTTATTATCCTCATTATATAATATTCACATCTCCAGCTCTGTGTATTACCTAATTTGCCAATGATTTAGGAGTCTGAACATTTGCTGATCTGAATTCTATTTATTGCACCTGAATTCTTTTAAAAGCGTGATTCTGATTTTTATCTAAACTCTAGACAACTTTAATATGAGGGATTTTGTTTCCTAATCTTACATTTAAACAATCAAAATCATTTGCTTTTGTAGTAAGGTAAATTCCTTGAACTGATATGATCAGTTCAAAATAGGCTAAGCTTTTAACATATCAAGACTATTTCAACAATGCCTCCCAACATAGTCTCTAAGTGATATTTCAGCAAAGTAACTACACAGAGGAGAGCAAATATATTTACTAGGCTGAAAGATATTATGCAGATTTGTTTTTCATATAATTCACTACAAAGTCACAGGCTTAAGGCATAGTTATAAATTGAGATATTCACCATGCCAAACTTACAAACTGATACAATTCTGAGATGAGAAATAAATGTCAAACTGATGATGAATTTTATGTCCTAACTCAAGACCCTAATATTTAGAGTTTGTAAATTATTGAGTAAATATAGGCCAGGCCTCAGATAGCCACAGAAGAGATAATTGATTTGATGGCAGATTAACAGTAATGTACATCAATGGAAATGTCATTATTTTTAATAAATGACATGAAGAAAGATTTAAACAGGAAAAAAGTGCATTTTTAATTCCTTTCATTCTCTTATTTCAATGAAATCAATTTCAAAATATGTGAATATCCAAGGTTCCTTAGCCACTAAGAAAAGAAGCAAATACAGTTTCTGAGTATGTGGCAATTAGCAGAACCTCTAAATTATTCAAAAGTAGTAATGGGGAGGGATGTTTCTATAAACCAAAAAATAAAAAATGGTGACTCATGGACCAAATCTGGCTTGCCAATGTGCTTTGAAAGCTGAGCATTTAAAAATATATTTTGAAATCCCTTTTGCAGGACATGTTCTCCTGATTTCTATAATCCTGATACTTCCAGTCCTCATGACTTTTAACCTAATCACTTTACACAAGTATTTGAGTTGCCTGGCCTCTGGTGGTACTTGAGTATCGTGAACTGACAGTGATCACTTAAAGAGAAAAGTATTTTGTATTAGTAGGTGGTGTTGCCTAGCAGTTTAGAGAATAAGCTCTGGAATCAGACAAGTGAGTTCAAATCATGGTCACTTATTAGCTATATGGCTTTGGGCAAATTTCTTAACCTCCTTATGACTCAGTGATCTTGTTTGTAAGTTGGTATCATCATACCTATCACATAGTGTTGTAAGAACTAAATAAGAATATTATTTAATGTGATAGATTCTTCAAATGTATTTAATCTACTATATCTGGATGTCAGAGATGTAAGAAGTCATATGTTTGGATCAGCTTGCTAATTAGAGTAGTAGCTGAGTACTCTAAAAAGGTAATAGTATACCAGATAATAAATATGTTTTATTTTTATAAAGTCTGTTAAAGAACCTTTCCAGTATGTTCACAAGACTTTTACAAAACAGGCATAATTACCAGAATTATCCTATTGATATTGACCACACATTCCTGTAAGAACTAGTAGAGAATATTGCTGTATCATTGATGAAAACAAATATATATTTGGATTTTTGATAATAACTCATGCAAATAGATCTTGTTTTAAAGCCTAATGGCAAGAGTTGTAGATTGATGGGATGATATACTGAGCCCCACATCAGTGAAAGTGACTTGTGTCTCTTGGGACCTTTTAAAACTTTTACAAAAATTCCACTGCGAGTCTTACTCTCACGTTTTCCAATAATACTTTATCAAGCATTTGATAAAGTGAGGATAAAGAAGGATAACAAGACCTTAGAGGAAACCCTAGACTATTAGCACCATATCTACCCAACTGAACTAAGTGGCTGCTGTGAGGCAGTCCTAAACTATCTCCCTACTGGGAAGAGAGACAGAACCTGTAGCATGACAAGGCATCCTTATACAAATTGCCTTTTGTAATTGGGTTTCTCCAAACCTAAATTTTATAATGTAAATTTATCTCCACAGAATAAAGCAAAACAAAACAATATTAGACAAATGATATCCTTTTGCTTTTAAGAAAAATGAATAGTTGTAGAATAGTTATAAATTATAGTTACTGAATAATGAACAGACTAGAAAAATAGAAGTATTTAAGATTATTTATTAGGGACCTGTTAATTGCAAAACAGTGTGTTAGGAATTAAAATGAGGAATTAAAGATGAAAATGACACAGATCATTGCCACAGGACACTTAACGAGTAAGAGAGCTAAGAAAGATACCTTCAGATATAATTAAAAATATATAGTAGAAAGTGCTATAGGATTCTGAAGATGAAAATCTGTTTTGTATCAATTGGGCCCATAAAAGATCAAGGTTACTTCCTACTTTGAGTAGAAATCACATCTGTGAGGATCAATAAGATGAAAAAGTACCCAATCCATTGCATTTCTAAACTAGAAGCTTAATGCTTAATGCATGGAGAAAAAATAAGCACACAAACAGGCGAGAGACCATTTACTGATGAGGGTCAGTAACTGGAGTCTGAAATTTCTACACAGGTGGGTCTTATGGAAAACAATCTTTTTATATGAATGGGATGTCAAGGGGAAAAGAGGGACCTAAAGGATTCTTTTAGCAGTTGAGTTTGCACAGCGCTTTCAGATTCAGAAAACCTCAACTCTCACATCAGAGGTCTGAAAGGGTGCTAATGAAGATTAAGGGACAGGGGGCCTAAGCTCTCAAGCTACCTTGGTCAGACTTGGTCACCACTGGTCAAAATAATTCATTGATGATAGTAATGAAATGCCTGATGAATGAGATTAAGGGAAGCTGATATCTGAAAATACCACATGTTTTCACTTATAAGCGGGAGATAAATGATGAGAACACATGGGCACATAGAGGAGAAGACCACATACTGAGACTTTTTTGAGGGTGGAGGATGGGAGGAGGGAAGAAGATCAGGAAAAATAACTATTTACTAGGCTTAATATCTAGATGATAAAATAATCTGTATAACAAACCTCCATGACAAAAGTTTACCTATGTAACAAACCTACACTTGTACTCCAATCTTAAAAGTGAAAAAAAAAAGACTTTCAAGAAGCATGTATACAACTATTTATCAAAGAAGTATATTTACAACTATTTGTCCTAGGTTGTTTAGATAAGTATCTATGAATGGTAATACAAGCAAAAAAAAAACAAACAAACAAAAAACAAAAGATTATGCTCCAGAGAATACAGAAGCACTACATAACAGAGGAAAAATTCTAAAAGAAAATTATAAAGTGTAATGCTATGATGAAGAAGATTCTTTCTTATGCTAATAGAGAATGAAATTAAAGATAAAACTAGGTGAAAATTTTACACAAAAACTCAACATAAGCAGAAAAAAAGCTCTTTTGAGGTGAAACAACTGCAAAAGAATTAGAAAAAAAACTTTTCCTTGAGTAATAAAATAAAACAAATAAAAACAAAAACAAAAATTTCATATTAAAAACTCAAGGCTATTGGGATATAAGAAATACTGGGAAAAATAAGCTGAATTATTCAACTCAAGGATTTGGAAAAAACACAACCCAACAATCCTAGGGAAATAGAAGAAAGGAAATAATGAAGATTTGGGAGGAAATTAATGGAACTAAGATTTTTTAAGAGAGACGAAATTAATACAAATGTATTAGTCCTTTGAAAAGATTAGTATTGCAGACAAACTTCTGCAGGAATAACAGAAATTAAACAGAATATTTGAAGTGAGAAAAATGAAATAAAAAATAATTTTAAAAAAGGATAAAAACGCAAGAGAAGATTTTAAATAATATTAATAGCTAAATCTAATAATAATCTGGAAAAAAATACTTTCCAAAGGAAAAACTAACATAAAATGCAAAAATTTAAACCGATCAACAATTACTAAAAAACTTGAAATGGCCACCAAAGGTATTCAAAAATACCTCCCCTTACCTCCAACCGAAGTTTCCAATCCAGATATTATTGAAAATACATTTCTAACAAACTCCCAATGACTGAAAAATCCCACTTATACAAATTCAGTAAAAAAAAAAAGAGAAACAAAGTGAAAAAGAGAATGCAAAAAAATTACTGTCCAACTGATTTAATGAGGTTAATATACCTTTGATTCCTAGACTGAAAATCACTTCAGAACAGTGAAGAAAAAAATTATAGACCAATTTAACTTATAAGCAGAGATGTGAAATTTGGCAGTGGAGGTGAATATAAACACACAAGGAGAAGCTTAATTAGGTTTTTTGTTTTTTTTTTTTAAAAACACAAGGAGAAGCTTAATTAGTTTAAAAAAAAAAAAAAGAACATTTACCTTAACTCATTAGCAGTCAGATAAATTGAAGGGTATTATTTAAATTTTATTTAATTTTAAAAAATTTTCGTAACATTTAAATAAAAATATTGTTTTCCATGAATGTAAGGATGTTTTAACACAAAAAAACTCCACCAATATAAATTACTATATTGATAGTTCAAGGAGAAAAATATCATTGCTTCCCCTTACCAGAAAAGCAAAAATTAGAAAGGCCAGTAAAACCAATTTTGGGTAAGGAGATAGGAAAGTACACTGTAAGTAGGAACAGATAATCTGGAAAGCAATCTTGAAATACTTAGTGAAATTAAGTATCTGTATGCCTCATTCCTGATTATACATAGTGGAGAAATTCTTGCACAGGACTGTGAGTGGACATGATCAAGGACAACTACTGGAACACTATTTATAACGATGGGAGTTGGAGACAATTCAGGTGTTTATCATTAGAGGATCAAATAGGTAAAATGTAGTAGACACTGTGGTATGCCAGGTAGTACAAGAAGCAGTGACCTAAAAGAATATATAACAATGAATGTAGGTCTTAAATACTGGATGTTTAATGAAAAAAATTAAATATCTATAGCACAAAACATCAATATTTAACACACACACATACTACACATTTTACAAGGATACACAACATCCATGGCTATATTAACCAATACAAAGTGGATACTGCTATGGTTTGAATGTGTCTCCCAAAGTTCATGTGTCAGACACTTAAAACCTAATGCAACAGTGTTGAGAAGTGGGACCTTTAAGATCACAAAGGACTCTGCCCTCACAAATGGATTAACACCATTATTATGGCAGTGAGATCCTGATGAAATGATGAATTCAGCCCCCCTCTCTCTTTGACCCATGTGACGCCTTTCACCATATTTTAATACAGCAAAAATGCCTTCACCAGATGCTGGCCCCTTAATCTTGGACTTTCCAGCTTCTAAAACTGAGCTAAATAAATTTCTGTTCATTATAAACGACCCAGTCTGTGGTATTCCATTAGAGCAACACAAAATGGACTAAGACAGATACCTATGTGGGCAGGAGCGAAATAAGAGATGGGATCAGAAATGAAATATTTAAGTAAAACAAAAGAGGGGCTGGTGATGGTGAGTCATTAAAAGAGAAATAACAGTATTCAATGCTCTGTGCTCCAAATCCTAAGGAAAACAAAAAGGCAATCAAGGTAAATCCATCAACAGCCTTTGTAACCAATGTAATTGTGTACCAGTCATAAAGGGAAAAAAATGAGTATTTAGAATGTTGTAAATTTAAATGTAAATCTTATAACTCTGCCTGTCTGTCCCTCTCTCTCTGTCTCTCTCTGTCTCTGTCTCTCTCTTTCTGTTTCTCTCCATCTCTCTTTGTCCATCTCTGTCTTTCTGTCTCTCTCTTTCTTTCTTTAGTAAAGCATGCTTTAATTTTATGCAATAATCATATGAAGAAAAACATTTTTTCACCTTTTTTTTCCATTTTCCTAATGTGTCCTTAATCTTCATAAAACTTCAACTGATGATTTTAGGTAACCATATGTTCAAAATGTTTCAAGTCACATTTTATATTTAATATATTTACTCTTTTGTGTTAAGTTTACTGTTTAAGCTCATTTCAAGTACATGTCATTTTCAGTTAATTTATTTTAGCTGCGTATTTGAGATTTAGTCTAGAATTTTAAAAGTCCACTGAATCATGACTACATTACAAGTTTCCATGTGGTATCAACAGAATTTATAATTCATATATGACATTATACTCATGTTGGCATCATTTACAAAAGAAGATTTTCCCTGAACTGTAATAAATGCTAAAACTAAAAAATTTAGAATACCGATACCCCAGAAATCTGAAAGCAATTTAGGACTTTAACTTAGTATTATAGTAATTTAAAAGGAATACTAAGTTTTAAAATACTGTGAATTCCATTTTTCAAGTTGAATAATCCAATAAAAAATTAAATGGTATCAAATTAAAGAAACATTTAAAGTTTTATGATTGTTAACCTTTCTTAACCATAGATCATTTTAACAAAGTCTGTTGTGGGTATGCTCCTCAATTTGGAACTAAATTTATATCTCGGCTCTTACAAATATTCAAACTAATTATTTCAGAATAAATGTAGAATGACACTTTAATTAGTAATGTATCTCCTGGCAATTAAAATTCTCTTGCTTCTCTCAGCAATTAAAACGGCAAGGCATATTATTAAGGTCCCACAATTCTTCATACCTCTTCCTGACAATTACCATGGGAAACATTAAAGACAAGATTGTAGTTATAATCCATTCACTGAATATTTGGTAGCAGGATAAACACTTTCTTCTTTCTTCTCCTTGTCTAGTAATTTTTCATTTCACTCATAATACCTATCAATCATTAACGCAATTTGTGCTCTGTATCACAAAGTTCCAGTTTTCATTTTATATGACTTATAAAAACCAATTGATTTTATAGAAATGTAAGTTATAGCAATGATTTTAATTAAGAAATAATTTTTAACCCATTTATTCATAATATGACTTTTACGGTCTGAACACTATAAATACATAGAGAGTACTTAATGCTGGCAGAAAATGTTAGTGTTGGAAATAGAAAATGTCTAAAATTACTGTAAATTGAGTATGTTAATATAACAAAGATATACACACAGAGAAACAAAAATATGTGCACCAAATAGGTGATACTGTGGTTCAGAATGAAATAGAAAAAGCAGCACTTTTAACTTTCATATACCTAAGAATATTTTTTAAACTGGTATTATGAGATGATTTTTTTTTTTTTTTTTGAGACGGAGTCTCACTGTTGCCCAGGTTGGAGTGCAATGGTGTGATCTCGGCTCACTGCAACCTCCACCTCCTGGATTCAAGCAATTTTCCTGCCTCAGCCTCCCGAGTAGCTAGGATTACAGGCGCCCACCACCACACCCAGCTATTTTTTTTTTTTTTTGTATTTTTAGCAGAGATGGGGTTTTACCATGTTGGTCAGGCTGGTCTTGAACTCCTGGCCTCAGGTGATCCGCCCGCCTCAGCCTCCCAAAGTGCTGGGATTACAGGCATGTGTCATTGTGCCCAGCCAATTTTTGTTTTTTTTTTTTTATGCTTCTCTTATAATTCCATTTTTCTGTAATGAATATACATATATTCATATATATTTATATATTCATATATATTTATATATTCACATATATCCATATATATTTTCATATATTCATATATATTCATATCTTTATATATTCATATATGTTTATATATTTATTCATATATGTTTATATATTCATATATTTACATATATTCATATATATTTATTCATATATTTACATATATTCATATATTTATATATTCACATATATTCATATATTTATATATTCATATATATTTATATATTCATATGTTTATATATTCATATGTTTATATATTCATATATATTTATATATATGCATATATATTTATATATATTCATATATATTTATATATTCATATATATTTATATATAACTATTGCAACAGAAGAATATCTAAAAGTTACATGGAATATATCATATGTGTAATAGTAGCATAAAATCAAATCATCATTTATTTGTAAATCATAAATTATCTATTGTGTAATGATAACAGCTAAAATGGACAGCTAACAACGTGCCAGGCAATGTTTTAGTCACTTTAGTGATACTAGTTCATTTAATCCTTACAGCATCATTTTGAAATTGGTGATTGTCATATTCAATTTTACAGGGGAAGAAGGGAGGCACAGGGAGGTTAAGTAACTTGCCTTAAGATCACACAGTGATGAGGCTATAATTGGCATGCTGGCTGCAGACTCTAGGAACTACAATTAAGCTGTCCTACTATGATATTACACTATCCTTTAGTAAATTTTAATTATGTATTAACATTTCATTATTCATATATATTACTACAAACACACCTAACACTCTCGTTCTCTCAGATATGATAGTAAGTCAAATGGCTAAATCTTTGGGTAAACAACACATGGTTTTCTATAACTAAGTGCAAGTTTGGGAAGGTATTATTAGCAGATTCTATTAAATGTTCATAACTTTCATTTTAAGATCAAGGGAAAGGCTAAACAAATGGGAACTTGTCTTTCTATAAATAAAACATGCATATTTGTGTCCAATGGACAAATAGATATTGTGGAGGATAACTTTATCTATATTCTTTGCAGTATTTTCAACTGTAACATTACTTTCCTGTTTTATTGTAGCTCTCTGATTCATTTTAATGTTTTACACATTTCAGGTTCAATCCTCATTCACTTTATTCATTATTTTTTTTTCTGCCCTGTTCATCATAGTCTACATCAGTCTAGAATCTCTCTGATCACTCCGGTTTTATCATCTTCCCTTTTACAGTTTTTCACATTTCATAAGAGGAGTTAAGCCCTTTCTATTCTTAAATGCATTCCATGTTTAATAAACATCCATAAACACATACAGTTCTCACAACCACTACCAACAAAGACAGTATTTTTCAGTTACTGTTCTCAAATAATCATTTTATATTTGTTCTTTCCCTGACTAGGGTGACCAATGAAAATTCCATCTAAGTGACTTGGGGCAACACTATCATGTATAGTGTTAATATACATTAACACTCAAGGAAGAATAAAGTAAGTTATTTTTTTTTAATAATCTGTGAATTCTGGTATAAGGATATTTTGGAAACAGCTTCAAGCTACCAGTTAAAATAGATTCTGTGAACCCCTTATTTATGGTATCTTTCCAAATGGATGCCAAAGTCATGGAAGAAGCAATTAATATCTAACAGTACACTACACTTTTTACATATGATTATGCTGTGTTTTGCCAGCTTAAACTGTTTTCAATTTTACAGTTTTAAAAATTTTCTAGTCTATGCTATTTGGTTAACAGCTGTTCCATTTCAGTGGGGCAAGTAATTAGCTCTACTGTATCTAATGCATTACTCTTGATGGTTTTTTAAGTATCACTATTATTACAGCAAATTTCACTCATTCACTCATTTGAGTCTGACACATAGTCTCAATAAATTTACTCATTTATTGAGTCTGACACATCAATAAACATGTGTTGAATAACTGATTTGATGAAATCAAGCATGCATTCAGTGCTTGGTCAAATAATGGTGAACAATAAGGTCCAGCCCACAAGAAGTTGATCTGAGCTGGTGAGACAAATAGGAGGGTGGATGTTATAATTTTATAGTAGGGAGTATTCAAGATTATCTGGGAACACAATTTGGGATTCCCAAGTCAGTCTGTGATGGAAAAATGAAAAATATCAAGGGAATTTTCATATTGTCTCTTAATCTGAAATTCTGAACAATCAAAAGTATATAAAAATCAACCAATTATCAGACGATAATGTGTATCCACTATGTTCTGAAGCATTTGGACTAAGTAATGAAATAAGAGTCAGGATCTCTGCCTTCAAGAGACAATAATATAACTATAAACAAAAACATGTGAAAAGTATCAAAAGAAGGCAGTGGATGGTAAAAGCCAAAAAAAGAGAAGAACTGAAAGATCTTATATATTGCTGGAAGAAATGTATACTGGTAGAACTATCTAGTAAAACTTGAAAAAGTTTTGTATTATCTTGTAAAGATAAACATTCACATTCTTACGAGCTCAGCAGTTCCACTCCTACGTGTCCACTCAAGAGAAACTATGCATATATATACCAGGAGACATGTACAAGAATGTTCACAGTAGCAATACATGAAATAGCAAGAATCTTGAATGATTCAAATGTCCATTTTGATGAAATGGATAAAGTACAGTATGTTTGTAGCAAGCCATATTGTGCAGGAAAGATTATATATATGCACAAATAAATGTATAGATCAATGTGACATACATCATGGGCTAAGGATTATGATTAATCCAGCTCCATGCATTTGATGTATAATAGAAAAAATAAATTGAATAGGATTTTGTAAGACAAGAGTGCACAGTATCTAACCTTTGCTGTATAGCATACTGCCCTAAAACCTCGTGACTTAAAACGACAACGATTTATTATTTCTTATGAGCCTATAGTTTATTAAGCAGTTCTATTGACCTGAGCTGGGCAGGCCATGACCAACTCGTGGGTCTGTGGTCAGTTTCACGCTGGCTAGCTGGCTTTGTTCATTTCATCTGGACTCATTCATATGCCTGAAACCCAGGTCAGCACAACTAGGCTGATTTAGTTCTGCTTTACCAGTGGGCTAGCCCATGTGTGTCCTCATGGTGAAGGAAGTGAGCAAGAGAGGAAGTGAAAATGCACATGTGCTTTTTGAAGTATATGCTTATGTCAAATCTGCTTCTGTCTCAGGGACCAAAGCAAGCCACATAGCCAAACCCAAAGTTGGAGGGGACAAGAAAGATTTAGGGCACAAGGTATGAATTTAGGAAGCCTGTTTATTGGTTCTATTTATGTGATCAACCTACCATACGTACAAATAACTTTGTAATTCACTTATCTCCCCCTTTAATATAGCAAAGGGCAAGTCTGGCTGACTTAATCAAAAATTTTACTAAGTAAGGTCCTAGACAGCCAGAAAAAAGGAAGAAAGTCCATTCTTCTGGTGTCTGTAGGCTGTGGTAAAAAGTAAAGAGACGGAATAGGGAACACAGGTGGTTGAGAATGCCTTGGGTAGAAGGGCTTCTGCCCCACCTCCCATTCCAGATTCTCTTGTGCAGCTTGTAAGGTAACAAATGTGGAGTAATCTTCATGAGGCAGAGGGAGGGCCAGCATCTCTTTCGATTATCTTGGTATAAAAAAGACTCAATAGTTCTCTCAAAAATCAAGGGAGTGGGGACAAGATGGCTTGCAGTTAGCGGAGAGTCTGCTTCTGAGGAAACATTAGTTACACAGAAAATAAACTGCCTCTCTTGGCACATATGTATGAGAAAATGTGTAACCTGGTACTAGAGTGGCAGGATTTGGTAAAAGAGTGAAAGAAATAGATTTGAGCAAATAAAAGCATGCTCAGGGTACATGAACTGATCCACTTGGCAAAGTTAGGAGTTCGTGTTGGGTATAAAATCTAGACGAACCAGATTTTTGAAGAATCTGAATGCTAGCTTAAAGGATTTGCATCTAATCCCACAGGCACTTGGGAAGCAACTGAATTTTTTTTTTAGTAGAGATATAATTGTATTCCTAAATTCCTAAATGGTGTGGAAAATGGGAACATCGTAGAAAAGTCCTTGAACAAGTTTTGTTTGTTAGGATGGAGACTGAATTAGGGTTGGCAGAAGGAATAAAAAGGGATTTAGTTGTGGGAAGTACTACAGAGAGATAGAGATTAACTAATGTCAGTGAAGAGGAAGTTGTAAATTGAAGATAAACCTAAAGATCAATCGAACTGACAGAAAAGATGAGGCTGCCAGTTTCACAAAGGTGGAAATAGGTGGTATTCAACTTTTCTTTGATTGACCTGTGGACTACTGTTATATCCTTCTAATCCACTGTCAAAACCATGTTTTGAAATGTGTTTTAGAAGTATTAATATTGATACGTAAAATAACCAGAGGCATTAAAAATACATTTGTATTTTTTTAAGTAACAAGCCGATCTTTTTTTAAATCATGAGAATAAGATGTGCTTTTCTCTTCTGAATTACTAATGTACTAACCTTAAGGATATAAATGAATGCAGGATGAATACTTAGAAATATAATGTTTGTAAACCCTTTCCTCTGTTCATGTCATCGACACTGGTATTAATGTTAAAATTGTGGTGATGTTTCTTTTTATAATCTGAACACACATCTATCACGCTAAAGCAAGTTCATTGTATAATCTTCCCCAGTATTGTTTACTTATGATTTTCAAGTGCTTCAGATACAGTCTACATAGGGGGCTGTGGCCGTGATATTATACCCTATTAACAACGCCCCATTCAAGTAAGTTCTAGTTATGATTATATAGAGAGGAGTAGGAATACTCTTTAGGACCCTTATACCCGTATGTTAACATCTATGGAAAGAATGCCAAAATTAAATACACTAATAGACAAGCTTGGACTACTTTTGAAGAGATTCCTTTTCATCATTCCTGTATTTTTAGGCCATGTCCTATCCTTTGCTATGTTCCATAAACACTCATTTTCTCCTCTTTAGACCTCTGCTGATCTTAAGCTTTTTCCTTCCTTTTTTCAGGGACTTTCAAGTAAGGCCAGCTTTGCTGCCATATGCTGTACTTTTGCTGCTATTGCCCTTCACTACTGCCATGTATGATGCTTTCTGGTTTATGTAACCTTCTGCTCCTAAGTTTCATCCCGACTTTGGCCCACTGCCATGCTCTGACTCTGAAATCTTTGCAAGTCTTGGTACTGTCAGCCCATGCTTTTGCTTGCTTAGTCCATTCCTCTCCGTATACAGTCTAGGACTCTTCCTGCCTGTCTCATCATTAAAACACTGGTTCCTTGTATATTTCTCCTCATTCTTGTCAGCTGTTGGGGAAAATATTTTCATGAATTATTTTTGAGCCTATCTAAATGTGAAAAAAAAGTGTACACCAAATAGAATTGACAGAATAAATACTGAAATAAATATAGCATGACTATTCAAATTCAGGGGTCACTGTAGCAGAAAGAAAGCAAATTACTTTTATTTAGTCCATAAAGATAATATGAACGAAGCTCAAATCTAGGGTGTTTTTTTTTTGCCTTTAATTTTTATAAGTATTGGTTACATAATACATCATTCTTACAAATTAAAACATATTAACCCTGGGGTATACTCTACCCACAAGAAATGTTGCTAAAACTTCTTCCTACAGTTCAACCACAGGGATGGTCTAAGAATAAATGTTGACAGGCAACAAGCCTCCCTGCAGACAGTAATTAATTTCAATTTAAAGTTTTGGGGAAATAATATATTTCTTTTTAATACAGTCTTTAGATTTATAGTCAAATTTAAATTTGTGAAAAAAGGAGACTTCCTGTAATTCTTCTGGGGCAATAATGTTTTGAAACACACTCCAACAAATCCACCTTACAGTGGTACCAATTAGATAATTTGAAGTTAATATCCAAACAATCAGTCCACTTACAACTGTGAGCATAATTTCTGCATTCTATTCTTTTCTAAAAAAAATTCATCAATTCAACAAATATTTGTTTAGCTTCTACTAAATACTAGGCAATGTTCTAAAAATTGGGTTTAAAAATAGCAAGTGAGACAAGGTTCCTATTCTATGGCAATCAAATTTAGTTGGGAAGCTAATCAATAGCAAATTACACCATGGCAATAGCATTCTAGTTGAGGATACAGTTAATAAACAATAAATATCACACAGATAATAAGAGCTTAAAAAAAAGAATGAAGCCAGTTAAAAGTAGAATTGGAAGCAGAGAGAGAAGGGTTCTTTGTAGGGTGAACAGGATGGGCTGCTGTAGAGACAGCACCTGATAAGAGACAGAAGAAACAGAGGAAGTGAGTACTATGAGCATTCTAGAGTAGAGCTGGCAAAGGTCTTTAGAATGCTAATTTCAATGACACTAGTCTCTCTCACTGATTCTTTCCACAAAACATTTAATTAGGCTAATTATACAATCACATGAATGTCTTGAGTGTGATGGTAACTACAAAATAAAAGTCATGTAGACAGTAAGTATTGAGTCAGCTGTTTAGGTTTATCAATCCCTCTTCAAATAAAGCAATTTAGCTGGGTGTGGTGGCTCACACTTGTAATCTCAGCACTTTGGGAGGCTGAGGAAGGAGGATCACCTGAGTCCAGGAGTTCAAGAACAGCCTGGGCAATATAGGGAGACCCCATCTCTATAAAAATTTTTTTAAAAAAACTAGTCAGGTATGGTGGCACACACCTGTGGTCCCAGCTACTCACGAGGCTGAGATGGGAGGGTCACTTGAGCCCAGGAGGTGGAGGCTGCAGTGAGCTCTGTTCACACCACTGCACTACAGCCTGGGAGACAGGATAAGACCCTGTCTAAAAAATTTTTTTAAATTAAAATAAAAATGAATCACACATAAAACTATAACTAAAAATAAACAAAAACAACCTGAGATGAAATTAAAACTAACTCACCTGGTATGTAAATCTAATGAGATCAACAATGTATCATAAAACTTGACAAATTTTAATATCACAACTAGCAAGATTTGATAGACTGGTAGAGCTATATGGATCAAATCATACTTATTTAATGATTTAAGCAAGAAAATTACAAGTTAAACTAGCAAATTGTAGTAAAACATACAATGAGCACCACCAGTTATTTAAAAAGTGTTAGACAGCATTAGACTGAAATAAAGTGAAAGTGCTTTCTTATTCCTCTCACTTGCCATGAAATAATCTCCAGATGCTCTTTATTTTTAGAACCTGAGCTTATTTCTTAGATAAATCACTCAAGTCAGTTGCTCAGACATGGTTCAAAGCCCTTATGTAATATTTTCATTTTTCTCCCTTGGACATAGAGAGAAGACAAAATAAAGTTAGCAGAAAAATAAACACACAAAGAGCAACGAACTACCATATCTACATCCATAATAGCTGTCAAATAAAAATGTAAATTAAAGTCTAACAATTAAGCAAAGGACCTAATAGGGATATAACTGTTATACTCTCAATGAATTAATGATGATTTGTACATTTCTATTTTTCTCATTTGTCTTCAAGCATTTTCTTTTGAATAAAGTCAAATGATGTGGTTAAAACTTGAAGAATATCATAAGGCCGAGCACAGTGGCTCACGTCTGTATTTCCAGCACTGTGGGAGGCTGAGGCAGGAGGATCGCTTGAGTGCAGTAGTTTGAGTCCAGCCTGGGCAACATAGCGAAACCCTGTCTCTACCCTGTCTCTAATACAAAAAAATTGGGGATTGATAAACCTAAACAGCTAACTCAATACTTACTGTCTACATGACATTTATTTTGTAGTTACCACTGCACTAATTAATACAAAAAAATCAAGGATTGATAAACCTAAACAGCTGACTCAATACTTACCGTCTACATGACTTTTATTTTGTAGTTACCATCGCACTCAAGACATTCGTGTGATTGTATAATTAGCCTAATTAATACAAAATTTAGCCAGGTGTGGTGGTGCATGCCTGTAGTCTCAGCTACTTGGGAGACTGAAGTGGGAGGACTGCTTAAGCCTAGGAGGTGGAGGTTGCAGTGAGCGGAGATGGTGCCACTGCAATTCAGCCTGGGCGACAGAGTGAGACTCTGTCTTAAAAAAAAAAGATTAGTATTAATTAATATTATTATTATTATTATAGTTCAAGGGACTCAAGTAGGATTTCGGTGAAATCAGGATAAGCCAGGCTGGGCCAAGTTCAACCTGGGAATGCAAGTAGACCTACACATACATACATACATAGGTTCAAGTCAAGGTCAGATGTCGAAACATAGTTATTTTAGACAAGGACACAGGGGAAAGTCATTCTAAAAGGTACATTTAAAAATGAAATATCAATTTGCTTTGTGAAAGAACAGACTTGGCTTTGTTTAAAGCCTGGACTCTTTGAGCAAATACTACCTCGACGCAGCTAAGATTTTCCTCCCCTAAATTAGTTGGAGATCATAAACCCTGAATAATAATCTAAACAATGAAACTTTACTAGAGTGCAGTCATTTCACTTTATGAGGAAATACAATGTCTGAATATTTAGTGTGTGAATGCAGTTTATGTAGGCATGCTGTCCCAACCTCTGGATGCCCAGCTGGCCCTCTCTCTGGGAAATGGTGGGGCCACAAAGCAGCCGGTGTGGGGCTTGTCTCGTTTTTCTGCTGGAAGTTTAACTATTGTCTCTCCTTGCAACAAGAGATGAGCCCAATGCCTTTTCTATCTTTATGATGGAAATTAAACTACAGAGTTTTATCTGTGACAATGTCAAAATATTTTAATCCATCCGTTCATTCAACAAAATGTGTAAATAGCCAAGCATGACTCTACACAAAGAGAAATATGAGATTCATCTCAGAGTAGTTTTGCTAAAATTTTATCTTACCAATTAGAAACTATGATAAAAGTCTTCTATTATAGTTATATAGTTACGAAACTCTATTTTTACTATAAAAGTAATCAGTTGCATGCAGACTTCTCATAGATCATGGTCATAATGCTTCCACATATTTGTGAAAGCCAATTTTCTCTTTTTCAGTTATAGATTTAATTGTCATAACAGTCATTTATTAGTTCCATTTTATTTTACTTTTTTTGGTTGAGAAAGTAACCTTTGAATTAGGAAAATAATTTTATTTAATAAAAACAGGAATAGTTATTTGAGTTTTAAGTTAATACTGTTACTTAGCCACTAGGCTATGCTAAGGTATAGCCCATTTGTTCAAGAACACTTCTATCTTCATGCTACAGACACACACACACACACAAACCAGGAAAATAAATTCAAAAGCTGGATGTGAATCATTTAACCATTCAAAACATAGCTGGTAATTTGTTCAATAGATTTATCTAAGGGTTAGTTTCTATAATTAGTTTAGATGACATATTCCAAAAGAATAAATAAACTCAAGTTTTTGCTAAATATACGTCTTGTGGTAATGCCCAGTTTGGTTTTAAAAGGATGGAATCATAGTTATGCTTATTTGATCCAAATTAAATATCTATTTTCATTTACATGTAGTTAGTCCTACTTAAATAAACTATAATATATAGTCGTGGACTGATTAGTTATCAGAAACATGAGCTTTAGATTGGATGCATTTTACCTTCTGGTTTAAAAAAATAGTCATATTAAAATGCAACATTGAGAACTAAACACCATTTATTTCATTTATTTTAGGCATTTTTTTACATTAAAATTATGTTCTATTCTCAATAAACTGTGTTTAGAATCTTTTAAGGTTCCATTTGTGAATAAAGCTTACTCTCATTTGTATTACTTTTCCCTTAATACTCTAGGGAGCACAATATTACATTTTCACCATCATTATTCACATTAATATCTATCTCTGATTATACACTGTGGGAGGCATTGAGAATTCAAATAGGTCTAAGAAACTTAGAGTACAGTTGAGAACACACAGAAAAATATAAATAACATTGATAAAAATATTTTTTAGGGGCCATAGATAAGTGATAAATGAATAAAACAGAGAATACATGTTACAATAGTTCACGCAAGAAAGATCTATTTGACGTCCACATTATTAAAACAGAGAATAGGTTTTTACTACTGAAGTCCTAAAGATTTCAAAGTCTAAAGTGCTCTGAAGATAAAAATCCATTATCCTCCAATTTATTTTTAATCCACCTAACAACTCTATCTGTAACAGGAGTTTGCTATATTTTAAAGATAAATTAATATTTTTAAAACTTGACTTGTCTCTCAAAATTATTATCCATCTGTTAATTATTGATTATAGGAGAAATGATTGACAAAACACGATCCAGGCCCAAAGCGAAATGCTATTAATCTACTATTCCTGTTATGTTATTGCTTTGGTGTATGATGGAATACTTGGAAGAAAAAGATTAACTTACTTTCTCTTCTTAAATGTAATTAAGTGCAGTAAAATCCATTGATGAAGTACCTCAGAAAAAGACGAATATAGCTATGCTGTAGGTGAAATGTTTGCCAATACATGTTTACACACAGGTGTATTATTCAAAATGTTTAAAACTGTTACCACATGGGTACTGAGAAAACAGAACAGATGCTTAGGTTAAAGCACCTCTAACTGTCCCTGTCCATAGGGAGCAATTACTATTATAGCATTGCTGAAAATGTTTAATTCTTCTAATATTAGTATTAAAATATTTTAATTGAACCACTATTTTGGAATATGATATTCTTAATTCTGCTACATAACACACTATCTTAGCATAACATCATCACAGATAATTTTCAGTTCTAACATTGCTTCAATGTATACATCAGAAACTGAAGAGATATTTAAATATCTGGAAATGCCTGTATCTCTTAGCAATGTTAGATAATTGGGCTATGAGGCATTTCTGGTCCGTGTCCTTCAGTGAGTTCCTGAGCTTTATGGATTAAATTAAGAGACGATGATATATCCTCTTTAGTCTTTTCCTTCACCTTTAGTCTTGGGCAGAAGGCAATTGCAGGCCTTTCTAGGGGTACTGATTTAGTCAAAGAGATGTGATAAAAACATACCCTACCCCCAAATCAAGCCTTGTAAGGGGTCTGGATTGTCTCACCTATCCTGGAGTATGCTAAACCAAGGAACTGCCAGGTAAGAGCAAGGGTTTCTTCCCACTGGAGCTAAAGGTTACAGGACCTGCCCTATGCATGTTCAGTCTTTGTTCTTGAGACAAGCTGAAGGTCCAGGAGTATTCACCATGGCATAGTACTGGCCATGGGTAAATTAGGGTCATCTCGGCACTATGATAGGTTCCTGTTTTTTTTTTTTTTTTTTATTATTGTGCCATTCATCAAAAGAAAAAGGGACTGAGTGAAAAAGGGTAGAGAAACAACTGCAGTTCCTGGAACATACTGTGTTCTTTTATGTGTAACTCTACTAGTCTCTAAGCACTTTAGAGCACTAGCACTCTCTCTAGTCTCAAAGCACTCTATGACAGTTTCACTGAACTTGTCATCATCAGCTAAAACTCCTTCCAGGACTCCCTGCCTTTGTACATGCTGTCATGTAGCTGGAATGCCAGTTCTCCCACTGTCTACCTGATAAATTTATCCTTCAAGTTTTATCTCAAAAGTCAGGTGTCCTGTGAGACTTTCATTCACTATACCTGGCAAAAATCAGGTATTATTTCTCCCAGGTTCCCATTTCTGTCTTACAGCACTTATCACTATCATAATTATTTGCATACAAGTCTGAATTCCTGACTAGCCAGTTCCTATAGGCCTGCAATAATATCACATTAAAGTTTGTCCTAGTTGGAAGACAGTAGTGCTCAATACATGCCTGCTGCATAAATTACTGGTGAGCAGGTAGATGGATGCATGAATTAAATATTAAATCCCAGATACTCCATGTGCATTATAATCTGAGTCATAGTTAGACTTGACTTTACATTACTACATTAAAGATGCATAATGTTGTTTATCCAAATCATGGTTCCATTTCTAAGAGCCCACCCTCTCATGTACTTTTTCCCTTTGGTGAGGTCTGTTCTGACACTGCACATGCTGCCTACTAAACCAAAAAGCAATACAGTCCTTAGCACCATCCCAACTGTAATGTATACCTTGGGTTTCCCCCTGCCCAGAGCCTAACTTTGTTTCCCCTAATGGTCATCTAAAGAATCCTCCTCATTTTTTGAATCATCAGTTCGCTCCACCCTGATGTTAGTGATTGGGCCCTAATGCCAGCAGACTCTGCTTGTTACAAGGATGCACTTTCTTAGACCTCTATGTCTGTTGCTACTAACTCAGGGTAAGCCACTTCAACAACTGCTTTTCTCCATAGTAAGAAAAATGGCCCCTTTTCTTTCCTAATGGCTAATACCCCTATGCTGGGATTTGGCCATAGTAAGTCCAAAGTGTTATTCTGAGGAAGTCCTGGATTTTTGGCAATTCATTTTATTCAAGAGTTCAGACCTGTTTCATCACCAGCTGCAACAGACAAAGAACCTTGGCAGAGATGAAGGCTGACTCTGACCCCTGGTGATCCCCAGGAGACAGTCCCTGCATTTCTTCCCCAGGCAACAGTAGCAGTTTTCTCCAATATTGATTCAATTCTCACTCACATGTTTGGATCAACACTCATATCCCTCTTGTTAAAATGTATATAGCCTCGTTGGGTTACATCTACACTATGTTTTAGTTTTTATACAGTCTATGGAAGTTTAACTATTTCTAGGAACCTCAATGCTAAGCTTGTTTCAACTATTATTGTAATTTGAAGAATGTTTCTTAGAAGGTATCAGTGCCCTGGTGCCCTGTATCAATATGACTGATGAGTAATACTAACACAATCAAGTTCCAATATCGTGGTAGCTCGCATACAGTTATCTTAACTAAGGACTCATGTATTGAGCTATAAAGCCGTCTATGGGTATAAAAACATTGAGTAAGATAACTTACGTATGTCACTTTTTGAGAAAACTCCATGTGAAAGCCTGCTATACTGGTTCTCTCACTAAACTGACAAAAATAATACACTGAAATGAAATTCAATAATTCAGGAAAAAAATCCTCAAATTTATACTCACCCACTATGCTTCATATGTGCTGGTTTATCCATTCGCACTGCCAGTTTGATTTTTAAGTCAGAATCCTGGCTATTTTTTGGAACTACCATTCGGTGTAATTCAGCTGATTTGGAGCTATTAGAAGTTGGGTATAATATCACCTGTATGGAAAAAAAAACCCACATTTAAACGCATGATACGGAGTGTCTATGGGTTGGAACTAAAATATTTTCTATGTTTTCCTGTTTGAAAAAATGATGTCAACACCCAAATGTATCCAATAAACAATTTGACTCCCTACTACAATAGCTGATGGATTTTCAATACAGACTCAATTTATTTTTTTGACAAATATGTGTTTTCACATTATCACATAATGAGTTTTCTTCCTGTGTCACTTCATAACGAATTAATAGCACAACAAGCCACAGTTGAATTGACGTTGAAAAATACTCAAGAGACACCCATAATTTCAAGAAAATTCTAAACTCCTCAGGGCAAAGCCGTTCAGAAAGATATTCTTTGACATTATGGATAACATGCTTAAAAACCAAAGTCAATTATTTGAAACAGCACAAATATGCCTCATGTTTTAATATTATCATTGTAAAATAGTATAAAAGGAAATCAACTCAATTAGAGATGGAAAACAGCACATTTTCTGCTGTAGATCAATACCAAAGAAGGACTTTTTCCTGACATGTTTTCAAAACTATAGATATTATAATGACTGAAACAAAGTAATTATTTTTAACAAAACTGCCAAATTGACAAGTGATTATTTCACAACCCTCACTTCACAGAATCAACCCAGGAAAGACAAGCCTACTCTTCAGATGTTAGGTGCCATGCAGATAACACAAGGTATTCTCCCCCTTTTAAAATCAGTTATGACATATTTAGGCACAGTTTACATCTAAGCCTTAATATTTTTAAATGGGAGAATGCTCATTTGTATAGGCTAAAATACAAAATATGTGAAGTGCACTGCATTATATTTTAAGCCATAAACCTGAAGTTTAGATATGAATGGAAGAATTATAAACATTCTCAGGTATTCTAATTTTTTCACAAACAAAATAAATATGTTCATTAAAACTATATTGAAACATATCTTCTTGTGCATAAATCTTGAGGCAACACAAAGTGATTGTGAATCTGAAATTTCTTTGTAATACTGTTATAATTTTACTTTAATATAACAAAACTAAGTCCAGTCTCAAGTTGTTAGGGATAGTCTTTACCAATTTAATAAGGCTGCCTTCTATTCTTAGATTCTAATACTAAAATGTTTTGAAAGCATTCATGGCAATTGACTTTGTCATGCCCTTCCCCTACCCTCAAATCCTCATTTGCAGTATAAGCAGAAATCTTCACTGAGAAATCTTTAAGCAAGACTCCCCTTCTCTCTAGGAAAGACAACACAGTCATAAAAGCTTCTCAAACTATTCTCAACTTGCAAGTTGTTAAATGTATCTACTATTTTGAGACTTTTCTCAAGTCCTTCCTATAAAGCCATAGCTGTGTTGAATCCAGCATATCTATATACTCAAGTATATAAAGGACATCTAAGAACAAACTAAATGACATTTACAATGTTTTCACAATTATGATCATACTCTAGAATTCATTTTGACTGCTAAAATATCCAGTGTAATATTTTACAGATTCTTTCTTAAGTGACAGTAAAGAAAAATAAGCTGATAGCTTTTGGCTCAAACCAGTAGACAAAGGAATATCATTATCAACTTAGAAGATTATTCCAAAAAAGAATAAAAGACTAAGATAGATCTCTATATCCTCTGTAGCTATAGCTGCTATTTTCCTAATAAGTCTGGAAAGCTTTTTCTCTTTCTCCACACCCATCCCCCACACCAACTTTAAAAAAATTATTTGGCATGAGCCACTTACAGACTTTATTGTTTTTTAATTCTTCCTTCTATGTTTATATAAAAATTGGTATTGTACCAAACTCTGAACTCTTATACAGGAAGGGAATATTTAAATTAAAACTTTTGACAATTTCTCATTCTGCAAATGCTGATGATGGCTTGCTAAATTAGGTCCCAAAATAACTGATTTTGGCTGATCCACAAATTAAAGGCTATCCCAATATCGAATACCATTTTTTCTGCCACATTTTATTTTTTGATGGGTATTTCTAACTGAAGTCAGTGGAAGGATTTATTGCTCAGCTCTGTTCAATTAAATAAACACTGAGTTCTTACTATGTGAGGATACACAAAGATTAAAGAACATGAATGGCTCACATCTCTCAAGAGCTCAGTTCCTCTTCAATAGGGCTTAGTTTATGTCTTTTATTAATAGCACTCTTAGCTCTGATAATATCACTTCTTCCTATTGCTCTTCTTTCCCTAGAGTATGCAATGGTTTCCTGATTTAGTTAATTTCTGGGTATATTCACAATCATCTGCTTGGCTTCTCCCTATCATATGTATATCTAATTCCCTATGTTATGTTCCCTCCACTGGAAAGACGTGGGAATGTTTGTTTTTCTGGACAGACTGACTGATAAAGGTGTGAACATTGGCACGTGTAACAAGGGGAGGTCCACAGATACGAAATCTTCTGTTTCTAAGAGAAGTGCATTGGTAAATAAATGCTGAACTTAAACTTCAAAATGGTCTGTAAAATAGTTTTCAGGCTCCCAAATTGCACAAGCAAAAAAGTGGTCATACTCCTTTATCCAATTTCGCCATGAATGAATAGATAAGGAAGCAGCTCCCAAGGTGCAGAGCCCAGAGGGCCATGGAGAATAAAGGACAAGGGAGTTCTTTTCAGAACACACAATACAGCTCTAATCAAGAGATCTGGGACACTTCCTTGGCAGGGTGTCTTCACAGTGCCTGCCAGATAGGATTTCATTATTGTAATTGGACAATTACTGCCATGCGTTTCCCATTTTTCCTTTTTCCACGTGGCAAACTTACCCATAGCTCTCCTGTCCCTGTTCCGTTACTGTATATTGGATTTATCCTGAGGCAGAATGGGGAGGGAAGATGTCGTAGGCAGTTACCATGAACTTTAGTTCACAGGTTTCCAGCCTGCAAAGGGCCACTGCTAGCTGTGACACAGATATTGGACTGGATATAAAAATGAAATAGGACTTTGGGCTGTTTCTCTTGAGATAAGGTGAATGTGTTCTAGGTTTAGGAAGAAAGGCAACAAAACAACTTGGTGGCCACAAGGGTGAACTATGGCACACCGGCTGGCTATTTGCCACGATTCATGCTTTCACCAGTATAGAACTGTTGCTAGTAAACAGCTAATTAGCCAACAACCAGGTTTTCTAGCTCCTCCTGCTTCTAAGTAGGGACATATGAAAGTTCTTGTTAAAGGTGACATGTGTCACCTTGGGAAAAGGTGATCAAGATACAGGTTTGATGTCTTTACCCCACTTTATTCCACTGCCAGCCAAGTTCAGAGAACACCAATACCTAGGAAACGAAAGAAATCAGAGCCCTAAATCACCATGTGGAAGAAAGTCACACTTCTATCAGGAATACCTGTGGTAAACTCTTACAAACCTGATATTATTTTGAATTATTGAAATGTAACGACTTTCTTGTTATAGCATTTAGCAGTATCCTAACTAGTATATCAACAAGGTATTTTGTTTCAAAATCTTTCAAAAGTAAATAATGAAGAATTGTTTTTTTTTATTAGAAGCAGTTCCACTTCAATAGGACTCAGTTCATGTTTAGAGATTGTGTCTGATGTTGACAGTCATAATAATTAAAATATTTAACAGATATAAAAGCTTACTAAGGATCCTTCTGTATCCTAAATTCGCATTTAAATTAAACTATAGCTCTGTACAAATAACTTTTAATATTATTTAGCAAACTATTTTGTTCTTTACCATTCGTTTCTCTTAACCTTTCCGTATGCATTTCTGCTTCTTCTCATTTATTTTTGTCACCAACACTTTAAATGTCTTGTCAGCATGGCACAAAAATGATTTCTTGTCTTAAACATAAAGCTAATGTATCTTCTTCATAATAAAATGTCAGTGTCACTTGTCATCTTTGCTAAGGTGTAATGGAAACCACAAAATGGATTTTTAGGATTTGTTAAAAATTCCATCAAATTTAATATACAGGAGGAAAAACTAAGACTTAAAAAAATGAAATATAAAATACACATTTACACACAGAAATGTTTAGAGTGATATGGGGTTCAGAAGTAGCTTTCTCTTAAAATATATAAGCTGTCACTTCTACATTGTTTCTTTTCTACTGAGATACCTGATTGAGGCCAAACTACATACATTTGTGCATAAACTCTGTGATCTGTGAAATCAAGACTATTTAAATTGCTAAACTCTGTTTCAACAAGCACCTGAAAAACTAAAACAAAAAACAAAACAGCACTGGGTGCTGGGGGAGACAAGCTAGAAAAACAGAGGGGCTAGACAGACAATTCACTACCTTCTCCCATATATGTCTCTTAGCTTAGAGAAAGGAAAAAAGACCCTGGGACCACAATAATTGCACCATATCTTATGGCAAAACAGCAGACACACAGTTGGTACAATTCTAGCTCAAAGATGAGTGCATTCAGCAATTCTTGAAAAAATCATGACAGCTTTCATAGAGGAATTACAGTTTCACTTGGAAGTCTAAAAGAACACCTAAGATTTATAAGGCTGACATGGGGTAGGGGATGAAAAATAAAGATATGGGGGCTGTTGAAACCAAACACTGTAACAGCGGCACCCTAGAAAAAAACACATGATTCCAATGCTGACATTTGTAACATTACTCTAGGTTCTCAAGCTCTTCCCCAAGCTTGGCTGTTCAACTTTTTCTCTGTTCCCTGGACTTAGCCTCAGTCCGTTTCCACCGCTCTCCACGAAAAGAACTTCAATCAGTACAAACACTCATTACATTTTCTGCCATGTCAATTCTCTTTATGTTCTTAAAAGATAAGAAGAGAGGGCCAGGTGCGGTGGCTCATGCCTGTAATCCCAGCACTTTTGGGAAGCCGAGGCAGGTGGATCACGAGGCCAGGAGTTTGAGACCAGCCTGACCAACATAGTGAAACCTCGTCTCTACTAAAAATACAAAAAATTAGTCAGGCATGGTGGCGGGTGCCTGTAATCCCAGCTACTTGGGAGGCTGAGACAGGAGAATAGCTTGAACCCAGGAGGCAGAGGTTGCAGTGAGCCGAGACTGTGCCATTGCACTCCAGCCTGGGTGACAGTGCGAGACTCCACCTCAAAAAAAAAAAAAAAAAAAAAAGGAAAAGAAAAAGAGAGAAGATAACCCGAGAACCCTCTGGGCACCACCTTTCTAGAGTTAGGAAAAGGGACAAGACTCTATAACTGAGACCAGTCACCAAGGAGGCAGAAGAAAGCTGAAGTTTGTGATGTACCAAATTTAAGGGGGAGAGTTTTTTAGGTAGTAGGAAGGGGGCATCAGGGTCACATGGGGATCAAGAGGCTGCACATTGTTGGGTCTGAAAGGCTATTGCCTGGTTAAAAAAGAGAGAGGTGACTGGAGACCTGAGCAGGAAAAAGTTTAGTTGCGGCCAGATAGCAATGGTGTGAGGGACATATCATGTTTGAGGAATAGAATAAGACTTCATTTAAGGTTTAAGTTGGCAAAATCAGGTAAGTTGGGCAAAATCATTTTGGCTAGAAGGTTACTGTGTGTAAAGGCAGGGAGGATGACAATACAGACAGGTAGGTTGAAGGAGATACAAGAAGGTAGGTTGAAGGAGATACCAGAAGGTTAAGCTTATGGATAAAACCAGTAATTATGGAAGATTAGGGATAGACTGTAAGAAATGTGTTTTGCTAAGCGTGTGTTATCCTATATAGGTAACATTTAGTAAAACAATGTTTACAAACCAGAGAATGAAAATCAAATTTTCATACTCAAGTAAAGAATAATTCCCCTCTCTCTAGCTACATACATCTCAGAGATGAGTCATGTGACTCAATGATCAGGTTTCTCATATCCAACTAAGTGATGAACTAGCCTCAAACAGAGGAAGAAGGAACTAAAAACACAATTAGCAGAAATCATGGTTCAATTTTTGATTAAAAATCACTTCTGCTTACAAACAGGTGTCCTTGAGACAAAGGATATTTTAGGCAAATGGCTGAGGGAACATCTTTCCAGATAAGTAGAGCCTATCTCTACAAGAAACCTTGACTTTTTGGGTTTAGTTGATGTTTCTTTTTCTCTTTCAATTGACAGAGATTTTATACTTTAGCAAAGATTCATAAAGACAGTCTCTAGCAAATCTTTCAAATACCTTCTTGAGAGTGTAGAACCTTGAGGTAGCATATATTATGAAAGGACTACCTGAAGTTTTTTTCACTTCAGTATTTATTTAGCAGATGTTAATAACCACATATATTAATATTTGCCCCAATATCAGAACCCTTATAGTATGTGAAGATGGATCAGATGATTTGTCTAAGGGAAATCTATATTATTCCTTAGTAACAGTTTCTCGTGTTTTAATACACTTGAGGTTGCTAAATCTAAATTATTTCTTATTTGATTTAATATCATGGCTTCCTGTCCTACTTAGTGAAAACAAAGAACACCTGCTCACTCTTACAGACACAGTGCTCTTTTGTATACTGAAAGATTAGCATTAAATCTTGTCAACCTTATTTTCCATGGGCTAAATTGAGTTCTTTTATTTTCAAAGCTGGAAAGAATTTTGGAATTTACAATATGCAATTATTCAAACTCCCAACCTTTTACCAAATGTGTACTTGGCCCAACAGAGAACCACACACCACATCTCCTTCCTTCTATACACTTTTTTTTTTAAACAAGAAAGGCCTTTTTTTGAAAAAACAAAATGGGGTAGAAGAAAAACAAAGTATTATCCTAAGTGGATATATTTTCCTTGACATTAGCTTGTTAAAAGATCAAGATTAGAAGCTTTGTTATTTGCATGATGGGAGGATTAAGGATAAAGCAAGGAAAAGAAAAGTAAGATGTGTCAATCATTCTCCAGTTTTTCCTGACATCTCTATTTAATAATGATATGAAGGGGGCATTAGGCAAGCCGTTAGTAGTCTACGCTCCTTGAGAGCAAGAGCTATTGTGTAGTAGACAGGGTAATTCATTTGTACCACATAGAGTCACTTAAATGAGTATCTTTAAGACATTTTTTTTCACCAGTTTTTTATTGAAATTACTATATTTAAAGTATGCATCCTGATGTTCTGATACATAGTGAACTGATCACTACAGTCAAGCTAATTAACATATCCATTTCTTGACTGTTACCATTTTAAAAAAATCTCTAAGCCTTCTTAATCACAGTTTCCTTCACAGTCTATTGTAAACACTCACCAAGTATTTGTTGGTTGGATGATTGGCTGGAAAGATGGATGGATGAATGAATGGGTGGGTGGATGCTTAGAAAAATTAGAAATAAAAATGTAAACCTAAAATTAATACTTCACTGTGGTGAAAAGAGAAAAAGTCTTGATAACTAAATTACTGCCAAAATTTGATAACAGAGAATGATGGTAATTAATTCTACAGTGTGTTGTTTACTTAACAGTCTCTCAAAATCTATGAAACTTTCATCCTTCCATATCTGGAATGTAACAGGTAGAATACTGGCTTCCCAAAGATGCCCAGATCCTAATCCCCAGGACTTGTGAATATGTTTTTACCTTAAATGGCAAAGGAGAATTAAGGTAGCAGGTGAAATTAAGATTGCTAACTAGGCAATTATTCACCTATCCAGGTGGGCCCAATACAATCACAAGGGTTCTGAAACACGGCAGAGGAAGGCAGAAGAGTCAGTGTTGATGTGAAAAGGACTTGACCAGCCATTACTAGCTTCATAATTGAAGAGAGAAACAAGTCAAAGAATGTAGGCAACCCGCAGAAATGGGAAAAGGCAAAACAAAACACACAACAAACAGATTATCCTCTAGAGCATCTAGAAAGGAACAGAACCCTGCTGAGAGCTTGATTTTAGCTCACAGAGATCCATTTTGAACTTCTGACTTCAGAACTATAAGATAACAAATTTATATTGTTTTAAGTCACTAAGTTTTTGGTAAACTGTTGCAGCAGCAACAAGAAACTAATGTGTAGACAATGAAAGCTAAAATTTCATCATAAAGGAAAATTAAATTTACCTTTTAAATTTCTCCTCATAAGTGTGTGATTTAAAGATATTTTTACATATTGATTTCTATCATCAGCTTTGCTTACTTTGTGTGTGCTTATATCTTGCACACACCTGAAGCATTCTGCTTGTAAAAAATATTTTGAAATGCTTAATTTTCTCTCATTTTGTATTAATGTAGTTAAAGTTTTGACTTTTCTTACAATAAACTGAAAAATTTTTTTAAAGGTTTAACAATGAAGCTGATTATTTTGGTTACCAGAATGAAGACCATTATGTTTATATTACTAACAAAGTTCAAGTTCCACACAACCTAACGATTAAGAATTATTTCTGCTATTTCAAAGCCTTTCTTGAAGATTCCAAAAGACATAATCAAGTTTGTCAGTCACTGTATTTTTCAAGGCTCAATTAAGGATAGTGTCTTTTATTAATATACATAGATCACTTTTCTTGTTTATAAGGTATTGATTTCATCCTTCTTAGATAGAGCAATATACTCCAACACAGCTATATCTGTGTTTTTAATATGTATATAGACAGGAAAGCATCACTATTCTTGATCTATTGCCCTCAGCCATAAATTATGAATAGCATAACCTTTACATTACTTTATCAAAACAGTTTCTATTAGAGGATACTGCTTGAGTAGCTTTATCATTTTTCTTTTTACTAGTCTGATTATAATAATGCTTGCCATTTATGGAGAATCTATCAACTGAGTGTCTTGGAATGCTTTGTGAAATTTAAATCAATTCCCACATCACCCCTCAAAGGTAGGCACTATTTTGTTATGTAAACTTGGCACTGAAGTTAAATAAATATCTAGAGGCAAATCACTTCAAATCACTTCAAGATAACAACAGACACTTTCAATTTTATATCGCCCCCCTCAATTCAACATATTATCTCCTTAATTATTTCATAAATATAACAAATTTAGTTTTGTTCTTAATCTTTGGTTATTAAGTACAATAAGAATTTTTAGAGCCAATTCAATGTCAGTCAATCCATAACATACGGTGGTCGGATGGAAAAGAGGGAGGTATAAACAATATCTAGACTTGGACAATTATTTTAGCTGTATCCTTAAAGTGAAGAGCATGGAACATAAAGTTATGGCAAAATGTTTTGGGATTGGCTAGCTAATTCATGGACTACTGATAGATGTGGGTATTTAAATTAAAAACCAACTACAGGTTGTGCATTCCTAACCTGAAAATCCAAAATCAGAAATGCTCCAAAACCCTAAACTTTTTGAGCATCCATATGGTACTCAAAGGTCGTGCCTAAAGGAAATGCTCATTGGAGCATTTTGGATATCAAATTTTTGGATTAGGGATGATCAACCATTAAGTATAATAAAAATATTCCAAATTCTGAAAAAATAAAAAAACTAGAATACTTCTGGTTGCACTTTGGATAAGGGATACTCAACCTGTACCACCTTAAACTGTGAAGGTGAGCTCTTGTTCTTCATATGAATAAGGGATCCATGCAAGGTCTAACAATCACAACATAATAATGTACCAAAATAACACTAATGAAAACCTTTCCAAGTTGGAATACTTATATACTGTTGGTGGGAATGTAAATTAGTACAACCTCTATGGAAAACAGTATGGAAATTTCTTATTTATTTATTTATTTATTTAGAGATGGAGTCTCACTCTGTTGCCCAGGCAGGCTGGAGTGCAGTGGCATGATCTTGGCTCACTGCAACCTCTGCCTCCTAGGTTCAAGCAATTCTCCTGCCTCAGCCTCCGGAGTAGCTGGGACTACAGGTGCACACCACCATGCCTGGCTAATTTTTGTACTTTTATTAGAGATCCATTTTCACCATACTGGCCAGGCTAGTCTCCAACTCCTAACCTCGTGATCCACCTACCTCGGACTCCCAAAGTGCTGGGATTACAGGTGTGAGCCACCATACCTGGCTGGAGATTTCTTAAAGAACTAAAAATAGAAATATCATTAGATCCAGCAATCCCACTACTAAGTACCCAAAGTAAAAGAAATCAGTATATCAAAAAGACACCTGCATGCCTACGTTTATCACAGCGTTAGTCACAATAACAAAGTCATAGAATCAACCAAAATGTCTATCAACAGATAACTGCATAAAATTTTTAATTGCATAAACATATGTGTGTACACAGACACACACATACACACACATGCACACACACACACACACACACACACACACAAAACACTACCCAGACATAAGAGAGAATGAAATTATGTCTTTTACAGCAACATGGATGGAGCTGGAGGCCATTATCCTAAGTGAAATAATTCAGAAACAGAAAGTCAAATACAGCATGTTCTCACAAATGGGAGTGAAACAATGGGTATACATAGATATATGGAGAGGAAGGGAATAATAGACACTGGAGACTCCAAAAGGGGGCAGTGGGAAAGGAGGGTGAGCACTGAAAAATTACTTACTCGATATGATGATCACTATTCAGGTAATGGGTACACTAAAAGCCCAGACTTCACCGCTATGCAGTATAACCATGTAACACGACTGCACTTATACCCCCTGAATTTATAGAATTAAAAAAAAAAAAACTTCCCAATTTGCCATTTTATATGTATGCAAACTAGTCAGTAGTCACTTAAGCAATGGGAAAGGAAGATGGACAGGGAGTATGAGGTTGAGAAATCTCTGCGATACATTTTCATATGCTCAAAAAATCAAATAAATTCAGAAAAGTAAATAACACAGGAAGATAGTGGGGAATAAGGTCAGGACATGGAATGATTCATGGGCAGAAGAGATGTTATGTGACTTGTTCATGGCCTCATGGCTACTATGGCAGAGCCAATACCAGAATTAATGTCTTCAAAATCAGGTTTCAAAGTTTTCAGTTTGTCATGCTGAATAACCAACTAATTTGAATCCTGCTCTTCTGATCTAAGGAGTTCTTGACTCATACAACGCATATAATACAAACCATCAGGGAATAAGAGTGTTTTCTCATACCACTGCTAAAGGCAACAGAGGTAAATATTTTTTTCCAGCTTTATTGAGGTATACTTGACAAAATTATACATATTTACACTATACAACATGTTTTAATATCCATCTAACATAGTTTTTGTGTATGTACTGAGAACATTTAAGATATATTCTCTTAGCAAATTTTCAAGCGTATAATTCATGATTATTAACTATAGTCACCATGCCATACAACAGATTTCTGGGACTGATTCATCTTAACGAAAACTTTGTAGCCTTTGGCCAACATCTTCCCATTCCTCATCCCCTCCATGCCTATGACCCTGGTAACCACCATCCTACTCTCTGCTTCTAAGAGTTTGGCCTTTTTAGATTCTACATGTAAGTGACATCATGTGGTATCTGTCTTTCTGTGCTTGGCATATTTCATTTAGCACAATGTCTCCCAGCTTGATTAAATGACAAGATTTCTTCAGTTTTTAAGGCCGAATAAAATCCTACTGCATATATGAAAGAAATGCTCAACATCGCTAATCATCAGGGAAACGCAAATAAAACCACCTCACACCTGAATGGCTATTACCAACAAGATAAAAGATAAGAATGGCTATTATCAACAAGATAAAAGATAAGCATTGGTGAGGATGTGGGGGAAAGGGAACCCTTGCATATTGTTGGTAGGAATGTGCATTAATATAGCCATTTCAGAAAACAGTATGCAGGTTCCTCAAAAAAAGTAAAAGTAGAATTACTATATGATTCAGAAATCCCACTTTAAGGTATATATCCAAAGGAAATGAAATCTGTATATAGAAGAGATATCTGCACTCCAATGTTCATTGCAGCTTTATTGACAATAGCCAAGATATGAAATCAACCTAAATGTCCATCAGTGAATGAATAAAATGGGGTGGATATTCTAAAGTGACTTTGAATAGCTCTGAGATACACAGGACTTATTTTATTAATATAGTGACTAAAAGAGCTTAGTAATACACTTGAGAATGTTTCAATTTACTTCTATTTCAGGTAGAAGACTAAACATACTAGAACTTCACTCGCTGTAGGATCCAAATTGTACATTATTCTATAATTGTTGTTCTAGTTTATTACTTGATTAGGGATATCAGGCATCCAAACAAAAGTAACTAATTCTGCTTTCTAGCATAACTTTGCATAGGAGAAATGAAACCAAATTAAGCACATTTCAGATTTATTCATTTGTTCACCTATCCCTCCAACATTAATTGGACATACACTGTGAGTCAGAAACTGCTAGACAGCTGCTGTTGCTAAAGTGCATAATATGTCCATGGCCTTACCCTCAAAAGGATAACAATACAGTAGATGCCACTATGAACTGGAAAAATTTAATTTGCATCTTTGTGCCACAGTTGCTTTATCTGGAAAGTGAAGAGATTGGATTAAGTGAGCTCCAGTGTCCTTTTAAACTCCAAATTCTACTAACCAATAAAACAGAAATAGCCAGAAATAACAGTTAGTTTTGTTTCTTAATTAATTATAGATAAAATATCACATGAATTATGTAAAAACTAAACTAATTTATCTAGTAGCTTTTCTTCAAAATTCAGCTGAACATAAAATTTCAGTTTCACTGACTTAGGAAGTACAGTTTGCAGCGAACTCAATCCCATCAGCACCTTGAAAGATAACCTCTACTCTCCCATCACTAGATACTCAGCTTTTAATTTATATGAAAAAAGGCACTGACTATTCTGGCTAGGTTGTTTGTTTTATTTGTCCTAAGGATTACAAAAGCATCGACTTTGGTGTGATGCACACATGCAGGACACCCCTACCAGCTTCCTGAACATCCCCTTTTTTTCTTCCTGAAACAATTCTGATTTTGTTCAAAGCAACAATTGTTAAATAAATGTACAATCTTCTAAACCTTTTCTGAACCTAAAGATGACTATGTGACACTAGTTTAAAAGATAACTAACCATTTAAAGAATGTAAAAACAATGTAGTGTGGGTTTGTAACATATGTAAAAGTACAATGTACAATGCATAACAATAACTCAAATGATGGGAGGGAAGAACTAGAGGTATAATATTGTAAGGTTCTTAAATATACATTAAATGTTATAATATTACTTGACTTAGCCTCTGATGAGTTAAAACAACATAAAATAACAAGACATTTATCAGTAACAGAGCAACAAAGAAGAAAAACTAGAATCTTAAAGAACATTCAACCTAAAAAAAGCAGAAGAGGAGAAACGGGATAACAGAAGAGAAAGAAAAAACATCTAAATGACAGATTTAAGCTTAACCATATCAATATTCATATTAAAATATAATTGAAATAACCCAGTTAAAAGGCAGAGGTGTGTCAGAATGGATAATAAAGACACAATTATATGTTGCTTCAAGAAATATAGTCTAAGTGTAAAGAAACAAATAGATTAAAAAATGGGAAAAATAGAACATGCTAATACTAGTCAAAAGAAAGCTGGGGGCTGGGCACAGTGGCTCATGCCTATAATCCCAGCACTTTGGGAGGCCAAGGTGGGTGGACTGCTTGAGCTCAGGAGTTCAAGACCAGCCTGGGCAACACGGCAAAACCCCATCTCTACAAAAACAAAAATAACAACAACAATAACAACAAAAAGAAAGCTGAGGCAGCTAAGATAAAGTAGATTTTTAAAGTAAAGTATACTACCAGGGATAAAGAAGGTCATTTCATAATGATAAAAGATCAGTTAATGAGAAGGAAATCGTAATCCCATCTATCTATACACTGCCATATCAGATATTCATAAAACATGAGGCAAAAAAAGATAAAACAAATACAAAACTATAGCAAGATATTTCAATACCTAATAGCTATATAATATAATATTTACACCAAAGAGCTCAATGGGACAGAATAGAGAGTCCAGGAATAGGCTTACAGATATATAGATAATTGATTTTTCACAAAGATGTTAAGTAAATTCAGTGGAGAAAGCATTTCAACAGACTGTGCTAGAACAACATGTTCAAATAAAAACTTTGATCTATATGTAGCTCTAGATCTGAAAATTAACTAAAAATAAATCAAAGACTAAATGTAAAAATCTAAAACTATACAGCTTCTAGAAGAAAACAGAGGAGAATTCCAACTTTGGGTTTGGTGAAGATTTCTTAGATACAGCACCAAGAACCTGAGCCAAAAAGAAAAAAATCATAAATTGGACTTAATCAAAATTAAAAATTTTTGTTCTTTGAAATATGATTAAGAGAATAACGAGAGCTATCTATGACAAACCCACAGCCAATATCATATTGAATGGGCAAAAACTGGAAGCATTCCCTTTGAAAACTGGCACAAGACAGGGATGCCCTCTCTCACCACTCCTATTCAACATAGTGTTGGAAGTTCTGGCCAGGGCAATTAGGCAGGAGAAAGAAAGAAAGTGTATCCAATTAGGAAAAGAGGAAGTCAAATTGTCCCTGTTTGCAGACGACATGATTGTATATCTAGAAAACCCCATCATCTCAGCCCAAAATCTCCTTAAGCTGATAAGCAACTTCAGCAAAGTCTCAGGATACAAAATCAATGTGCAAAAATAACAAGCATTCTTATACACCAATAACAGACAAACAGAGAGCCAAATCATGAGTGAACTCCCATTCACAACTGCTTCAAAGAGAATAAAATACTTAGGAATCCAGCTTACAAGGGATGTGAAGGACCTCTTCAAGGAGAACTACAAACCACTGCTCAAGGAAATAAAAGAAGATACAAACAAATGGAAGACCATTCCATGCTCGTGGATAGGAAGAATCAATACCGTGAAAATGGCCATAATGCCCAAGGTAATTTATAGATTCAATGCCATCCCCATCAAGCTACCAATGACTTTCTTCACAGAATTGGAAAAAACTACTTTAAAGTTCATATGGAACCAAAAAAGAGCCTGCATTGCCAAGACAATCCTAAGCCAAAAGAACAAAGCTGGAGGCATCACACTACCTGACTTCAAACTATACTACAAGGCTACAGTAACCAAAACAGCATGGTACTGGTACCAAAACAGAGATATAGATCAATGGAACAGAACAGAGCCCTCAGAAATAACGCCACATACCTACAACTATCTGATCTTTGACAAACCTGAGAAAAACAAGCAATGGGGAAAGGATTCCCTATTTAATAAATGGTGCTGGGAAAACTGGCTAGCCATATGGAGAAAGCTGAAACTGGATCCCTTCCTTACACCTTATACAAAAATCAATTCAAGATGGATTAAAGACTTAAACGTTAGACCTAAAACCATAAAAACCCTAGAAGAAAACCTAGGCAATACCATTCAGGACACAGGCGTGGGCAAGGACTTCATGTCTAAAACACCAAAAGCAATGGCAACAAAAGCCAAAATTGACAAATGGGATCTAATTAAACTAAAGAGCTTCTGCACAACAAAAGAAACTACCATCAGAGTGAACAGGCAACCTACAGAATGGGAGAAAATTTTCGCAACCTACTCATCTGACGAAGGGCTAATATCCAGAATCTACAATGAACTCAAACAAATTTACAAGAAAAAAACAAACAAGCCCATCAAAAAGTGGGCAAAGGAGATGAACAGACACTTCTCAAAAGAAGACATTTATGCAGCCAAAAGACACATGAAAAAATGCTCATCGTCACTGACCATCAGAGAAATTGAAATCAAAACCACAATGAGATACCATCTCACACCAGTTAGAATGGCAATCATTAAAAAGTCAGGAAACAACAGGTGCTGGAGAGGATGTGGAGAAATAGGAACACTTTTACACTGTTGGTGGGACTGTAAACTAGTTCAACCATTGTGGAAGTCAGTGTGGCGATTCCTCAGGGATCTAGAACTAGAAATACCATTTGACCCAGCCATCCCATTACTGGGTATATACCCAAAGGACTATAAATCATGCTGCTATAAAGACACATGCACATGTATGTTTATTGTGGCACTATTCACAATAGCAAAGACTTGGAACCAACCCAAATGTCCAACAATGATAGACTGGATTAAGAAAATGTGGCACATATACACCATAGAATACTATGCAGCCATAAAAAATGATGAGTTCATGTCCTTTATAGGGACATGGATGAAATTGGAAATCATCATTCTCAGTAAACTATCGCAAGGACAAAAAACCAAACACCACATGTTCTCATTCATAGATGGGAATTGAACAATGAGAACACATGGACACAGGAAGGGGAACATCACACTCTGGAGACTGTTGTGAGGTCGGGGGAGCGGGGAGGGATAGCATTAGGAGATATACCTAATGCTAAGTGACGAGTTAATGGGTGCAGCACACCAGCATGGCACATGTATACATATGTAACTAACCTGCACATTGTGCATATGTACCCTAAAACTTAAAGTATAATAATAATAAAAAAATTTAAAAAAGAGAATAACAGGACAAGCCAAAGACTGAGAGAAAAGTATTTATATCACACTCTCATAAAGAAGGTATAAATAATATGACCTTTCCAAATTCAAAAATGAGAAAACAAGCAACCCAGTTAAAAACTGGGGAAAATATTTGAACAGATTCTTCACAAAAGAAAAGCTGCAGATGGCAAAAAGATGCTAAACATCATTAGTGTTTTTGCTAAGTGCCAATTAAAACCATAATGAAATAACAATATATACCTATTAGAAGGCATTAGTACAGTGTACATGTCTAACATTTGTTCTACCCGAGACAGAGGAAAACCTCTATTATTCTGAGGAAATAGTAAAATGTCAACTACTTTTACTATAATCACCTACAAAGGACACCATAGAGGATGCTGTGCATAATATGATCAGCCCCTGTAAGTGGTGATAAGGAAAGAAATACTTTCCTCTACCTCTACAGTGAAGACTCAGGCCAACTTCTCAGAGAATGACCAAGGCAGACACACCGAGCAACAACTTTCAAAGTCAGGCATGGAATGACAGGTAGAAACCCATAACACTTCAAAGCATGTGATTAATAAGCCAGACCTAATTAGAAAGAATTTGCATCTTATGTGAATTAGCCCTGGACCTTTCCCTGTCTGCGCTCCTGCTTCGTCACTGGTGTGGTGACTGAGATATGATTATAAAGTCTCATGAAGAATTGCTATCTGAAAGGATTTAAGCCATATGTAGCCAATACATGTAACTGGACCACGGAATTAAAATTTTTTCTCTAATTATCTAGTTTATAAGTAGTTATCATGGAACTTCTAAAAAACTTATGAAGTAACAGATGAGGAGTAGATTAAAGATGTTTTATTGAATAATTAACTATACTAATTTTTCACAAATAATTACAAAAAAATTAATAATCACTTTAGGCCTTTCCTTAACTCTCACAGACAAAATTTATATTGGGGATTTAAGAATGCCAGCATTATATATCTACATGTGAATGAAGAAAACATTAGAGAAGCTCCTCGTGAAATCATAATCACAGGTATTTTTCTTCAATTTGAAAGCAAAATTTAATGGCTAATTTTATTGAAACAGCACTAAATGACTGACTGATGCTTTACCTAGTGAATTAATATCATATGCTGCAAGATGGAATGGAAATTCTTTTGCATCCTATGTATGTCTAATTCAACTCTTCATATATAGGAGACTTTTATATTTGTGGTACAACTTTTCTTAAAATCACAGAAAAGTTATCCTTCCTCCTTAAATCCTTTCAGATAGCAATTCTTCATGAGACTTTATAGTTTTATCTATGCTTTCCCCATCCCCATGGAAGCAGAGGACTCAGCATCCTTCTGTATATACTGAAGATGTGGTATTAAGGCCATGAACTCAATCTATTAATGGACAATAGGTTCCTTCTGTTTGTAGAAATGTTTTTATAGCAAAATTTCTAAAATGAAAGAAAAGTTATTTTGGCAAACCCTCCAAAAATTTTTTTGTACTGAAGATGACCCTTTATCAAGTTAAAGAGTTACCCAGGAGTATATACTACCCAATATTTCACTGTGAAAGACTCAATGGAAAATGCATTGCCCACAAATAGATGTCCCTTGGGACTGCTATTTAGATTTTTATATGGCTATGTTAGGCAAAACTTGCTTTTCAAGTTTTTCAGGACAAAATTATCTTCATTATGATAAACTATATACTTAGGGATGCTTGACTGGTCAGCTGTTTACCTGCTAGGACATAATCATAATTGTTTCCTGAGAAAAAATCCTTGTTCTGCCTCCAGGTATTCCCTTAGCACCTGGTGGAGGGTTGGCCATCAATTCGGATGAAAAATCTCCATATGCCACCTCTATTTCCGTAAATAGGTATTTGCATCTGCCATCCACAAACAAAATTTGCATGCCAAGTACTTGCCAAATAATATAACCTTCAACTGCCCAATGTCTACGAAATTTGAGCTATCATTTCACAAACCTACAGGTTATGATATTTTTCTTACAACAAAGAGTCACTAGGTTCTGAACCTGTCCGCACATTTGTGTCAATGATGCTATTTATACCAGTGCTTCTCAACTCTGTATGCACATTAGCATCCCCTTGGAAGTGTTTAAAATACTCCCTCCTTGGCATACCCCAAACCAACTAAAGGAAATGCTTGGACCTAGAAACTGAATCTTTTTACAACCTTCTCTGACCAGGCATAGTGGCTCATGCCTGTAATCCCTACACTTTGGGAGGTTGGGATGGGAGGATCACTTGAGCCCAGGAGTTCAAGACCAGCCTCGAAACATTGTGAGACTCCATCTCTATACAAAACAAAAAATTGGCTGGGCATAGTGGCATACAACAGTAGTCCCAGCAACTTGGGAGGCTGAGGTGGGAGGATCGCTTGAGCCTGGGAAATTGAGGCTGCAGTAAGCCATGCTCTCCGGCCTGGGCAACAGAGTGAGACCGTCAAAAACAAAACATAACAAAAACAAACAAAAAACCCTCTTCAGGCAGCTCTTTTTCTAACAACTGTCAGAAAGAATGTTTTCATAGCAACATTTCTAAAATTAAAAAATCATTTTGGTAAAATACCCAAAATGTACTTTGTACTCAAGAATACCATTCAACAAACTAAATAGTTACCAGGAATATATTACACAGTAATTCATTCACAAATAAAAGTGCACTGGCAGCCAGATAGTACCCTAAGAAGATTCAAACATTTTATAAAATGATATAAACTGTATGTCTAAAATGACTATGTATAAAAATACTTTAGCTTAAATAATATTTGATTTCTGAAAAATCTCTGCAATGACTGAACCTGCAATTTCTTCAAATGGTTTTCACTGTAAGAATAAAAATAAGAAATTTTATCTTCTATTGCACTGGGTTACTTTTGAACAGAGTATTCAGACATACACACTTACTGGAATACATTCTAAAGACAAATCAAATGGCAAAAAAAATGTTTATCTTTACTATGTAAGTTTGTTGGTGGTGGCACTGACACGGTATTTTTGAAATTATTTACGCAAAATGAGTAAATATATTGATGTCGTTGAGAAGCAGTAAACTCATGTTTTAAAAAAAAATGTGTATTTCTTGGGCTGGGAACAGTGGCTCATGCCAGGAATCCAAGCAATCTGGGGGGCTGAGGTGGGAGGATTTCTTGAGTTCAGGAGTTTGAGACCACTCTTGGCAACATAGTAAATCCTTGTTCTACCAAAAAATCTAAAAATTTGCCCAGCACGGTGGCATACACCTATGGCCTCAGATACTCTGGAAGCTGAGGTAGGAAGATCTCTTGAGCCTAGCAGGTGGAGGCTGCAGTGAGCCACGATTGTGCCACCGTACTCCAGCCTGGGTGATAGAGTGAGACCCTGTCTTAAAAAAAAAAAAAAAAAAAAAAAGTATATTTCTCAACTAAGAAGTGTTGATACATATGTAGAATGTTAGTTTCTAAATTCCATCATCACTAAAAACAACCAGTGCTAATAACAGGCCTGGGGCAGGGAGAGTACAAGTTGAGCCTCTAAAATTTCATGTCCCAGAAAGCAAAGACCAATAGGTACATGATTTAAAAGAAAAAAAAAACATATTGGTGCTGTGGGGGAAATTTTTAAAAAAGGAAAAGGAAGATAGTAAAGGAACACACATACGCAAATGCATACACACAACTTTGACACAATCTGATCATGAAAAAATAACAGACACAGACTATAACACACAAATTTTTTTTAAATCTATGAATCTTTAGCTAAAACACTGAGTGAAAGGTGGTTAGAGAAACTCTAATAGTAACACCCCACAGCTTATTAAAATCAAAACAGAAAATGATATCTTTACGATGGAGAGAACTGGCAGATGCCACCTTAACCAAGTGATAATACTTAATTAAAATCCCCAATATTAGAAAAAACTGTCACTCTGTAACTTTTGATAAGATGCAACGGGAAGCACAAAACATTATGTAGGTGGATGCTTGGCAAAGATGTTTACCTAAAACCAGTCATGAAAAAAATAGTCTTATTTTTTTCTTATTCTGGATTTTTCTAATCCAGAATAAAGAACATTTTATAAGACTAATTTGGATGCTTAAAAATGTCATTATAATAAAAGTAAAAAAAAAAGGTGGTGGGAGCATCTAAAATAAAGGAGACTGAAGAGCTACAACAGCCCAGTGCAATGTATGATCCTGGATTCTATCCTAGACTGGGGGAGAATACCAGCTTTTATTGACATGTTGGGATAATTAGGGAACTCTGAATATTGACTGCATAGCACATATTTCTGAATCAATATTAAATTTCTTAGGTGTAATGAAGAAATTGAAGTGATGTAAGGAAATGTTCAATTCTTTTTCTTTTCTTTTCTCTTCTTTTCCTTTTTTTTTTTTGAAATGGAGTCTAATTCTGTCACCCAGGCTGAAGCACAGTGGCACGATCTCGGCTCACTGCAACCTCCCCCTCCAGGGTTCAAGCGATTCTCCTGCCTCAGCCTCCCAAGTAGGTGGGATTACAGGTGTGCACCACCACACCCAGATAATTTTTGTATTTTTAATAGAGATGAGGTTTCACCATGTTGGCCAGGCTGGTCTCAAACTCCTGACCTCAGGTGATCTGCCTGCCTCGGCCTCCCAAAGTGTTGGGATTACAAGCATGAGCTACTGCACCTGGACAGAAATGTTAATTTCTTAAACAGTATATGCTGAGGCATTTCATAAAATATTTAAAAGCCTTTTTTATTATAAATGTTTATAATAAACACTATAGACGTTTTACGTTTTAGAATAATTTAAGACTTACAGAAAAGTTGCAAAGATAGTATAGAGACTTTCTGTACACTCAGTTTCCCTCAGAATGAATAGTATACATTACCATGGTACATTTGTTATAACCAAGAAACTTACATTGGCACATTACTATTAACTGAATTCCAGATTTTATTTGGATTTCACAAGTTTGTTCATCAATGCCTTCTTTCTGTTCCAAGGTCCAATCCAGGGCAGCATATTGCATTTCGTTGTCATGTCTCCTTAGTCTCCTCTGATTTGTGACAGTTTCTCACTTTTCTTTTTTATGACCTTGACAGTCTGGAAGAGTACTGGCCAATTATCCTGTATAATGTCACCAATCCATGTTTGTCTGATGATTAGCCTGGGTTTTGGGGCAAGAATACCACAGGGGCAAAGTGTCCCTTCTCAAATCATAATAGAGAGCATAGGATATCCACATGACATCAGTGGTAGTGGTCATCTTCATCACTTGGTTATCAAGAGAGTATTGGCAGCATATGTTTCCCCCTTAGGTTACTGAGGTCTGTTTCTTTTCTCATCACCCCTTTCAGTGGAGCTATGTCATACCTGTAGAGTACAACTAATTTCATCTGTCTCAGTCTCTATCCTATGTTGGCACCCTTTTGATGCTGCTGGTTGATGTGTTCATTAGGGAAGTGTGTGTGTGTTCATGTTAGTGTGCATACATTAATGTACATTCTTTGTAACATAAAGTTCTATACCTCTTGGCAAATACATACAAGTATGCATCTGATATGGTTAGGCTTTGTGTCCCCACCCAAATCTTATCTTGAATTGTAATTCCCATAATCTCCATAATTTCCACAAGTCAAGGGAGAGACCAGGTGGAGGTAACTGGATCACCGGGATGGTTTCCCTGATCTGTTCTTGTGATAGTCAGTGGGTCTCAGGAGATCTGATTTTTTTTTTTTTTTTTGAGATGGAGTCTTGCTCTGTTGCCCAGTGGCGCGATCTCGGCTCATGAAACCTCTGCCTCCCGGGTTCAAGTGATTCTCCTGCCTTAGCCTCCTGAGTAGCTGGGGTTACAGGTGCCCACCACCACGCCTGGATAATTTTTTGTATTTTTAGTAGAGATAAGGTTTCACCATGTTGGCTAGTCTGGTCTTGAACTCCTGACCTCAGGTGATCCCCCTGCCTCGGCCTCCCATAATGCTGGGATTATAGGCATGAGCCACCATACCTGGCCTGATCTGGTGGTTTTATAAGCTTCTGGCATTTCCCCTGCTTGCACTTATTCTCTCTCCTGCCACCCTGTGAAGAAGTGCCTTCCACCATGACTGTAAGTTTCCTGAGGCTTCCCTAGCCATGCAGAACTGAGTCAATTAAACCTCTTTTCTTCATAAAATACCTAGCCTTAGGTATTTCTTCACAGCAGCGTGAGAATGGGCTAATACTGCGTATAACACACAGTACCACACAGAACAGTTCCTTCACTCTAAAAGTCCCCTGTGTACCCCTTTCTGGCTGACAACCCACCTCAGCTCAATTCTTGGCAAACTCGCAACTGTTGTCTACCCCTATAATTTTCTAGAATGAATGGAATAATAAAATATGTCATCTTTTGGGTTTGACTTCTTCCATTTGCATTTACATTCGTCTATGCCACTGCATTAATTAATAGCTTGTTTCTATTATTGAATAGTATTCCATTGTATGGATGTGCCACGGTTTTATTCACTTGCTGACTAAAGAACATCTTGGTTGCTTCCAAGTTTTAGTGATTAAGAATAAAGCTGTTTAAACATTCACACACAGATTTTTGTGTTGACACAACCTTCATAAACCCTTTGGTAAATATCTAGGAGTACAATTTTTGGATTGTATAGTAAGTCTATGTTTAACTTTATACAAAAAACTGGTAAGTTGTCTTCCAAAGTGACTACAATTTTGCACTGCCACCAGCAATGAGTAAGAGTTTCTGTTCTGCATTCTCACAAGCACTGTCAGTTTTTCTGCATTTTCGCCATTTTAGTAGGTGTACAGTGGTATCTTGCTGTGGTATAAACCTATTTTAAGTGCTCTGTTGTTCATTTTCAAATTTAAATGCTACCCGAATTTTTAATTAAAAAAACTTCATGTTGAAACCAAGCTCCCCAGATATACTATTCATAAAACTTTATCTACAGATGTCAGATCATGTAAGGTTTTTTCTTTTAACTTAATAGAAGTTATTTGTTCTAATTAGAAAAGTAGATATATATATGTGTATATATATACACATATATATACACAAAAGTATATATATTTATGTATATACTTTTGTATATACTTAATATGTGTATATATACACACATACATTATGTATACCAACAATATACATTATTGGTAATGTGTGCACATATATATATACCCACACACACATATATAAAACCAGTAGCTCTACCATCCAGAGACGAACACCAATTTTTTCCAATTGTGTGTGTGCACATGTGTGTTCAGATTAAAACACATGTAACAACCTAAAGTCTAAAGCAGGTATGAGTGTACAATGTTTGAGGAAAAGAAAGAAAGCACGGTGTAAGGAAAGAATGACAGTAGGCAAGGAGGTTATAACAGAAGATGAATTTGGAGACAGAAGTCAGTTCATGTAGATCAGGGATTCTCCAACTTTGGTGTGTCTTAAAATCTTTAGGAGGGCTTATTAAAACAGAAGGTAGCCCTGCACCCCTGGGGTTTCTGACTCAGCAGATCTAGAGTGGGGTCTGAGAATTTGCATATCTAATGTGCAGGGCCACACCTGAGAACACCTGTCGGGCCTGCTACACTATAATGAGGAGTCTGATTTTTATTCCAAATAAATTGGAAGACATTGGAATATTTTAAGGACAGAATGTTGTGATTTGTTTTGAATTTTAAATAGATCATAGTGACTGAGGTATGAAGGTCAAATCAGAGAGAACAAGGTGGTAAATGGGAAAATAGTAAACAGACTCTTTATGTGAAATGATGGTGCTTTGAATTAGGGTAGTGGGGATATTAATAAATGGATGGATTCAGAACAAATACAGAAAAAGCTCACAGAAGTTGCAAATGGATCTGGTGCTAGGGTGAGAAAAGGGGAAACAAGGGAGATGTCTAGGTCACAGGCTTATTTAATAACTGCCTCTATGGAAGGCTTTATGGGGATACAAGTCATAAGTTCTATTACAAAAATATGTGGTTTGAGATATCAATATACAATTGGAAATACTGAGTACGGAAGTTGGATACACAAATCTGAATCTACAAGAAAAATAGTAACAATTTGTAAGTCATTAGATACAAATGATATTTATAATCTTCCAACCTATTGAGGTCATTAGTATAGATTAATGGCTCTCAGGCAGGGTTGATTTTGCACTACCCTCCAGGAGACATTTAGCAATGTCTGGAGACATTTTTTATTTGACTAGAGGTTAGGGATGTTGTTAAATATCATAAAATATACAAAAAAGCACCTGCCAACAAAGAATTACCCTGCTCAAAACATCAATAGTGCTAAGGTTGGGAAACCCTGTAATAGATAGAAAAGTTGTCTTTCTAGTATGAAGAGAGTAAGGGAGCATAAGCGGTTTCTCAGATATAAAATTGCATCGAATATATATATATATATATATATATATATATGTCACTTATGTATCCAATTTAGAAACTGCTTAACTATATTATTTGACCAGCTGATAAACAAATTAAAAATAGCTCAAGAATTACTTATAGCATTAGACTTAAAATGGCTGCTGTTAAACAGTGAGATATAGTTACAATAAGAAAAGTAACATTAATTTTACCCTTAAAATTAATATAATAATAGTTTAAATGAAAAACCCTGATTAATAAAAAGACCATATGTTGTCTCCAAAGCTCTTGTATTAGATTATGCTACCTGCACACCTTTGTTCAATGAAAACAAATGCACAAATACGTAAGCACATGACTGAATGAGCAGTAACACAGCTCTCTTAGGTATTAACAAATACACATATCAATAAAATGGAAGAGGAAATCTGGATTATGAATGCAGAGTCAAAATCTCTGGAGTGTAGATACAGACTTACAAATCCCTAGAAATAGAAAAATTCCAAGAGTATAAAGGAGGTAGAAGAAAAGGGTCTGAAACTAATAGAAATCCTGACTTCAGTTTTTTAAAAAATTTCTAGTATACAGAATGATCCTAGCATCTTTTTGCATCTAGCACTGTACAAGCAGTCCATTAATACCAGACAGAAATTTTCAAGTAAGATTTCTGAAGGTTTTATTTGCTGGAAAATATCTCTGAATACAGTCTTCAGGTCTAGGTAAGATAGGTTCACATTACAGAGGGCGGGTGTTGGTGGCTTATGCTTGTAATCCCAGCATTTTGGGAGGCTGAAGCGAGTGGATCACTTGAGGTCAGGAGTTCAAGACAAGCCTGGCCAAGATGGTGAAACCCCATCTCTACTAAAAATACAAAATTTAGCCAGGCAAGGTGGTATGTGCCTGTGGTCCCAGCTACTTGGGAGTCTGAGGCACAAGAATCGCTCGAATCTAGGAGGTGGGTTGCAATGAGCCGAGGTTGTGCCACTGCACTCCAGCCTGGGCAACAGAGCAAGATTCTGTCTCAAAAAAAAAAAAAAACCCATTAAAAAATTCACATTACAGAAGACATCTTCATATAGACTACTCAATTAGAACACCTACTTCATTTATAAGTCTGAAGATGACCTTTCACACAGATTTACCTAATGTTAATGCTTTTACTGACAGCACAAGCTGAGTATAGTAAGGGTATACTGGGATTAGAAGGTAAACATATATATATTCTAGGTATGAAGAGGTGACTATAGGAAAAGAATAATGTTAAAAGGTGTGAGAAAAAGGGCTTTTCATGGGGAAAGTGGAAAAGATAAGAGAGACAGATGCACTTCGGAGATATTCTGTGATTAATCACAATGAACATGAAGAGCAGATGATTTCAAATATAAAGATGATCCTTTGAACCCAGGGACAAAAATATGTTACATGAGAATTACCCTTCACCAAGAGCAAGTTGGCCAGCACCATTCACATTCAATGGCCAGTGGAGCACATGTGTGAGAATGACTGAGTTGGTGACAAGGAATTTGTATTTACCCCTTACACAACCAAATCCTATCACAATACTTTCTGTGTTATAGACAATTAGATTTAATAAATTAGAGGTGTATACTGGGCTTGTGGGAAATAACAAATTATTTTATGTAATTTATGAACATAAAGTTCACATATGGCATACTGATCTACCTTAATCATGAATCCAAAGAAGTTAAAACTGTTCTACCCTGGACACACAGGCTGACCACAACTCACCCTTCCCAGTTCTTTATCTTCCAGGGCCAGAACTCCAGTGCTTTCTGTGAAGAGTTTCACTTTGACCACAGGCCGAGGATGGGTGGTGGTGAAATCTCCTTGAGTCCCCCATCTGTAATGAAGTAAAAAAAATGTTTCTTAAAATGCAGCATTATTTTTTTCCCCAAGGAGATGTGTCTCCATAGAAGGCAAATTAAATACAGAATCTTCTGTGCTCAATGAGCTTTTTATCTTTGCTTTTGTTTCTAGCAGATGGCACAATCAAGAAGGAAAAGAACAATAAGCTTTACAGCTTGTAATAGTTACTCAGCTATTCAAAAAATTAGCATGTTGGACTATAAAAAATTGCATGTTATGAGAATTTAGGTTAAGGTAAAGCAATATAGTTGTAGCTATTGAAATCTATTACTTTATTAATTCAAATGTAAATTATAGCACCATTTTTACTGGCAGCTGGGAAAATTGCTCAGGGTTTGTTTACGTAAGAGAGAGTTTCTCAGAAAATGATTTTTATATACTAAAGACTTTACCCCACCTGAGAGGTCTTTATTAAACATTATCTTTTTTTAAAGTAAGCATAATTATCTCAGATCTATTACTTCATATGACTTTTGAAGCTCCTGCCAAAAAGAAAGAAATATGCATCATAAGAATCTGAATGTTTTGTAGTTAATTTCCCACTACATTCTCTTAGGAAGGGAATAAGTCTGTAGACATCTGGCTTTTGAAATCATCACAACAAAATAACATGCTTTCTTGGCTTATCTCTTAATTAATAGCATCTTGCCTTTATTGCAGACCAGTTCATTCTACCTGATTTACAAACTTAACTGGCACACACCTGATATTAAAAAATCTTATCAATATTTCTCACAACTCTGAGAGATCAGATGCAATGAGACTCAGCACAGCATGAAGAAGATGCCATTGAGCAAAATACCAGAGAAAAAAATGAGATTTAACAAAATACAGATCATGTTAAAAATAAAACAACAAATAAATATCAATTTTCTTATGCTGTCTTGAAAAAACAAAACAATTCACCATTTTCACGGAGCTGTCTACATTTTATTTTATAAATCTCATTCGGAGAGCTTACAACATACAGAAAACTCAGTAAAGCAGGTATAATAAAAATTGAACAAATAATTGTGATTGCCTTCCTCTCCTATCACAGCATTTATAATAAATGTATACAGTAAAGCAGAGACCATTTCAATGACTGAAGAAACTGGCATCTAGATGCAGTCTTTTTTTTTGAAATATCATAAGCCAGAGGGAAGAGAAGAATCAATTAGGGAAGAAAACAGCTTAATTTCTATTTTAGACTTCCAGAATGGGGTTAGCAAAGAGACTTTTTGCAATTTCATATAATTAAGATGGTTTACATAAAGCAATGGTAAAATAGGAATAAAAACAAAAATAGATTCAGAACCAAAATAAGGCATAAAGAAAAATTCTCAGTTTAGTGTTTGGAATCTTAAGCCTTGAATATAGTCAGGCAATGTGGTTAACAGCCTGGGAGCTAATTCTCATGACATACCCTTTTAAATTCAGTGTCACATGGTTAAATTTAGAAGACTAATAACCTTGGGAGGCATTCTCTTATAACTGAAATAAAAGATTTTTGATAGTCATATAGAAACAGTCTAATAGGTTTCCATAGAATTTGCTTTTTAAAATCCTCCCCATAAAACTTCCATGTATTACACTGATTTTTTTCCTCTAATTTCAAAATCCTTTGAAACTATTTACACTACATGTTCATTTTTAATTCCCAAACCTCCTGCAATACATGATTCTTCAAAGAGAAAAGTGAACTTTGTCTTTGAACCTGGTCCTTCTGAAATGCATCCCAATTCCACTTTGCTGGATAGAATAAGACAAATAACAATGAATGCGGAGGAAAAAAAAAAACTGCTCACTCATGGTTCCATGAACTTCCAGAGAACTATCTTTTACCTTTGATCCTTCACAGACAAGTATATTCAAAAACTATTCTACAATATTTATCACCATAGCACATTTCTCATTTATGCATTAAAATATTTTTATACAATGATATATTTTAAGTGTCCATAAAATGAGATTCAGTTAAAGAATAATGATAAAGTGAAAACCAACATTCCTGCCATTCAGGTTAAGATGGGGAATGTACTAGAACATTAGGAAAGCCCTTGTGTGCCCCTGGTCTCATCTTCCTCTCCTCTCCACCGTCACTACTCTGAAGTACCTAGCATCCTGAATTTTATATTTATCACTCCCTTGAATTTCTTCTTAAAAGGAATATTTTCAGCATTTTACCTTTAAGTGTGATAACTGCTCTAGGTTTTCAGTAGTCTTTTATAGGTAAAAAAAATTCCCATATTTATTAGACACACACATAAATATATCAGAATATATGTGTGTGTATATATATGTAATATATGCATATGATATATACATAATATATAAAAAATATATATCACAATTATATATGAAGGAGATATTGTACGTGTGTATATACGTATATACATATGTCCTTCATATCATATACCTCACAATAGCATATATAACAGACATCCTAACACACATACATCATGTACATAACAATATCATATACATAACATACATATCATATACATCACATCATATACATATGCATATGTATATTCATATCATATACATCACATCATATACATATGTATATAACATATGTGTATATATACATACACTCACACACATATAAAGATCCAGAAATGAGTGCTCTAGTTTATGAAACATTTCCCTACATTTATTGAAATAATCTGTAATTATAGTAGATTACTCTATTGTCTTCCTTTCTTGAGATAAACTTTAAAAAAAATACTAGAATGAGTAGGCTAATACTTTATTTAGCCTTTTATATAATGTCCATTATTGAGACTAGCCTGTATATTTACTTTTTTGTATTCTCCATGTTTGGTTTTATTGCATAAGTTGAAAAGTGCTATATTTTTATTATCTGAAAGAGTTTGTCAAAAAATGATAATTATCTGTTCCTATAACTCACCTATTAAGCTATTCAAACCTGATATTTCTGTATGGGAAGATACTTGCTAATGAAGTGATTTCTTTATTGGTTGTAGCTACAGAATTACTCAGGTTTTCTCTTTCTCCTTGAGTGAATTTTGATAAGCACTAAGTTTTATGTTATTTATTTCATCTAAGTTTTTCAAAAGTACTTATACAAAGTTGTAAATTTTTTCATCTTTGAATCCTTATAGCATCTGTTATGTCCTTCTTCATTCTTAATGTTTTCTTTTTTCCATTTTTAAACTTAACAGAGGTTCATCACTTTTATTGTTCTTTTCAAACTCCTGTCACTTGACTTTGACAATCCTCTCTACTTCATGTTTTTTATTTTATTGCATTCTGCTCTTTGCTACATTATTCTAATTTATCTATTTTAACCCTGCTGTTTAAAATTTTAAGTTGAATGCATGGTCATTAATTTTAAGCCTTTCTTCCATTCCGGGCAAGCATTTGTGACTATAAATTTGCTTTAAACACTTTAACTACAGCACCCCATAAATTTAGAAAGTGCTATTTTTACTATCATTCAGCTGTTTACAGGTGTGATTTAGAATTTCTCTCTATATATATCTTTTCCTTTTTCTTATTAAGTTCTATTTTTATTACATCAGATTAGATAGCATAGCCTGCATAATATTGATCATGTAAAATAATTGAAATGGGCTTTAATTTCCAGATTTTGTGTGTCTAAGTTTTCCATGAGTGCTCACAAAGAAAAAAAAATTCTCCATTATGGGTACATTATTGTATTTATGGCCGGAGGTTCTACTTACAAGGTTTAGGACTTCTGAGTCAAGGGGAGGAAATGCTAACGAACACCTCCTGTGAAATGAAGAAGGCTTAAATAACGTGTTCTCAGGCAAAGGAGAAGCTGAGGCACAAAAATACCAGCAGATCCTGACTGCAGCAGGCCAGAAGACAAAGCTTTTACTGACATTCAACAAAAATGTACAATTTTAAGGGGGTGCATAAATAGTTATTTATAAATATTTATCCTTGTATCCTGGAAAGTTGGGATTTATCATTTCTTTATAAGAAACAATAAATAAGAAACTTTCTTATAAAGAAAATATAAATCCCAACATTCCACGATACAGGCATAAATTGGCACCAATTTGATAATTTCTTCTTTGGGAAATAAAAGTTGAAAAGACACAGTTAGAAAAATCATAAATTCTAGAATGAATAAATTAAAAACACAAGCCTCCCCAAACCCCACTCAACAAAGGAAAAAAAAAAAAAAAAGGCAGGAAAAGAGGAAAGAAGACAATAGGCCTACCTTCAATATTCACCAAGACATCTCCTTATTTTCTACTTAATTGGCATATTTAAACCCTGTCGGTAATTAATACCAGTTATTGTCTTCCCATTTTCTCAATATTTTATGACAAAAGAATACATTATCTTGCTGTCATTTTGTGTTGACTCAAAACGTATTGCCTTTCTCCACTTCTCTGAATGTATTATTTATGAGGATTCAGAATTCCAAGGTAAATGTTCGAATGAATAAAAATCTACAAAGCACCTTTACGAGAACAGCAGGACTTCCTGGCTTTGAAAACACAGGGTAATTCATATACCAACTGAAATAACTGACATTAATTATGTATTTGCTATTAAATAAAGGGTACTGGAAATTTGTATCAGGAGCCAAAATACATGTTCATATCTTTTAACCTAGTAAGGTTATTTCTAAGGACTTATCCTATCAAAATAATTGTAAGTATTAAAAAGAGTCTAAGCAGAAACATTCATGACAGCATTATGTATAACAGTAAACACTTAAGCAAGATAAATATAAAATATTAGGGGAATGATTATGTAAATTATGGGGCATGTGATGAACTATTTTGCTACTTTATAATGATGGCTATAATGGCAACATAAAACCATGCATGATATAAAGTGAAAAAGAGGGAGGATACAAAACTGAACGTGCACATTTTATTCATTTAAAAAAATGGAGTACCTTTTATGTGGAGATGACATTCTAGTGTGAGCAACCGAAGTCCCTATCCCCTTGGGATTTCTATTCTAATAGGAGATTTTAGATAATAAATAATTATACTGTAACATATATTCCTTCTCACTCCTGCCCTGCCTTCTCAACAGGTTGTATATTTCCATGGTCTCTTACAGTAGCTAGAGCACTAGATATAACTTGTGCCCACTTTTGACCTGTCTGAAAGTCGATAGTGATATGAAATGACAGTTTTAATTTTCCACATGTCCTAAACTCATTTGGGTAAGAAATCAAATATATTTATAAAATTATATAAACTTGGGTTTGGTTTTGAGCTTTATGTTCTGCAGATCTCTCCTGAGCCGAGTTACCCTGTTTTAATTATTGCAGCTTTGCAAGATGTTATGTTATCTGTTAGAACACAAAGAAAACAGACATTTTCATCTTATTTCTATTCAACAAAAAGGGAAGGGAGGTGGTGTCTCTGTTAAACTCTGTTCTAACATTTATTACTGGAATCTTAAACTTTTTTCTTCATTATGTAGAAAAAAACACACATTCCTTAATTTATTTCACAGTATTTAATATATCGGGATCCTAAAGAATCTATTTCCTTTATATTGTCTGACTGTTGCACATATGTAAGAAAGTTATGGTTAAACTCTAATCATTTTTCAAATGATTTCATTTCCAATACAGTGAGTGCTTTTAAAAATTATTTGTCACCAAATAACCAATTAACTCTATTAAAAAGATTATTAAAATTATCAAATAAAAATGACATATATTCCAAATGCATCACTAATTTTATAACAGAAAACATTAAATAAGGATCCAGCAACAGGGATATAAATGAAAGCCTATAAAAAATTACAAATAATTCTTATGATTTTTCATGCTGAATTTTTTTTTTTTACTTTTTTATTTTTAGTTCTGGGGTACACGTGCAGGTTGTGCAGATTTGTTACATAGGTAATGTATGCCACAGTGGTTTGCTGCGCCTATCAACACATCACCTAGGTATTAAGCCCAGCATGCATTAGCTATTTTTCCTAATACTTTTCCTCCTCCCATCCCACCCCATGACAGGCCCCAGTGTGTGTTGTTCCCCTCCCTACGTCCATGTGATCTCACTGCTCAGCTCCCACATATAAGTGAGAACATGTGGTGTTTGGTTTTCTGTTCTTGAATTAGTTTGCTGAGGATAATGGCTTCCAGCTTCATCCATGTCCCTGCAAAGGACATGATCTCATTCCTTTTTATGGCTGTATGGTATTCCATGGTGTATATATACCACATTTTCTTTATCCAGTCTATCATTGATGAGCATTTGGGTTGATTCCCTATCTTTGCTGTTGTGAACAGTGCTGCAATGAACATATGCATGCATGTATCTTTGCAACAGAATGATTTATATTCCTTTGGTATATACCCAGTAATGGGATTGCTGTGTCAATTCCATGTCTTTGCTATTGTGAATAGTGCTGCAATGAATATATGTGTGCATGTATCTTTGTAACAGAATAATTTATATTCCTTTGGGTATATAACCAGTAATGGATTTCTGGTTCTAGGTCTTTGAGGAATCGCCACATCATCTTCCACAATGGTTGAACTAATTTACATTCCCACCAACAGTGTAAAAGTGTTCCTATTTCTCTGCAACCTTGCTAACATCTGTTGTTTCTTGACTTTTTAATAATCACCATTCTGACTGGCATGAGATGGTATCTCACTGTGGTTTTGACTTGTATTTCTCTAATGATCAGTGATGCTGAGCTTTTCTCATGTTTGTTGGCTGCATGAATGTCTTCTTTTGAACAGTATCTGTTTATGTCCTTTGCCCACTTTTAAATTTTTTTTCTCGTAAATTTTTTTCTTGTAAATTTGAGTTCCTTGTAGATTCTGGATATTAGACCTTGCTCGAATGGATGGATTGCAACGATTTTCTCCCACTCTGTAGGCTGTCTGTTCACTCTGATGATAGTTTCTTTTGCTGTGCAGAAGCTCTTTAGTTTAATTAGATGCCATTTGTCAATTTTTACTTCTGTTGCAATGGCTTTTGTCAATTTTATCATGAAATCTTTGCCTAAATGGTATTGCCTACATTTTCTTCTAGGGTTTATATACTTTTGGGTTTTACATTTAAATCTTTAATCCATCTTGAGTTAATTGTTAATAAGGTGTGAAGAAGGGGTCCAGTTTCAATTTTCTGCATATGGCTAACCAGTTTCCCCAGTATCATTTATTAAATAGGTAATCCTTTCCCCATTGCTTGTTGTCAGGTTTGTCACGATGAAATTTTTAAAACAATCCAACTCTAGTTAAATTATCCTTCTTAAAATTTAGCCATTTTAAGATTAAAATGATATAACAGATTCTTCTAATAATAGAATAAAAGTTTTGGTTCAAAACTCAAACATTCAGTATTTATTTGGTAGCATTGATTCTGATATTCTCTTGGGAAGTAGAAAATCTTTCCAAAAGTTTCCTGCACTGGACTTTAACTAGGTCTAAGGTCTTTCTGCTGTCCTATGAGAGATTTGCTGAAGAAACTGACTTTGGATTCACTCAATTCATGAAAATGAGTAAGGACTGTGTTATTTTCATTGACTCATATTTGGTGAGAAGGTAGATGGGCACCTCCCCCAAACTCATTATGATGAATCAAGAGGAAATAAAGATTCTTGAAAATAGGATAGTGAGTTGATCAGAAAGGCCTGATGGTATTCTCAAGGGTGTCAAGCAATATCATTTTTAACCGCATGCCTTCTTGAGAACTGGGAGCCAGGAAACTTGCCTGACTGAAAGCATACAATGTGTCTCTGCTCTTGCAGCTATGTTTATGCCAATGAGCTGTAGTATCCTTTAGTTTCATTAAAGAAATCTGTATGTGTTGGTGTCTTTCTATTAGTCATTGCCCTGCACATAATGGCCACATATACTCCAAAGCCATGCTGAAGTCACTGGGAAAATGTGTATGTTTAATAGATGTGTAAAATGTACCAAGTAGACACAATATCCCACCTTTACTAATAAACAGTATTATCTCCTTTTAATTGAATAATGTAACAACCTCTGAAAATTGGGAATTAAGTTTAACAAGAGAGAAATACAAAAAGCCTGATTATCAATTATATAAATGGAAATTAAATAATAAAACACTAAAAGACTTATAAAACAATGTTAAGCACTGTACAAATGTTTTTAAAAATAGCTTTCTTCATTAATATAAGCAATTAAGGCAGTCTTGTGGAAAACTCTAAGCAGAAAACAATACTTACGGAAGAGCAGCTTTTAATATTTTAAAAGTTCAACACAGGGCCCAAGTATATAAAAGGCTTATATAACACTAATGTACTTCAGCCAAAGACTCAGTGAAAAATGACGAAGATAAGTAAGTTTTCATGGGAACATGGGTGGCTGCTGACACGTCGTTTACTATGATCCAAACTATAAGAGATAAAGAAACTTATCTTGGGAAATTCAAGTGCTTGATTCCAATAGGCTGTTGCAAATCCAGATACAGATTTGGGAGTGATTAACATAGAAACTGTTGTATAAACTATGAAAATGAATGAGCTTATGAAGGGTGCCCACTAATAATGATAGTAGGGACTTCTACCTTACAAGTATGGGCTTATACATGTATCTCTATGCTTATGTGTGTACTTAAACGTATATTTTAAAGGTTTGCAATCATTTATTGAGGTATAGTTTACATGCAGTAAAATGTAATCATCTCAAGTATAGAGCACTGAATTTTGAAAAATGCATGCAATCACGTATACAGAACTTATCCGTCACCAAAACATTTCCTTATTTAAGATGTTTGCACTATGCAAAATGACCAGTGGTTCAACGTGAATTCCATCAAAATCCTAACATTTGCAGAAATATGAAAATCTACCCTAAAATTCATAAGGAATCTCTAGGGACTCAAAGTAGCCAAAACAATCTTAAAGAAAAACAAACAAACAAACAAAAAAACAAAGTGGAATGCATCACATGTCCCGATTTCAAAACCTACTAAAAAATAATGGCAATCAAAATAGTGTGGTCCTGGCAAAAAGACAGATATACAAACCAATGGACTGGAACAGAGAGCCCAGAAACCAACCCTCACACATATGGTCAAATGTAATGCATATTTATTAGTCATTTAAAAATTAATGGGATATCCAAATTGTTCTATAACATGTTCTTTTATGTAACACTATATCTTGAACTTCTTCAAGTGTCAGAACATGGATTTATGTAATTCTTTTCAAGACTTAAGACATTCCCCTTGTATGGCTGCGCTATAATTTAGTCAATCACTCTTCTAATGATGGACTGTAAGGTTGTTTCCAGTCTTAACCATTACAGGCAGTGCTGCAACAGACACCTTCATATATATTCATATATAAATGATGAAAAGAATAAAAGATCAGAGACAGATTTCTAAGGCAGCCCAATACTTTAAACTTCTCTTAAACATAAAAATGTCATCCTAACAGATTGATTCATAAAAAAATTTACCTATCTAGTAAATAAAATTTACAACAAATAGCTCCAATATAATCCTAAGTCAAAAATTTTAAATAATTCACTGCAATACAAAATTCAAATTTACTAGCTAGAATTTCAAAATTTTATTATAAACAAATACTATTTCCCTTAATTTTAATAGTTAATTTATACAGCAAGTTTTAAACTCCTTTTATTTACTGAATGTATTTTAAAACAAATTTTCTATACATCTAATTAAATTAGTTTAAATTGGGTGATCAATAATGTTTATAGAAACTGCCTAACTTATCACCATCATTGTTGTTGACATACTATAAAAGTATCTGAAATTCCAAATTGTCCCTGTTTGCAGATGACATGATTGTATATTTAGAAAACCCCATCATCACAGCCCAAAATCTCCTTAAGCTGATAAGCAACTTCAGCAAACTCTCAGGATACAAAATCAATGTACAAAAATCACAAGCATTCCTATACACCAATAACAGACAAACAGAGAGCCAAATCATGAATGAACTCCCACTCACAATTGCTTCAAAGCGAATAAAATACTTAGGAATCCAACTTATAAGGAATGTGAAGGAACTCTTCAAAGAGAACTTCAAACCACTGCTCAGTGAAATAAAAGAGGACACAAACAAATGGAAGAACATTCCATGCTCATGGTTAGGAAGAATCAATATCGTGAAAATGGCCATAATGCCCAAGGTAATTTATAGATTCAATGTCATCCCCATCAAGCTACCAATGACTTTCTTCACAGAATTGGAAAAAACTACTTTAAAGTTCATATTGAACCAAAAAAGAGCCTGCATTGCCAAGACAATCCTAGGCCAAAAGAACAAAGCTGGAGGCATCATGCTACCTGATTTCAAACTACACTACAAGGCTACAGTAACCAAAACAGCATGGTGCTGGTACCAAAACAGAGATATAGACCAATGGAACAGAACAGAACCCTCAGAAATAATACCACACATCTACAACCATGTGATCTTTGACAAACCTGACAAAAACAAGAAATGGGGAAAGGATTCCCTATTTAATAAATGGTGCTGGGAAAACTGGCTAGCCACATGTAGAAAGCTGAAACTACATTCCTTCCTTACACCTTATACAAAAATTAACTCAAGATGGATCAAAGACTCAAATGTCAGACCTAAAACCATAAAAACCCTAGAAGAAAACCTAGGAAATACCATTCAGGACATAGGCATGGACAAGGACTTCATGTCTAAAACAACAAAAGCAATGGCAACAAAAGACAAAATTGACAAATGGGATCTAATTAAACTAAAGAGCTTCTGCACAGCAAAAGAAACTACCATCAGAGTGAACAGGCAACCTACAGAATGGGAGAAAATTTTTGCAATCTACTCATCTGATAAAGGGCTAATATCCAGAATCTACAAAGAACTCAAACAAATTTACAAGAAAAAAACAAACAACCCCATCACAAAGTGGGCGAAGGAGATGAACAGACACTTCTCAAAACAAGACATTTATGCAGCCAAAAGACACATGAAAAAATGCTCATCATCACTGGCCATCAGAGAAATGCAAATCAAAACCACAATGAGATACCATCTCACACCAGTTAGAATGGCAATCATTAAAAAGTCAGGAAACAACAGGTGCTGGAGAGGATGTGGAGAAATAGGAATGCTTTTACACTGTTGGTGGGACTGTAAACTAGTTCAACCATTGTGGAAGACAGTGTGGCAATTCCTCAGGGATCTAGAACTAGAAATACCATTTGACCCAGCCATCCCATTACTGGGTATATACCCACAGGATTATAAATCATGCTGCTATAAAGACACATGCACACGTATGTTTATTGTGGCACAATTCACAATAGCAAAGACTTGGAACCAACCCAAATGTCCATCAATGATAGACTGGATTAAGAAAATGTGGCAATATACACCATGGAATACTATGCAGCCATAAAAAAGGATGAGTTCATGTCCTTTATGGGGACATGGATGAAGGTGGAAACCATCATTCTGAGCAAACTATCACAAGGACAGAAAACCAAACACCGCATGTTCTCACTCATAGGTGGGAATTGAACAATAAGAATACATGGACACAGGGTGGGGAACATCACACACTGGGGCCTTCCAGGGGGATGGGGGGAGGGGGGAGGAATAGCATTAGGAGATATACCTAATGTAAATGATGAGTTATCGGGTGCAGCACACCAACATGGCACATGTATACATATGTAACAAACCTGCACGTTGTACACGTGTACCCTAGAACTTGAAGTAAAATGAATAAATAAATAAATAAATAAATAAATAAATGTATTTGAAATTCCAACTTGAGATATCTAAATTGAATTACACAGAGTTTAATAATATACTGCATGCAATACAGTGAGGACAATGAATAGAATGGCTTTCTAGGCCATGAGGATAACATTCATCCCACAAATCACACTGTCATTTAAGACATCAAACTATACTACTCTATATTTTCAACAAAACAAAAAAAATTCTGCATGGCAATATATAAAAGATAACAATCTAAGTGAAATTAGTGATACAAATACTACAAATTTATTCTACATAGTTTCACATAAACATTGTGGAAAAAAGACCGATTAAATAACAAAAGGAAATAAAAAAGAGCCATTACCTGAGCCCTCGCCCACAGCCGAGTACAATGGTACAGAAATAGGGCTACCAAGTACAGACCCAAGAGACAGATTCTGGGCTTGGAAACCACCAATAAGTGAAAAGACCCGGGGCGAGCAACTTTACCACAACCTAATAACATGTTCCTCATAATACATTTGAGGCATCAATGAAAATGATTCATGTTAATAAATGTAAGAGCACAGCACATCTCATAGAAAGTGCACAGAGAATGTTCGTTATTCTTACTAGCATCCATATTAGTACTGCTTTAGCTTTACTAAATAATATCTACCTGAAAAAATTGACAGTTTTGAATATTAAAGTTTTCATCTGTTTCATAAAATGGTGACACTAAAATCCAGACAATATGAAAAAAAAGAGAGAGAGCAATAGAGACGTCAACTAACAGCAAAACATGGCAAAGGAGAAAGAGAGAGGAAGAAAAAGAAGCCATGTGAGAATCTGAGGAGAGGAAGAGAAAGGGAGAGAAGGGGGAGAAGAAATGAGATGATTAATGAAAGGTCAACTTACAATAGGCAAAGTGTTACAAACTGAGATTTACTTTTAATCTTAATGTATTTTTGTATATCATCTTTTAACCTTCCTTTAAAACATAATTTACAGTCTATAATACTGAAATGACACAAATTTTAATAGAAGAACTAGACAATACCTTTTAAAGTAACTATGTTTTATCATTCTAGGCTTTTGGGAGGATCTTTTAAAAACACTGAATAAAATTTTTTATTATGATGGAAAGATAACACAAAGTTATTTGTTTCTTCAAACATGACAAGAACTGGGTGTAGCAGCACACATCTGTAATCCTAGCTATTCAGGAGGCTGAGATAGGAGGATTGCTTGAGGTCAGATGATCAAGACCAGCTTGGGCAAAATAGTGAGACCCAGTCTCAAAAAGGGGAAAAAAAAATTACAAGAAGAGACAAAATCCTGAGATGACATCTTGCACTTTAAGGCAGAAAAATATTGGGAAATGGGTTGGGGTGGGTAATGACTTTCATAATAAGAAAAATCCTGCAAGCTTTATCTGCCTTCTCTTCCTTATTGTCTCATAGAAGTTTCCCTTTCCCTTCAAAGAGCTAGTTCTCATTTGGTTGCTCTAAGGATTACAAAGGCCTCCAGAATAATAGGATAAAATTGTCCTTTAAAGTCTGTATTTCTTTTGTGAAGTATTCATGCCATTAAACCACCACATCCAGAGTAGAAAAATCATATTACACTTGTATCACTTTCTTCTGGGAAAGTCTAGCAAGCCTGTTAGCACAAAATCAGGTTTCAGAAATAACAGAAGAGATAATCTCTCACAAGCATTTTCCTTTCTCTCCCTCATAGCAGCACAGTTCAAAGACATTAGCTTGAAGCACCTAATTTTAAAGAGAACAAATTGGTCACATCTTGGCTTACAATTTTACTTGACCAAGTAAAATTGTAATCCAAGATGTGACAAACAAATAATGTACAAAAAAGCACAGTGCTTTATAAGATGAAAACCAAGATTTTTAAAAACTTACATATAGGAAAGAATAAGTAATTGATGTATAACTTAATTTAACTTCAAAGCATAAAACATGCACAAATCCCCCAGATGTCTAAATAATAAAATGCAATGGTGTGGAAATGAGCACAACTATACTGTATACACCAATAATCAGTCATCTACAGAAATTTACCAATATGTTATGTTCATATTGCTCCCAAACCCTCAACTTTGATGCCTATGTGAGAATCTCAACCTACTTGCTCCCATTTTGTGGGACTAAAGAGTTAGATGTGTTATATGAACCAAAAAAAAAAAAATCCTTTCAAATGTAACATAATTAATATATTACCTTTTAAAGATAAAAAGTACTAGAGAAATTTAAAATATAGGGTTGCAAACTATGAGGTTATAATTATCACTAGGTAATCAGTTCAGCATATGAAAAGTAAGAGTGCCCATCAATAACTAGTACTTTCTTTACAAGATATCTTCCCCTAATTGATGTCTAATTCGATGGAACTTTAAGTGGGGGTTATGTTCTTTGGGGCCAGTCATTTGGGGTTATAAAAATGTTTTGCTTTACATTTTCTTAATTTGAAGATCTTGGAATTGCAAAGTACTATAATGTCAGTACATACTATTCTTAATTGCTTACATTTAAAAGCAAATATTCCTCAGCTGTTTCCAGCTACTCCAAAGGTAAGAGAGTCTTAATTCTGTATCAGAGCAGTAACGTGGAGGACTTTACAGGGGGAATGCCAGGATGGACCATCTATATGGGTTTATTGCATTTCCCCTAGGAATGCTCCTTTTGGGCTCCCCCTGCAGATAAAACAACTTTTTTTCTTTCCTAAATGACAGTTTCTTTAGTTGAAATAAAGAGAATTTCCAACTACACAGAAGTAGAATGGGAGCAATAGGGAAAGTCTCTGCATTACACAAACATCCCAGATGCCAGAGAGGGTAGGATCACCTGAGACTTTTTCTGAGAGTTGAAAAGAGCCAAAAACACCAGGCATTCAACAAAAGCATGATGCATAGAGCAGAGGCAAGTGGATACTCAAGTGCAATGTGAGGGCTCAAAACCAGCCCCAGGAATATCCAGAGGAATACTAGCACTGCGGTCCACTGTACAGAAGTGACATGTCACAAGCAGCCTCAGGAGTCTGGTCAAGCAGTGAAACCTGGTAATCTTCACAGGCCAGACAGTCACTGCCAGTTATCCTGCTGCTGCTGGTTCCTGTGAGCACTACCCACATGTTACTCAGGGAAGGGAGCCCCACCTGCTGTGGATTTCCCATGGCCACAGTAACAACTAAATGTTGAGATACCTTGGAACAAAAATGCTATACACACAGGCTTTTAAGCTCAAGAACATTTAAGCTCATTTTGTTAGAAAACATTTGATCCTCATAACAGGAGCTCCATCAAGAATTTAAAGGGGTGGAAATCACTGCTATGATCTATGTTTCTCCAACATTTACCTACCTGGCACTTAATGGAACATTTAAATAATGACACTTTGTGTTAATTCTTGTCCTCATTTGTCCAGAATCTGAAAGGATATTTAATAAGCACCTATTATGTGCCATTTATGGGAATGAATGATGAAAACACAAAGATGAAGGCAAACAGACTCTGGCCTTCGTGACTCGGGCTTGTGTTAAAAGGAAAAGCGTGAAATGTAAACAAATACTATAGCAGTGAGAAAAGCTTCACGATGACCTTCATTTTAAGACAGAAGTCATTACCTATGTATGTTTATGATTTCCCTCAGCAATCATAGCTACATCCCCACTGTAAACAACATTGTGCTCTGGACATAAAAGGCACACATTACATATTCAAGACAGAAGACAATGATGTGCAGAAATAACACAGACTTTCGAATCTAAGAGGACTGGGTTTGAATCCTGGTTTCCCTACTGAAGAGCTGGGTTAGTCTAGGTTCCTTTATAGCAACACAAAACCCACTGTGTGTTGCTATAAAGAAATACCTGAGACTGTGTAATTTATAGAGAAAAAAATTTATCTGGGTCATGATTGAGCTGGCTGGAAGACTGGGTGTCCAGTGAGGGCATCAGGCTGCTTCCACACCTGGTGGAAGGCAAAGGGGAGCTGGCATGTGCAGAGATTACCTGGGGAGAGAGGACACAAGAGGGTGGGAGAGTGAATGCCAGGCTCATTTTAACAACCAGCTCTTGCAGCAAATAAAAGAGCAAGAACTCACTCAAGCCATTCATGAGGGATCTGCCACTATGAGCAAACACCTCTCATTTGGCCCCACCTCCAACACTGGAGATTACATTACTACATGAGGCTTGGGGGGTCAAATATCCAAACTATCATCATACGTCAGTTAAACTTTTTGAGTATCTGTTTTCTTTTCTAAAAATAGAAACACTAATAAGTCCTGCCTCACATAATTACTCGGAAAAAGAAATCAGTAAGTAAAATAACTATCATTATATCTGGCAAATCAGAAGGCTTAGTAAATAAATGCTTGTTCTTAATTTACCTGAGCACTGCTGCTATGGTCTGAATGTATGTGTCCCCCTACAGTGTACATGTTGAAATCCCAACTCCCCAAGGATGGTGGTATTAGCAGGTGGGACCTCTGCAAGATGATTAGGTCATCATTGTGTGTATGCCCTGTGTCAGTAGAGAATAATTATAGAATACTCCACACGAATAAAACACCACATGACTGCTTAAGTAGAAACCATAGTTTTGTCTCTGAAATGAATCTCTTATCATTTTTTTATTCTCTAAAAATTCTTCCCTGAAATAAAAAGTAAAATACAAAGTCCATTTGTACGTATTTTAAAATCAAATGCTGCTTAGAGGTTAGAAAAGAGTTTACCTTCAATTTCCCCTGTAATAACTCACAAACATTAAGCTAACCAATCAAGTAACGTATCTGATATGCTTTGGGAGAATAAAAAATGTAACTGTGGATTTTTGTTCCAATTTACTCAGGTATAAATCTATTAAGCATATCTTTCAATGAGAGCATACAGAACTTTTGGCAAAGGCAGACTTGGCATCTTTTTAACATTTTTTTTTTTTGAAACAAGAATAACACAAACATGGGACATTATTCTAATAAAATATTATCTGGGTCCTTTGACCACAAAAATCATATATGTTTACAAAACAGATGACATTTTGTTGCCTAGTTAGGTATTTAGTTATTTTAGAACTACCATTTCTTTTTTCTTAGATTCCTTACATAAATATATTTTCTAGCAATTGTTTTGTGAGTCCTTATTTCCATAGGCAAAAGTCAGAAGTAAGCAATGTGAGTGGAAAATTTTTAATTGAAAAGAAGCACAGTTGTGTATTTGGTTAAATAGAAATATTCTACCTTTGCTACAAAGATTTTTTTTTTGAAAAATACCCTGGGTATTCACATAAGAGTTGGGAAAAAAGGAAAATACCCCCTATGTTTTTTAAATGAGAGTATTATAATAGCTTTAGAAACGTTCAAATTCTAGCTTACATTTAAAAAGTAGTTTCTCCAAGAAACCCCAAGTGACATATAAAGGAAATTTAAATAATACATACCATTTTTGTTGCTGCTAAAATATTCTGGATATGTAAGATGGAATATTAATGTTGCAATTTGTGAAGGGAGATTTGGGCCACAGAAAGTGATTCGTACAATGTCACTTAGCAGATTGTATTTAATTATGTAGTGGGTGGAAATTAGGGTGACAACTGGCTCCCAGATGCTATTAAGTCCATTCAGACTCATTTAACTTTCTCATGTATTAATACTAGCAGGCCAGTCAGTGAATATCTATAGTTTTATAGGCATAACTAATTTTGGTAAAACAGTGTCCTCCCTATAGAAGCACTCTTATTAATACTTCATTAATAGGTTCAAGATAATACTGTTGTCAGTTATTGGAGGTTAAATGCTTCATCAAATAAAGGTTAGTTACAGAACCAGATACTGAGGATACGATGTTGAATAAGACCTGCCTTCTGTCTTCAGTGAGCTCAAAGTTTTTGAGGGGGAGCAGATAAAAAGAGAGACAACTAGAGCAAACAGTGAGAGTTCTGGGGACTGAGAACATATAGGGTATTACTGAAGCCCTCTGGGGAAGGAGGGAAGCAAGGGCTCAGGGAAGCCCTCACAGAGAAAAGCATGCTAAACTGGAGCCTTCAAGGAAAAGTAAAGGGAAAGTAGTTAGGTGCAGAATGAAAGGAAGGCAGGCCATGTGCAAGGACAGTGTTCTTCCCAGGAATGGGACCTGCTCCTAGTAGGGACAACATTTTTTAATGTGTGGACACAGGCCAGGGAAGTTCAATAACTCCAGATGCAGGGGATAGCTCAACTGATAAAAACAGCTCCCTCCAAAACGCAACAGAATTCCTGCTTGAAAATACCATACAGCATAGAATCTAAGCTGGAGATGCAAGAGGTACAGAGGTAAGTGGAAGCCAAACCAGAGAGAGGCTCCTGAAATAAACCTAGCAAGGGCTCAAACCAAGGGGCAGGCAAGGATGATGTGGTAAGAAAGATTTGCTGGATATTAAGAAGGCAGAATCAACAGAATTTACATATAGAAATCAAAAAAGAGGAAGAAATAATAAATGCCCAAGTCTCTGGCTAAGGAATCCTTACAGCTAGAAATACCACATACTGAGTTGATAAACAGAAAAGGAGGAGTGTGTTTAAAGGTGAAATATAAATGTTTCTATTTTTAATGTGTTGAGTAAGGTATCCATGTGAAGATATCCCCGGAAGAGAAGGCTGCCTAGTGTTAATCTGGATAACTAAAAAGCAGATTTTGTCAACCGTAGAATTTATTTTAGTAACAGTTTTCTTTCTAAACTTGAAAGCTATTTCTTTGTATTCTTTCACAGGTTTAGGCCCTTTGTAAAAGTGTATTTCAGATAGACAATGTTACATATAATATGAAATATACATACATATAGGATACAGTATATACTATATTCTGTGTTACTTTAACATTTATATTTCACCTCTAAACACACTCCTCCTTTTCTGTTTATCATCTCAGTACCTACACTGTTTCCTATCTAATTAAAGGCAGTGATTATATTTTACTGTGAAATTCTTGCTCATCCATGCCATATGGATAAATATTCCTAGATCAGATTATATTCCTCGTAATATATCTTAATTCACATAAGTGGTGCTATAAAACTGTGAACTATTTTGATCAACTTAAAGGAATTTGCTGTTTGACAATTACATCTTCAGACTGGTTTTAAGAAAAGGATGGCTATAAAAATGGATGGACACTTTTCATCCAGGCCGTCAGAAGCTACATGATGGAAAGAAAACAAAGCAAACAACACATGCAGTAGCTAAGTCAAGGAATTAGCCTCTTTGCAAACAGAAAGAGCAGCTCCATGGAGTCAAAGCAACAAAGCTAAGCTGAGATTGGTGTAAACAAGTTTCTCTTTCTAAAGATCCCACCAACTGTGGGAAAACAGCAAAGGTCACTGGCTAGGTTGGGGACCTTCTCTGAAAAAACTGAGCCATGAAACAGTCATAGATATGCCCAAGAAAATGTTAATGATGAAATTTTAATGTAATCACCAATCTGTCTGATTATAGGGGAAACAAGTTCATCTGTTAGTAAGTCTCATCAAAAAAGTGACTAATCACATTAAGTCCACAAACTTGCTCTGAGCCTTCTAGAAATACTGTTACTTCTGTAATTTTAATGAGTTTGCCACAGCAGAAATCAAGACCCCTGCTCTAAGCAATGTATAATTCTATTGCCACTATTAGTAGGGTATATGCTTAACAAAAAGCTCAAATAAACAGTAAAGTCCAACAAAAACTTGTTATGACATGAGTTTGTTCAGAGCTGAACTTAAAATAACTTTTGTCTGTTTGGGTCCTATTTACTAAAAGTTTCGTTTAATAAAGAACTAATGAGCCTCTCCCAGATATTGGTTCAGTGGCCTTCACCCAGAATCCAGTATTTGCAGACAGAGAACACGAGAATGAGGCAACCTGAAACACTGCTCACATATAAAACAAATAACTGGATGTGAACATTTTGGGTTTTCAGAGGGAACAGCTAAAGTTATTTAACATTAATGTAGATGTTGACATTTAGCTACTGATTTTAACAAAAATAATGCACCACTTTAGAAACACAATTTTTTAAATGTGGATAATGATAGGTTAAGTTTTTACATCATTAGAATCATATTCATAGTGCATAAATATTGTATCACTTTTTTTTCCTAGACATCTACCATACTTGAAAGTGAAGTAATAAAGGGCATAAAAGATTATTTTTCATCTCTACCATTTTGGCAGAACTATATAAAATTCATGATTTTTTTTCACACTCAAATATTAAAATTTTTGAAGATTCTTATGAGAATTTGCCAAATTCAGTATGATCCAAATGCTGCCATCTGCCAGCAAAGCTATATTACGGCAAAAAAGGAAAGTTAAACATTAGAACACAGTGAGAATTTCACAGACTTGCTTCAGGTAAAATTTGCTATTTTATAAGCCAAAAGACTTCACATCTTCGCCAACCAGATCCATCTTGCATTTTATGTAATAAGGAAGTCTGAGCCAGGAACACGAAAGTGTTACTTGTCTAAAAATTGACTAATTCTTCATTTTTATTTTTTAGCCACACTTCACCACCACTGCGATTTCTCTGGTGGTCTTAAGTCAATGAAGTTCTGGGAACAAAATAAATTAAAAATAGGATCATCTTCTCTTCCTTAAAAAAACATTTCTTTAAATAATGTTACATGAATATCTTTGCAGCAATGTTTCTAGAGCCTGTAATTTTAATTTGGAAGACGTGTAAGTGCAAAAAAAACCCCCAAATCCTAAGTTTACATAGACGTACTCTTCCCAGGAAAACAAAACAAAACTTAAGAAAAAATATTGCTGTTATCATCCAGGTCGCAGAGTTCCTATACTTAGAAAATTTTCTTCAAATTTCAAAGAGAAGGAGAAACTACTGTGGACAATAGCTCTCATGCTGCAAAAGTTACCTGATAATTGTCAGTACTTCAGGAGATTTAAGTCTCCCTTTTAAACGGGAAGGCTTAGAAATTATGATTTTAAAAAACTGTATTAATTTAAAAACATTCAGCTTGCCATTAACCTTACTAAATAACTTACTGACAAAAAATGTATAAATAAAAGGAGAAAAATCACCATCATGGATATATAAATAATAGTGTCTCAGTAAGGAAAAATATTTTACTTAGGTGGTTTGAGTTAAAAGTTTCCGTTAAAGCAGGAGAACCTGTAGCAGATTCACATACCTATAAAATAATTACATAATGCATAGATCAGAATCATGGCCAAATTAAGGAAAAAAAAAAAGTTTATTTTTTTCATATGGGAATTACCTCATTTGAATGTGTGAGATGGGAGGTGTAGGGCATACATTTAAAAATACATTTCACTTGCAAAGAATGTCAATCTTCATCTTACGACCATTGCAATTTTACTGCATACACAACTCCATAACTAAAAAATCTCTATATAACGTGTATATACAGAAACACACCATGGAAGCTAAAAAATGAACATCTTTTGCTCTGAAGCTATACATAAGTCACTAGCATGAATATAAAAATGGAAATATAATACATTGTATTGACTTTGTGCTAATGAAAAAGAGAGGGTTCTGAGATCAATGTGGGTACAAAACCTTCAAGTTGAACTGGTCTTGAAATATCAATCAGAGTTCCTAGGCAGAGAAAGATCAGGGAGGCACCATGTGTACATACAAAGGCATGAGACAGTATGGCATTTTTGGCTCCCACTCTGCTTGGATCTCCAGTTCACTGAGGTCATATGAATACTTTGATTCACAGAAACAACTTCCTGTATTCTCTTCTTACCACTGAGGACTTACAAAGTGTTCCAAGATATTTTTAGGAACTCTTTCAGATTTCCCTGTATCTGAAAGAATAGCAATAATATAAGGTTGGATTCAATTTAAGATTATCCTTTCTTTTGCTAATCCACGTGTCAGTTGCAGAGGAAGATCCCAGCTTCACCTTAATTTCATAACTCCAGAACAGGTAATAACAAGTGCTCTTCATGTAATGTATTAACATGGTGCCAACATGGAAGACATGGCTGCAAAATTACTGTCAACAACTGCAGGCTATTATGCTGCAAGGCACTAGAGATCCTTTGACGGCTACACTTTAGCACAGCAGATATAAATCTTCAATGACATCAACTGAGACACAAAACCAATGTTGATAGAGAATATATGACAACTAACAAGTCTTTTCCCTTCATAACTGACAATTAGGCATTATTCATTTTGAAAACTACCTCCATTTGAATGTAGCTAACTCTCAAATCTTAAAAAAAAGATTATAAAGTGCTTACCAAATAAATATTATATGACAATACAAACACCCAAGCCAAAAATCTCAGAAGGGACTTGGGAAACAAAAGCACATTCCGCTTCATAAAATAACGTTTGCAGTTTGGTACTGTTAAAGACACTCAATCGTTTATTAAGTGTGAAACTCCTCCTGTAAATTTCCTGGACTTAAAAATAGGATGCTAAAAGAAGAGATTTAAAGAAAGTAGAGAAATGAATACATGAGCAGAAAAAAAAAACACTCAAAGCAAAGGCTAAAATAAAAAATAGTGAATATATGGGCAGAGGTACCTGAAGAATATAACGATTGGGTGTTCCTACCTATATTACCCCAATTAACTCACAAAATAGTCCTTGAAATAGGTACCACTGTTTCCTTCATACCAATGAAGAAACAGACTCAAACAGATATAAATAGCCATAGTAACACAGCTAATCTGTGGCAAAGCTAGGATTTATACTCTGCAATGTCTCAATCTTTCTCTTAAAACCATTTGTACTGATAAATACCCACTATAATCCCCTGTCATTAACATTTTAAAACCTAGAAATTTTGAATTCTTGAAAAATTCTACTACTGTATGATCTTTATATGTAGAATCTAAAAAAGTTAAACTCATAGGAATGAAGAGTAGGACAGTGGTTGCCAGAGGCTGAAGGTGAGGGAAATGAGATGTTGATCAAAGAGTACACATTTTCAGTTATAAGATGAACAAGTTCTAAGAACTCTGTACAACATGGGGGATGATGGATATAGTAACTTGATTGTAATAATCATTATACAATATATACATATATCAAATAATCATGTTGGATACCTTGAATACAATCTTTATTTGTTAAGTAGATAATTTTAAAATTTTACAACACAAAAATTCTACTTCCTTATCTTTCATTCAATGTATTTCTGTTTTTAAATATTATGAATTCGGTAATTTTTCAAAACATGAACTTATTTACCAATTCATACCAAGAGCTATGCAACTAGGTTTCTTAAAATGCCTTTCCTAACTTATGTATATCACCATTGTTATTCACTCACAGATTGTTGAAGATCTTGACAAATCCTTTACATGTGCTATCTCCATTTGCTCTCTACAGCAACACTCTCAAGTAGTTATTAATGTGCTTGTGTCCCAACAGAAGATTTGTACTTTAATGCCCCCTTAGGAACCCTGCCTGTGTAAAGATCTGCACCAGCAGCACTGAGGGTGGACCAGCCCCAGGCATATCTCCTGGACTGCTGGACAGAGCTCTAGATTTAAGAGTTGCAGCATCTTAGAATAAAGGCATTTCTTCTGACTGTATGGGTTCAAAAGTTTGCATGTGAAGTATGACAACACTAAAGTCTTTAGAGTTCAGGACTTAGTTCAGGCTCAAATAAATGGTATCTCCTAGAAAAGCAACCCTTCAAACCTTTTCTCATGCACTTCCCACAATAATTCTGAAAAATTTACCTTCTTCACTCATTTTTAAGTGGTCACCTAGAAATTTTTAACATAAAGAGTTACAAAAAATATAATTTCTGGTGCATTTGAAACATTGACATTTAACATAAAACTGTGGTGTCACTCTTAAGTAAATACCATGGAATCTAACTACAGTCATGCATTGCTTAACGATGGGAATAGGCTCTGAGAAATGCATCCTTAGGCGATTTTGTGCTTGCTTATGTGAACATCATAGAGTGTGAAAATCACAGAGTGTACTTATACAAACCTAGGCAGTATGGCCTACCACAAACCTAGGGTATTTGGTATAGCCAATTGCTCCTGGGCTACAAACCTGTATAGCATGTATTGTCCTAAATACTGTAGACAACTGTAACACAAAGGTAAGTATGTGTATTTCTAAACATATTTAAACATAGAAAAGGTACAGTGAAAATATGGTATAAACAATACAAATGGTAAACATGTATAGGGCACTTACCATGAAAGGAAATTGCAGGACGGGAAGTTGCTCTAGGTGAGTCAGTGAGTAAGTGGTGAGTAAATGTGAAGGCCTAGGACACTACTGCACACTACTACAGACTTTATAAAAACTGAACACTTAGGCTACACTGAACTAGTAAAAAAATTAAGTAACTGTACTACGATGTTACGACGGCTATGATGTCACTAAGAGATAGGAATTTTTCGGCTCCATTATCAACTTATTGGACTGGTCATTCATATATGCAGTCCATCATTGACTGAAACATCATTATGCAGTGTATGACTATTTTATAGCAATATGATCCCACCACCGATGAAAAATACCTGCAAACTCTTTACAGAAATTTACAATATTTCTTTTTTCATTGAACTCCTTACTTTGATTTCATTTCCTCCAGAAACTTAGAATTGTTTTCTACTGTAATATATGTTAATGCCTGACTATTAATGACCTTATCAAAATTACCTATGCCAAATCTATATATATTTTTTCTCTGATCTTAAGGATCTAGTCTCAAAAATCACTGAATTGAGTTTTTATTAGACAGTAATGCTCAAGTGATCCAAAACAAATATATCACACAAATGTGCATTTATAATACATATAATAAATAAATACATTTATTAGATATGCATCTCAATGAAATGGATAGTGCTATTTCTTCCAATTAGTTCATGTATCCATAGATTGAAACAGAGTTCAGCATTAATTTTAATCCAGGATTTTTTTTTCTGTTGTAAGCTCTAAGAAAATAAATAGATGGGAGCATTATTATAGCAATGTCCATCAATTTAATTCCTGCCTATTTAAATGTCCCCAAACCACACAGTGATTAATAAGCAAAAACTCTTTCAATTATTTAGCAGTTGAATACTTGTATAAATTCTTTGCCAACTTTACTGAAAGTAAAATACAAGCCATCTAATTTGCAGAAGAATTGATTACATCATCAATCAATCACTTCCTCAAAACCAATGGTAATATTACACATTTGCCTTTTGAACGGTACCCTGGAGGTTTTTCCACTCTGGGACAAGAATCACCACTGTTAAAACCTGAGTTAAGTGAGAGTTGTACCTTTCCTTTGTAAAGCGGGAGAAGGATGACTGTGAAAGGCAGGCTGAGAATGAGACTGAGCAGAAGACCTTTAGGAAAGGGTACTTACAGAATTAGAGGGTTCCTACTCAGTCCTATTAAAAATATACATGTGCCTATGTATTCCTGGGGAAGTTGTCTTGCTTATCCAGGTAGCCTCATAGTTTGAAAAACATCGTCCCAGTTAGGGTAGCAAAGGTCTGGAAGTGACCATGGAACTAGGGCCTAAATTGAACACACACAAGAAAAAGAATTGGCCCTTTATGGTGAATATCTTTCACATGGAACTTCTAGAAAAATTGGAGCTTGGGGTAGGAGAATGAGGACTGGACTTTCTACCAATCTGGGCAGATGCTGGGCCAAGTGTCATAGTCTGAGACCGACTGAGAGGCTTTTTTTAATACTCTAAATAGTACAAAAAGTAGTATGATTAGAGTACTGAGTGCCTACTGAGCCATACTATTGTGGCTGGTGCTAATGGGGAAAAAGAAGGTATAATACACAGCCCTTGTCTTCAAGGATCTTCCACCTTATTTGAGCTATCTGTTAAGGAAATGAAATTTAAGCAGAAAGAGGACACACAGTCTATATTATTAAATCAGTAGCCCAGGGGAAGAGGAAAGAGGGCAGCCATAGGATGTATAATTTGGCGAGGGAATGTTGTGATGTTAGAGGTCCCTGGCAGTGGGAGAACTGCTAAGAATTCATCGGAGAAGAGTTACATGTGGACACCTGATATGACAAACGGCATTTGCTAACCAAGAGAGAACTACAAAAGCACCTACATACATAGACATTTCACGCCTTCTTCCCCTTCCTACCAACTGCAATCCTAAACAAATGTTGTAGACAGATTAGACGATCAGGAAAAGCAAGAATGGATAAAAGGGACTAAAGTCCCTTTTTCCCACTACAGGTTTCTGAGTGATTTAGAAGGAAAGAAAAAAGGTTTTGAAATGTGTAAGTCTTGGTTTAAACTGTTCTGAAAAATTTAGTACCTGAACATGTTATTTAATACCCAAAATAACCAGAAAAGGTATGGTATCTGCAAAGATGTCTTCAAGGATGGTATGAGAGAGAGAGATCCTAGAGTACCTAAGGATTGTGCTGTGGTAAGAATTAAGCTTCCTACTTAAGCCCTTCCAAATTTAGACCACTCACTAATTTGTTACATAAACCAAATCAAGTAATAACGAAAACTATAAAAGACTTTTCCGAAAAAACTGTCACAGTATATAAGGGGACGTGATTTCAAGCTGTAAATCAACAACAAATACTACTAATCATAATTCTATAAACTTTCTCCCAAATTTTCTCATGCTGTTTTTCACTGGAGCTCATGAATGCTCTTCAGCTAACATCTGGAATCTAAATCCATCATATTTTCTTATTAATTCAGATGCCTCTCATTTTAAAGATCCCCAGATTGCTCCCTTTATTATAAATAAATTCTCAATGAATGTAAATTTCTGTATTTGGCTAATGCTTATCTCTTTAGGCTTCATTTTGTTCTGCACCAACCCTATCGGTCTTAGAGAAATGTTACTTCTAATGAATTTATTTATATAAAAAGAAGCAATCTGTCATGATTTTGAAGATGGAAATGAGAGGAGAGAAAACTTTTGTGTGGTTTGAGTGTTTTGCCTTTGGTTCATTAAAAATAGGCACAGTTGGCTGACAGCGGTGGCTCACACCTGTAATCCCAGCACTTTGGGAGGGCGAGGTGGGTGGATCACGAGGTCAAGAGATCAAGACCATCCTGGCCAACACAGTGAAACCCTGACTCTACTAAAACTACAAAAATTAGCTGGGTGTGGTGGTGCATGTCTGTAGTCCCAGCTACTCAAGAGGCTGAGGCAGAGAATTGCTTGAACCCAGGAGGCGGAGATTGCAGTGAGCTGTGAGTGCACCATTGCACTCCAGCCTGGTGACAGAGCGAGACTCCGTCTAAAAAAAAAAAAAAGAAGGCACAGTTTTTGATAGATCATATAAAAATGTAGCATATTTTATCTCTAGTCTATAAGAGTATCTGACTAATGAATTATACTTCAAAAATAATTCTGACATTACTGAATTAAAATGGAAACTAATATGCTTTTAAAAAGCACGGTTAGATTATCTTGGTTTATATGCAGTCTGTATTTAATCTCTCTTAAACATTGTCTCAGTACCTTGCCATTCTGATAAGCATTCCATTTGTAGCTGCAATGTTCTTTCAATAGTTTGACAGATATTACAATTCTGGTTAAGAATTTAAAGTTTCCAGAAGTTGGTACTGGAGACTGTATTTCCCATCATTTTCATGAGGCAAATGGATGCTCTATCATAATATCCATAAATGTAGTTCTCTAATGACACACAATTCATTAGTTTTTCTTATTGCTTCTTGTCTTTTTATTACTTTCAGGTGGTGGGCAGTAGAGACCCATTAATCTTCAAATGCTTTTAATAAAACAGCACTATGGGATGAAGGAGAGACAGAGAGGGTGGCAAAAACCCAGTGTGGCTTCCTGGTGTTTTTATTTTTTTCTCTAACAAATGTTACTGATATTTAATTGCCTACTGTGATTATCAGTGCACTTATATTTTATTGTGGTACTGCACTGGACACTTAAAAATTTGTTAAGAGGTTAGATTTCAAGGCTGGGTATGGTAGCTCACACCTGTAACCCCAGCACTTTGGGAAGCTGAGGTGGGAGGATTGCTTGAGGCCAGGAATTTGAGACAAGCCTGGGTAACATAGTGAGACTTCATCTCTACAAAAAAATGACAAAATTAAAAAAGAGGTTCGATATCATGCTAAATGTTTTTCCCTATTTGTTTTTAATAATGAATTTCCTTATTTTCCTGGCACCAAGATCTATCTTCACCTTCCATAGGGTATTACTAGCTCCTGAGTTTGTTTAGGCACTCAAAGGATACTTAACACTTGGAGGGAATAAAAGACTAGTACATATAAGGAAATTTAGGACTACTATATGAAAATAACAAATCTTATTCTCCCTTCACCACCCCACAGCTGGTCATCCCTCCTACTATCCCTCCATTTCCTTTTCAGTGGTATCATTAAGGGTATGCACTAACATTAAAATAAATGAAATGTCTGGAAAGGGTAAAATGCTATAAAAGTGTAGAAACAATTCCTCCGTATCTCATTCATACAAAACTTTTCCTGGTTTACTAAGAGACTATGAAACAATGACTTAAAAATCCATAAATAACAGGAATTTTCTCCATAACTGAAAAATACAGTTTATCCACACTCTCTTCCCTATTTTACAAAATAAAAATTAAAATGAAACTTTCACAAATTACATTGCCTCACCGTTACTCTTTGTAAATCAAACGTGTCTATCAATACCATGTTTATTAGACCCCAGGTCCTATATTCTAGGTTATGTACCAACCTCACACGCTGTTTCCTCCTAATTGCTGGCAGGAAATCAGAACTACAGGAAGGAAATAGGTAATGGCCAGAAATCTTGATTAAGTGTATTGGAAATACGGACTAAATAAGGCACTATAATTAGTATCAGACAGAAGGATGAATTTATCTCCAACAAAGCACAAACTGTTGAAGCATTAAAATTTGGAAAACGTGTCTGAGACATAATCCACTATGATGATGGAGGAGATGAATCTCTTTCCTGTCATGCAAGATGAGTTCAGGATGAAAGTAACGACACTGTGACACTGCTAAAAAGCTGCAGTTGGTTAGCATTCATGAGATACCTTTTTAAGGTAATCTGCCCCTGGGATACCATGATAAATACAAATCTCTTAATTTATTTAAAAAGTTAACTCAGTGTTCGTGGGGAAACACAGAAAGGCTATTTTAAATTAAAGGCTATTTTAAATCAGACAAATTTCCTTATAGAAAGAGTAATAAAAAAAAAAAAGAGCACTGGGGGCTTATTATAATACTTCCTCTCAGGTTTCAAAGTATTTTAGTTCACTTATATTGTTCATGCACTTGTTCCCCAATATCAGAAGCCCTTTCAAATACATTATGAATATATTGAAAATTAAATAACAGCCCATGAAACTTTTACTATTTGTAAAAAAAAAGTGTTAAAATAACGTAACTTCAGATAAAAGTTAATTGATCTCACGAACCAAATATTTAAGTATCAATTAAATATAAGATTCTGTAGAAACTACGATAAGCAAAAAAAAAAATCCAGATACAAAGACTACATATTGCATGATTCCATTTTTACAAACTATCCAGGAAAAGTAAAATTACAGAGCCTGAAAATAGATGAGTGGTTTCCTGGAACTGAGAGTGGGAGCAGGAATAGACTGCAAATGGCCATGACAGAACTTTCTGAAGTGATATGTTTAAAAATTGAATTTTGATGATAGCTGCACAAATGTATAAATTTACTAAAAATCATCTAATCTACAATAGATGAATTTTATTTTATACCTAAATAAAACAGAGAAGATTATGTGGGGAAAAAAAACCATGGCATTGAGATTATTAGAGAAGTTGCACTCCCTCAAAATCTCATGGATTAGTAGAGTAGAATTAATAAAATAATCTAAGGACCATGAAAGAGCTTCCCAACAAGTGGTGGTACACTAGTGTTCTTCCAATGGGTTTCAGAACTGGCAAGACTTCAATTCTCTCGGCCACTGGAGTGACATGGTAGGACCTGGGGCTTGTATTCCCTGCAGCTAAGAATCTTCTTCCATTGACTCTATTTACTACAGAAACAAAATATTTTGCTGATCAAAGGCACCTTGATGAATGAAAATGAAGAGAGATCATATCATTACTTACAAATGCAACTAAAGCAGCGCTTAGAGGGAAATTTATAGCTGCAATTGCCTATTTTAAGAAAAAAGAAAGATCTCAAATCAAAAGCCTAACCTTTCACCTAACACACTGTAAAAATGAGAGCAAACTAAACCTAAAATAGAAGGAAGTAAATAGTGCAGAATGAAGATAAAATAGAGAACAGAAAAATAGGAGAGAGTCCAAGAAATCATCCTAGAAATGTTATTTAAAATAGTCTTTTAATGGACAAACTTTTAGTTAGATGGGCTAAGAAAAAAGAAAGGCTATTCAAATTACTAGAATCGGAAACGGAAAAGAGGACATTATTACTGACCTTATAGAAACTAAAAATAATTACAAAAACTATGATCAAATGTGTAACAATAAATTAGAGAACTTGGATGAATTGAAAAATTAATGGCATTAACTTTTAATGGCAAAAAACACAATTACTTTTGCACCAACATAACAGGAAAACACAAAATGACTCAAAAGAAAGACAATGAATAGATCTATAACATGAGATCAAATTAATAATCAGAGAATTACTACCAAAGAAAAGCTCAGTCCCAGATGGCTCCACTGGTGAATTCTACCAAATGCTTTTAAAAAATACAAATTCTTCATACCTTTGAAAAAAATTGAAGGGTCCACTTAAAACTTATTCTACAAGGCCACTATTACCCTGATAACAAAATCAGAGATATCACACAAAAAAATTACAAGGACAATATCTCTTATGAATATAGAGGCCAAAAACTTCAACAAAGCACTAGAAAACCAAATCCAGTGACAAATTTTAAAAATCCTATATTATGATAGTGGGAATTGTGCAAGGAATGCAAGGTTCATTTAACACCTGAAAATCAAATAATGTATTACATCATATCAACAGAATAAAAGACAAAATCCACATGATCATCTCAATAGATGTAGGAAAAGCATTTGACAAAATCAAACACCTTTTCATTATAAAAACAGTCAATAAACTAGGAATAGAAATGAACTTCCTTAAACTGCTAAGAGTTTCTATTAAAAATTCAGAGCTAAAATCAGATTTAATTATAAAGGATTATATGCTTCCCCCCTGTGATCAGGAACAACACCAACATGCCTTTTCTTACCACTTATAGTCAACATTGAACTGGAAACAATTAGTCAAAAAAAATAAATAATGGAAATCTAAATTAGACAGGAAGAAGTTAAACTATCAGTATTTGCAGATGACATGGTCTTGTACATAGAAAAGTCTACAAAATCCACTAAAAATTTTAAAGTTAATAAGCAAGCTCAGTAAGGTTGATTGATGCATATAAAATCTATATACAAAAATAATTATATTTCTAATAACTTGAATGATTTAAAGATAAAATTAAGAAAACAATTCAACTCAAAATAGCATAAAAAAGAATAAAATAATAGAAATACATGTAACAAAAAAATAAAACTTTTACTTTGAAAACTACAAGACATTGTTGAAAGGGAAATTGAAGGTCTAAATACATAGAAAGACATCCCATATGTGTGGATCAGAAGACTTAATATTGTTAAGATGGCAGTATGCTCCAAATTGACCTACAGTTACAACATAATCCCTACTGGAATCTCAGCTGGTAATCTTTGCATAATCTTTACAAAAGTTGATAAACTCTTCCTAAAATTCATATCAAATTTCAGAATAGCCAAAACAATCTTCAAAAGCAACATAGGTGAAGGACTTGCAATCCTGATTTCAAAAGTTACTGCAATGGTAGAGCAATGGTAATCCAGAAAGTGTGGTAGTGGCATAAGAATAGACATATAGATTGGTAAAACAGAATTGAGAGTCCAGAAACAAATTCATGTATCTATGGTCAACTGATTTTCAAAAAAGGATAAAAAGAACATTTAATAAGGAAAGAATAGGTTTTTCAACAAATGGTGTTGGGACAACTGAATAGTTCCATGTAAAAGAAGGAAGCTGGACTCTTACATTACACCATATACAAAAATCAACCTAAAATGGATCAGTGACCTAAATATAAAACTATGAAAGTCTCAGGAGAAAGCACAGAGCTAAATCTTAGTGACCTTAGGTTTGGCAATGAATTCTTAGCGGTGACAACAAAAGCACAAGCAACAAAGAAAAAAATAAATTAAACTTCATCAAAATTTTGTGTTTCAAAATACAAATCAAGAAAGTGAAAAAAATTCACAGAATGAGAGAAAAGATTTGCAAATCACATATATGATGTGGGCCTAGTATCCAAAATAGAGGAACTCTTAAAACTTGAGAAAACAGAAATGGGCAAAGCACTTGAATAAACTTGATATATGGCACTTGATACTGGCATTGCACGTCAGGCAAGAAAATTGTAATGGTGCTAGGACATTTAGCTTTCCATATGAAATATATATATATGGAAGATATTTATACCATATCAGCTTGTATAAGTATACTCTATGATGTTCAACAAAATCACCTAATGACACGTTTCTCAGAATGTATCCCTGCTGTTAAGTAACACATGACTGTATATAATTCTATTTATACGAAATGTCCAGAATAGATAAATCTATAAGAGACAGAAAGTAAATCAGTGGTTGGTTAAGGCTGGATTGGTTGGGGGTTGATAGCTAAAGGGTACAGTTTTTTTTTTTTCTTGAGATGATGAGCATATTCAAAACTGGATAGTGGTGATGATTACACAATTCTGTGAATATACTAATATATTACCCCCAAATATATACTGTGACTAGGTCACAAAAGTAAGTTTAGTCGATTGAATTAATAATTCCGCTTGGATGCTTACTAAGTACTCAGATATAAGATTAAATAGGATAAGATGTTTTGCCCTTTTCTCAGGAGGAAATACATTGCAAAATAAACAGGTAATTAACACAGTCCCAAAATTAAAAAGTGGTCAGCCAGAAAATGTACACCTCCCACTGGGTTAAAGGGAAGGATTATTCTCAGTGATGGTTAAGTTGAGATTCTCAATGCCAAGAAAGCAGCTATACAAAGATAAGAGGGAAGATGACTACAAGCAGACGGGAAAGCAAGTGCGACACTGAGAATGGGTGGATAAGTGTATGAGGGACTGCATGAAGTCCAGGGTGGATGAACTGCAGAAGATCGGGGGAACAGAGGGAGAAGGTGAGATCCCAGAGGTCATGAGAGATTGGTCAAGGGCAGGCCTGTAGGGATTTGTAGGTTAGGATGAGAAGCTTCAACTTGTTTCTTTTCAACCCCCTAATACTCTGTGCACCTCTTTTCTGTTACACATAACCCTCTGTATCTCCCTATCCTGCCTGCTCTAAAGAAAATGAACATTTCTCATATATCTTCAGTGCCTATTTGGGATCTCAACAGAGGTTTCCTGAATGAACAGGTCACATATTGGTATTATAATAAGGCAAAATCCTAAATCCTATAAGATATTTAGAATAAAGATTAAATAGAAGAAAAAAAATGTTTTCTAAAGGTAATGCACAAATGAAGGCCAAGCAAATTGAATCTGAATTCCTCAGGCCAACCTGGTTGTTTCTACTAGAGACCATGATGGTTCCCCAAGTTTGAATGAATTAAAGCGAACACTTACTAATTTAATTAACTCATTGCCAGAACCTGAAACATCAAACTGTTGGCAAAAAGCAGCTTTATGCTCTGAATATCGTGCGGTAGTCGTACATTAACTGCTTCTCTAGCCCGCTCACTAAGTATTCCAAGTCATTGTGCAGAATCATGGTATCTACTGTTACATCACCAAAAACTATAACAGACAAAAATGGAAAGGCTATTATACAATTCTCAGAACTGAAATAGGATTATGTATTACCTTTCAAATAACACATGGTGATAAAATTTGCTTTCCTTAGAAATGACTTATAAATGTTTTATTGCCTAATGATTAGCTTTGCATTTGCATGTTGGATTTTCTGTTTGTACTACACAGGGATTCTGCCAAAATTCCAATTATAACATCATTATCTAGAAAGGGACACACTAGTTCTAACACATTTGAGACAAAGTTAGCCAAATAGCAGTTTTAGAGGGTAATACCACACATTTATGCACATAAACAGAGCATGTTTCTTTGGGAGGATTAAAAAAACAAACAACAACAATAATACACTTTTTTCAACTGGCTTACTGTGGCCTTGAGGCTTCGGCCTGGTCTGTCTGAAGTTTTTCTCCTTCCACTTCCATTGTACAGTAAACAATTCGATTGGGAGCAACTGACTTCAGGCCTTGCACTTCCATTATGACAATCTAAAGATAAAATGATTTTAAAATAATGCATCAAGTTGATAACATTTAGCAATATACATAAACAGCAGCATGAACTGTAATAAGGAAGATTGACAAAACTGAAAAAAAATTTGTTTTTTGTTAACATCACTGGTATTTTATCTTCTTTATAATCCACCTCTATTCATAGAAGGTATAATAAATAACATTTTTAGGAAATCTGGTAACTGAAAATATATCTGCTGCCAGATACAAATAAAAGTAAGGTCAAATGTCATAAATATAAGCCATAGTGAATTAAATGAAATTTAAACTCAGATCCTTAACAAATTAAGGCAAGTCTGCACATTAAGCAGAATCACAAATGAAAATTCAGTGCAGATGATAACAGCAGTACATGATAAGTACCATATAAAATAATATAGTATATATTATTGGTAAACATTGATACCATCATACTAACTCACTGATATCAATATGTGATATCAGAAATTTTCTATATTCACTTATTTGAGATTACTATTATTGTCTGTAAAAGAGTTTAATTTATGGACTGTGTCTTATTAAATAGAAAATTATAATTTGTCACTGAACATTTTAATACTAACTTGGTAAGAAAAAATATTTTTTCTATCCATTAAAGATATGTACTAATTTAATTCAGTACACTGGAAAAGGGTGGAAAAACTGATATTGCCTTATGTACTTGTAACTCCTGGGAGAAAGGACAACATATATTTTTTATGTGTGCTTTTTAATGTTTGTCGAAGAGGCTGCCAATCTTAAAACACTGTAACCTATCATTCTTATTGGATGTATGTATCAAATATGAATATTATTTACCATAGCGTTTTCAATCAAAAGTTGCATCATGAACTCTTCTAAATTCTCAAAATTTAATTTATAAAATAGATTAAAATGCATTTTTATATATGTACATTGATGTCTTAATTGATCCCATGTGGTATTTGCACAAACAATAATAAAACTCATGTTATGCAGCGACCAAAACATCTATCATAAACATAATCTGTATCAGTTACTGATCATGTAATACTTTATTACAGTCATCACATTTTTTAGAGTCATGATAAGAATTTTGATCCAAAAGGGCTCAAAAAACAAACCATCTTAAAAGTGTTCTTCCTTTCAGCTCTGTTACAAGAGAAGGGTCATGTTTGTAAATATGAATGTGTATTTGTTTTTTGTTAAATTTTGTTTTCATAAAATATATAGGAAACTGATCACTCAGTTATTTATCAATAAAATAAAAGGTCAAACTCAGAACAAGTTTTCTTCCTCATCCAGGGCTTTTGTCATTTTCTCACATGGAAATACATACCAACATATGAATCAAAATCAGGACTTAACTGAAAACAGACTAAGAAAATTAATGGAGAATTGATAGAGAAAAGCAGTATCTTTCACAGCTGTTCTAATACTCATCAGGGAAATTGGGATGAAATACTAAATCTTGATTAAAGAAAATAAGCAAAGGAAGTTATGCATTTTTAATGACTCAGATTTTTTGTTAGTAATATGGAAATTTGTTAGATTCTTATACAAAATGAAACCAGAAGCTGAGATAAATCAAATATATAACCATATTAATTAAAAGGCAACTACACTTGGACTTACCACCATTTCTCTAATAACTTCTTAATAATAAAAATGTTTGATGGTCATTTAAAATGTATGAAACAACAGAATTGTGTAGCACAAATCTAGAAATCGTAAGAGCATTGCTTCATATTTCAGAATATTATTGTTGACACTGCATCTCTTTCTGCAGTGTGTTTAAATAACCCAAATGCAAGAAAGGAAGCATCTGCTTGACATTATTTCTGTCACCTCTACTATAAGCTACTGTAAACATGACCTCCTAAAACATACAACTTGTGAAACAGTACTCTGCTTTTCAAAACAATACTTCCAACTGTGCTGGGAACGTTTTACCCTGCAGAATCGTCATTTTCAAAAGATACAGCTTCTGTGATGAATCTATATGTATAAATAAAACAATATGATTCTACAGATCTGATATCCAAAAGGAAAATAAAACATAGGTGGCCTTAATAATTAGTGATAAAGACAGCCAAGAATTCCATGGACCATCAGCTAATCTAATTTTAAGTGTTTCAATTCCCAGCAAAACTTGCTAATGGACCTACAGAAGCTAAACTGACCTATTTTTCATCTTCTCTTCCCCAGTCTCTCTGTAGCTGATGTCATAAGCATAAAATAAAGTTGTCCTAGAAGTAAAAAGAAGAGAGGCATGTATAAAATGTGAAACTAGGTAACATTCTTCCAAGTGAAACACTGACCACAGAGTTAGGAGACATTTAAGCATGTGTAGTTTATAAAAAAAATGACACTGGGCAATATGGTGAAATTGGGGACCATATAGCACCAAACATAGAGAAAGTCATGGGATCTGCTAGCCTAATATCAATGAAAGAATTCAGTCTAAAAAATCAACTATAAGCCGGGCACAGTGGCTCACGCCTGTAATCTCAGCACTTTGGGAGGCCAAGGCGGGCATATCATGAGCTCAGGAGATCGAGACCATCCTGGCTAACACAGTGACACCTTGTCTCTACTAAAAATACAAAAAATTAGCCTGGCTTGGTGGCAGGCACCTGTAGTCCCAGCTACTAGGGAGGCTGAGGCAGGAGAATGGTGTTAACCTGGGAGGCGGAGGTTGGCAGTGAGCCGAGATCGTGCCACTGCACTCCAGCCTGGGCGACAGTGCAAGATTCCATCTCAAAAAAAAAAAAAATCAACTATATTCATGCCACTGATAACATTCCCCCACTTTCCACTTCTTAAGTGAACGTTTGTTTTTCTAGTATTGCTTGAACATTTAACATTATTGAACAGCTTAGCGTTTTGTGGATTGGCTCATCTCTTGCTTTAATATTTCTTCTGAAGCCTTAATGAACAGAGATACCTAAAAGTAATCCTGAACGGCTGTTTTTTTGATACCATAAAAATCCTTAATCCAGTAAGTATTTATTGAGTCAATTGTGTGCTAGGCACTGTTTAGGCACTTTCAATACTTCAGTAAACAAAAAAGAAAGAGAAAGAAATATAACCTTCCTGCAACTTATATTCTAGTAGAGAAAGCCAGCTAATTAACAATAAACACAATAAATAACTGAACTATATGTTAGTTGGTAAGTACTACAGCAAAAACTGAACTTGGTAAGGGAATAGGGTATGGTGGGAGAAGGGAGGGGTGGGAGCAATTTTAAAGAGAAGGTGAAATTTGAGGAGAGTTTTTCAAATCTGCACTTTATTCCTTCGACTCAGTATAGTTCTTAGAAAAGATTCCTCCACTGGACCACTTCTAAGCCTGACTAATGAAATGTGTGAGCTTTAAATTGATTTAACTGCTTGCCTTTCAGAGTCTTCTTAGGCTGAAATATGGGGTCTGAGGAGCAAGGCTTGCTGAAAGGACTAGAGATAATTATTCAGTTTAGCTTGGCTGATGTCACAGGTCCTGTGACTAGAGGCATATCTATTCTCTCTGGTGTCCTATAAACATGCACTGCACCATCGTCACTTAACACGATTTTACTTTGTTGCTGGACACATAACTCCTGCTTAAAATACTGTGGACATTGAGAACAGATTTGTATTATGCTATGGTAGGAAAATATCTGCCTTAGATAGACATAGCAACAGAGGATGTCAAAACAATTTTATAAATATGCAAACTTCTCAGACCATGCAAAGTGAAGTTTTAGCTCATATTCTCTGCCTAACAACCTACTGCCAACTCAACAGCCCTCCTAAACATATTGGCAATAAAGCACAGAATAACAATTCATAATTTCACTTAAACATTGACTCAGCAGCCTAATTTTGTTTTCAACAGGCAAAATATAATTCATAAGAAGTTAATTATTACAATTGTTTAAGATTTTTGAACAATAGAGAAAAGATAAAATGTTCTGAACTTTTAGTTCTGAATGTTTACATATAAAGATAATGGTAGATTTGTAAATTATAAAAGTTATTTGCTCTACAAATTATTTTTTTCATCAATAAATTTAAATTATAGACTAGGCACGGTGTCTCAAGCCTGTAATCCTAGCACTTTGGGTGGATTGTCTGAGCTCAGGAGTTTGAGACCAACCTGGACAACATGGCGAAACCCCATCTTTACTAAAAAATACAAAAAAAAAAAAAAAAATTTAGCCAGGCATTGTGTTGCATGTCTGTAGTCCCATCTACTCAGGAGGCTGAAGCGGGAGAATCACTTGAACCCAGGAAGTGGAGGTTGTGGTGAGCAGAGATAGTGCCACTGTACTCCAGTTTGGGCAACAGAGAGAGACTCAGTCTCCAAACAAATAAATAAATAAGATAAACTCTTGTTGGAAAAAGTTATACTATAATTAAGGGACGAATTGTGTTTTGTATAAAGCCTTAAAAAACAGAAAAAGTTGACGTTTTGTATTTCACTCAGCAGGAGATCTGAGACAGGAATAATGAGGAAATTCTATAGGTAACATGCTATGTAGTTTCAAATTAGACATCCTTATGTCAAAAGGCTGAAAAGGCTAAGAAGAAACCCAGTAGTGAAACCATTTGGCAAAGTCATTAGGTAAGCCCAGAATTGAATCTTGAGTCAGAAGAAAGACTCATAGTTCTAATCTGACACTAAGTTTAATCCATTAACCTACAAATAAATCATTAATCCTGAAGTCAAGAAAGTGAGAGGCAGATGTCCTGAAGTTTGAATTTATCTCAGAGTTAAATATATGGAGAAAAAAGAATAAAAATCAAAGTTTTCTTTTTCTGCCATAAACTAAGGAAGTGAAGTTTCAATAAAAAAATTGAAAACTGTTCTTCGTAAGACTGTATTTACTTTTCTTTGTCAATCAGCAAATGCAAATGGCAGCACTGGGAACCAGCAGAGAGGATAAAAAGAATGAGCTATAAGCCTCAATATAATTTTTGAGAGAGCTATGAATTAAAGTGTCACATTGTTACTATTTACTCACGGAATAAAAATCATGGGGAGGGGAAGCTTAAGTTTAAGCCAAATGGTGACTTGATACTCCTAATTATTATGTTATAATCTTTTATCTTAATGCCTGACATAAGTTCTTTCTCCTAGGAACTAAAGATGTCAGGTGTGTGTGTGTATGTGTGTATGTGTTGTGGTGTACAAACCCACAGACATATAACTAGATAAGCCCACATACACACATCATCAATGAAGAGATATCATGTAAACCATCAACAGAAAGCTGTACAAAGAGTATTAGTCTTTGGTTCCCAGTGATTTGCATAAAATAATGAAATTCTGAAGTTTTGGAGAACACAATTTTAAATGTATGACTTTTCTTCTTGCTCTAATATGTACAGTGCCTGTAATAAAACTTGAAGTCCTGAAAAAGAATTATCTATTTCTCATCATCCATGATACCTAATAATGTGCATTAGAACTGGCTTATTTGATATGATCCTAGAAAAATGATCCTATGGGTAAAGTAGATTTAAAAAGAAAGGTTAACCAAAAATCTGAAAGGAATTCCCAAATTACAAAGAATTCAATTATATGTTGAATTGCTATTTCTACCCACGTGCGTTTTGATGCTTATTTTATCAATGAATTTTTGTTATTGTTTTATTTTTGAGACAGGGTCTCACTCTGTCAGCCAGGCTGGAATGCAGTGTCATGATCACCATTCCATGTACCCTCAACCTCCTGGGCTCAAGCAATCCTCCGCCTCAGCCTCCCAAGTAGCTGGGACTACACGCTCACATCATCATGACTGGATAATTTTTTTTTTTTAGAAACAGGGTCTCACTATGTTGCCTAGGCTGGTCTTAAACTTCTTGGCTTAAGTGATCCTCTCGCCTCGGCCTCCCAAAGTGCTGGGATTACAGGTGTGAGCCCCAATGCTCATCTTATTTTATCAGTAAATTTACAATAGCCTCGCTGGCATAAAGAAGACTTGCCTTAAAACTTCTATTATTTTATTTAATCCTAATATTGTTGTTATGTTTAAAGGAAAATTTGCATTCATTTGCATATATAAGCTGAGTGTCCAACAAATGGAGAATAATTTAACATCTCCAACATATATTACACTGTTTTAAATTCTAAAAGTTACTGCAAAGGTCAACAGAAATTATTGTGCATCATCATTTATGCTGTCAGAGGTGAGCATGAGATAAAGCTACTTACCTCTAAGGTGAATGACAGTACCACGTCGGACTTTGACAGCTGAATCTCATTCTCATCTCCTATGTCCAAAAATGCAGAGTTCTGTGAACGTTTTAATTTTTGTAATTTAAATTCCGGACCACCTTTCGAAACTGGAAGACTTTCCAAATTGGCCATTAGCAAATTCACTGAAGACCGCAACTCTTCTATATACATATTCTCCATATCTTTTGCTATAAATTTGGGGAATTTTCTTTCCTTGAAAATAATTTTTAAAATAATAGTGTTACATAAGTCATATTTCAATTTTATCATACAAAATTGTATGATATATATACTTCACTGTCTTAGAAATTACAACACTCTCAATATATCTATCCTACTTGAGTCACTAGGCTGTAAAATCCTCAGGCTTTGGCATTTTTGATTATATCTATGGTACTTCAGATATCTTATTGAGGATCACTGCAGTACAAAATGAAAAAATCGCATATATTTTCACATTAAATTTATTTGTGATAAGATTTGCTTAAGGAAAAACAAACTCTGAAAACATGCATGGAAGATATTTTAGCGTATAGATGAACCTTAGCCACTAGTAGCTTTGCGATGCTTGGGATAACTGGTCTATAAAAAAATGTTCAGGACACACAGCTTTCCAAGTTAGGAAACAAACATTTTAACAATAGCCCAATTTCTTACCACAGATATGCGTTGTTGGAAGAGTATGCTTTTTCATAAATAGGCATTAAAAACTCACATTATTGAAGAGTGATATGGTCATATTTCTAAAATTAGTAAATTTTCACATTACATTAATGTGCCAAGATCTCTTCTGGCTATAAATTCAGTTTTTTACTAAAGGCTTAGAAAAAGTTAAGTTTAAAGCAAAAGGAAATTTATGATAAAAACTATTAAGGGAAAAATTAACAATATCAATTTGGAAGATTCTATTTTCTTGCTAAATTATATCAGCATTGCCATTCAATAATTTTAACTCTGCAATCAGATTTGTTTCTTCTGCTCAATTAAAAGGATGTTCCAAATATTGATATTTAGATGGTGCCGAATCATTCTTAGAGAAGATTATAATAAATTTATATTCCCCAGAACAGCAAATGAGAGCACTTTGTTCCCTCACATTCTTGGCTCTTTCTTTAATGTTTGCCAACCTGGCACTTAGGTTTTCTCTCTTAAAGACAGAGGGTATATAGTTTTACAACATTAAGCCTAGTTTAAAATGACCACCAGTGCACAGAACCGGCTGGAGGATGAAAGCCTAAAGCAGCCATCTTTCAAATGGCTGCTGAATGCTCCAGAAAAGCACTGCCTTTACTGTTGTCTCCCTTGACATCATTCAAAATCTAACCTAAGAAATCTGCATGTGTAGTACAATTTGAAAGCATCCAGCATGCTCTTGTCAACCTGCATCTAGTCTCTGACTCACTTGCACCAGTTCATTCATGGGATTGGAAGGAACATCTGGCACCACTTCACAGATCAGTCCCAGAGTCTCAGGCCACCTGCTTTTCTTCTCCTCCAATATAACATTCACATATTTCTTTTTAAAATAATTTACATATAATCAAAATTAAAATTGCATAATGTCACAGACAGATTAAATATCTACATTAAAAATTAACTTTCCCAAAGAAGGTTCTTAAATATCCTTTTAAAATTTCTCTACAGTTTGAAGCAACATTCCAAAACAGCAAATTTGTATCCTTAAGAAAAACAGGCAACTACCCAGCTATAAAATACCTGGGTTTCCTTTAGTGGGGCGGGGGAGGGAAGGAATTGTCTTTAGAATATTTTTTCAGTACAAGCAAAGAGAGGGGAAAAAAGCAAAATGATCCATAAAAAACATATTTTACGTTTTTGGACTAACTTTAAGGCTGCCAGAAAAAGCATCCAAAACTGAGAAATAAGGCAAAGCAATGAGGGGGCAGATCCTTTCAATGTCGTATGGAGGTGAAGGCCATCCAATGATCATTTGGGGAAAAGTTCTTAGTTCACCTTATTATTTATTATTGATTAAAGATTCCAGACAATAAAGCTACATGTTACCTTGTAAAACTGTGTCTGAAAGAGGTGCAAATAAAGTTTGGTGAATAATATAACCCACAGGTTCAGTTTAAATCTGTATTAGAAATTAACCAATTTTTGATTAAACCCCATTAATCTTACCTTAGTAATGCCCCCAAACACCTAGTTTCTCATATGCTCTTTGGTCTGGTTTTAACACCTAACTTGTTTGCTTATTAATTATGCGTTGAATAAAATCTCTATTGTGTGTCCATTTTATATTTATATGAAAATCACAATTCTACCCCTAAAAAAGTAGAGTTTAACAAAGAAAAAGGCGAGCATGTCACGTATCTGAAAGTTCTGATATACTAACGCTTTGCTTTCAAATTTTCAACATGTTATGGAAAATCTAGCATTAGCACAAGAACAAAAATAATCTATTTGTATTTAGCTTTAACTATAAACACTTCATGAACTATCTATCATCTGTCAAACAGGAGAAAAGCAGGCATCTCCAAAATTGGCTCTTTTATCAGTATTTCCAAACATTTCAGGGACTAGACTATACTTGAATTTTTTTCTCCAAAAAAGCTCAAAATTCAGTTTTAAAGCTTTGAGGTTTATTGATAATATTTCATTAACTCTATTCAGCCTGCTTGTGTTGTCCCTCACTGGCAAACAACAAAACTAACTGTATATCAGACAAATGTACATTTTAAATTTGTTGTTTTAAACTAGAATTGAATGAGAAATAGGGTTATTTCCTAGTTGTCTAACTGTGAGTCACTCTTACAAGTCATGTGTTCTAATTAGGTCCTCTGTACAGCATAGGTCCCTAGTGGTCTTAACCCATGGTATACACAAAAACAATATTTGCTTCTTTAAAAAGTTTTTCTCATTATTCAAATATAGTCACTTTTTCTTATGCGCTCTTAACCTTCCATTAGATGACATCTGGGGTTCATATCACAGGATTGTTTCTCTAAGCTGATCTCTGCTGCTTCCCATGCCCCACATTAATTTTAGGTTCTAATCTCAGCATCATGGCATCAAGTGAACTACTGGCTGTGAAGCTGGTTCCAAACCTAACTAAATCGTTGAAGTGTTTAAATGTTTTTGCTACAAATTAGAGCAGATTCAGTTATCCTTACCATATTGGTATTCTCTCTTCCTTTCAATTCAAATATGCCTTTGAGTGGGAGAAAAGGGAGGGAGTCTACAAATAATTCAAGAATTCTTCACAGCCCCAGATTTCTCACAAATATGCCAGCATGTAAGACTCAGTCATTTGATAGACATTCCCTGAGTGTCTGCTATGTGTTCTGCTCCAAGCCCCTGGATAGAACCATGAAGATAATGGACAAAGTCCTGATAGACTTAGTAAACAAGGAAATAATTTCTTCTGATAGAAAGTCATAAGTGGCATGGAGAAAAAGTCTAGAAGGAGGAACACAGAGTGAGTGGTGAGAAGGGTTGCAGCTTTAAACGGGGTGGTAGGGGAAGGTCTCAATGAGCAGATGATGCCCTTTGAGCTAAAAGTGGATAAGGAAGTATGATGATTAATTATTTTTTTTTTTTTTGAGACAGAGTTTCGCTCTTGTTGCCCAAGCTGGAGTGCAATGGCACAATCTCGGCTCACCACAACCTCCGCCTCCCAGTTTCAAGTGATTCTCCTGCCTTAGCCTCCTGAGTAGCTGGGATTACAGGCAGGCGCCACCACGCCCGGCTAATTTTGTATTTTTAGTAGAGACGGGGTTTCTCCATGTTGGTCAGGCTGGTCTCAAACTCCCGACCTCAGGTAATCCGCCCGCCTCAGCCTCCCAAACTGCTGGGATTATAGGCATGAGCCACCGCATCTAGCCCAATTAATTTTGTTTGTCAGTCTGGCTAGGCTATGGTGCCCAGTTGTTGGATCAAACATGAATTTAAATGTTGCTATCAAGATATTCTTTAGACGTGAATAACATTTACAATCAGTAAATTCAGTAAATCGGATCACCCTCCTACATCTGTAGGTAGGTCTCATTCACTCAGCTGAAGGATTTATGACCAAAGGCGAAGGTTTCCTAAAGAAGCAGCAATTTTGCCTCAAGACTAAAACACAGAAACCCTGTCTGAGTTTCTCACCTGCCAGTCCGCCCTACAGATTTCAGACTTAAGACTGTAACATCAACCCTCACCTGAATTTCCAGCCTGCCTACTTGTCCTATGGATTCTGGACTTGCCAGTGCCCACAGCCGTGGGAGCCAATTCCTTGAACGCAATCAATCTCTCTCTCTCTCTCTCCCTGCCCTCCCACACACACACACATATATATACACACATAACATGTATGTATGCATAACATCTACTTTTTAATATTATATACATATTTATTATATCTACCTAGATATTGGTCTAGATATATGAAAATACAGATATAATCTCCTATTGGCTCTGTCTCTCTGGAGAACCTGACTACAGCAGGGAGAAAGCCATGTAAATGTCAGTGGAAGTTCGCTGCAGGTGAAGAGTCAGGGCCAAGACCCTGTGGCAAGGAAAGGCAAGGAGGCCACCATCGCCAAAGTGGATTGAGCAAGGGCAAGAGTTTAGTGGAGGATAAAGTCAGAGGGGTAAAAAAGACCAGATCACACAGGACTGGGGTAACAAAGACCAGATCACACAGGACTTTGCAGGCCATTTTAGGAACTTTTCTTTTTTTCTCAGCAACATAGGGAATCATCACAGATTTAGTGCAGAACATCACTGGCTGTTGTGTTAATGAGGACAGGGGTAGAATCCAGGAGACTGGCTAAAAGGACAGAACAATGATCCAGACAAGAGACAAAGATGAATGGACCACAGTGGAAAGGGAAGGATGGTAACAACTGTCACATTCTGGAAATACTGTGAAGGTAAAGATAAAGGATTTCCTGATAAGTTTTGCATGAGGTATGAGAAAAAGGAGTCAAAGATGATTCCAAGTTTTTTGGCCTGAATATCTGGAAGGATTGTACTATCAAGAACTGGCCTGCCCTGACCACTTGACTGAAAACTGTAACCACCCACCACCTCTCTCCTACACTCCTCATCCCACTTTTTCTGATCTATTTTCTAAGTAACAATGATCACCTTCCATAATTCAATTACACGGCATGTTTACTCCTTATTGTGGGGCTATCGCAAATAAAATGTAAGCTCCACCAGGGCCTGGCAGAAATATTTTTGTCTCATTTTATCCCAATGTATCCCAAGTAGCTAAGACTGCACCTGGCTGTATAGTTGGTGTTCAATAAATATTTGGTCAATTAATTTGTGGATAGAAAAAATGAGGCTCGAAAGTGTTAAGTAACGTGCCTACTATTATGTTTAGAAAATAGCTATCATGAATTTGGTCACAGGTCTTTCTGGCCCTGTACACATTTTGTTCACTACTTCCTAATTACCTCTTGGCTGAAGTACTAAAGTCAACATGTCTCTTGAAACAGAGATTTTGCCCTGTAGTTTCACTGTTATTATATTGTGTTGTTCTGTGAAGTGTGGGAGGGGGTGTTCCTGAATGCCAACTAATAGCTGTTTATTAACCACTCTTCTGGAATGATCAGATTGCAGAGGCAGCAGGATGTTAAGAGAGCGAGCCCAGGCTCTGGAAGCAAGGCCAGGATTTGAGGCCTGCCTCAGCCACTTATTTGTTATGTAATCATGGTGAAATAAATAATCTTGTCTAAGCCTCAATTTCCTCTTCTATAAAATTGACTTCATGATATCATCTGCCCTTACAAGGTTTGTAGGATTATTGTCAGAAAATAATTCAGCAAGGTCAGTCAATTGTTATTAGGCTTAAAAATATTTCATTAAGACGGCTTCACTTTGGTGAACTTGAAGTGGAAAGCAATTAAACCTGCTCAATCTATGTCAATATTTTCATCAAAAGGTATCCTATTTTTAGAGGTATATTTTGCTTTCCAACCCCATCAGCTTTACTTCTTTCTCCATGTTTTTTCCACTCTATCAACATCTCTGATGAAACCATTAGGGTTCTCTCAAGGAGAAGCCTTTGTGTGTTCATCACTAACCCTTTCTTCTGACTCAGCCCAGGAGTTTATGAACACACCTTCTTCTCAGTCATGAACCTGAGAATACGTCTGAGTCTCTTCTTCCAGTCCCATAACTCTCTAGAAAATCACTTAAACTTTATTCTAAAGCATTACATATGACAATGTGCCCAGTCTCAGGTACAATCTATATACAAGTAGGTAATTTTCAAATGCTGAACACAGATCCACTGTCCCTCCTGCTGCTGTCAGGCACATCTCTCCAGGTTCTTTATTAGCTTTAGGTCTCAGAAAAGCAATTTCTTTTCCAGCCAGGCTCAATACAGGATAGGACTTGGCATTAAAATATTTTTCTTTCTAAAGGTTTCAATAGCCTCAAGTTGCTTGCTTTCTACTCTACAAAATCCACATTCAAATCTCTAGAATGAAATACCACCTTTCTAGAAACCCAGAGGACAAAAATAAGGCATGCTATCCTTTCAATCACTGCCCTCTGTGCAAATGTAACTCTTTGGCCCCTAATTTATAGCACACTGTATCTTCATTCATCTAGAGATTCTTCCTCATGATCTAATTCCTGCTTGGTTCTTACAACTTACTGTCATTCTTGTTACCCAATTATCTACATTTTTCTCTATTTTATTATTTATTTCTAATTTCTCAACTTTCCCTCTACTTTTTAATAAACACTTAAACAGTGTTAGCATTTTAAAAACATTATGTATTAATATTTACAAATACACATTTTCTTTGCAGAAGTAAAAAAATAATTGTTAAAATTAGTATGGGATATAACTTCTTGAATGCTGGAAGAGTTCATTATCTTGATCTGGGAGGTGGCTACACAGGATGTATGCGTAAACATTCATTAAACTGTAAAATGAAGATGTGTGCAGTTTATTGTATACATGTTACGAGAGAGAGAAATAGAGAGGGAGACTATCCATCAAATATTGGAAGTTTTTGCTAAGCAGAAAGGAAAGGGAGAGAATCTTATGTTCAGAGCAATCAACAGCACTATAACTGCAAGTCCATTGAAAAGAACTAAAATTTTCATATCATTGAAGTAAGTTAATAAATTCACTAAAGAATGATTTAGACAATTGGGTTCCATTCTCTCTAAAAACCTTAAGTACTAGAAAAAACTCATGCCTTTTGTCTGAAATTTATCTCTATTCACGATACACAGTGATCACACAAATAAAATAAGTACAATATGATGAATTTCTTGTATCAAGCACACTTCATCTGCCAGATTGCATACTAGATACTTAAAATAATATTTTTTCATGCATTTAGTCATTCAATTAAATGTTAGTCAGAACCACTATGTGCCAATAACTTTACTGTATACTTAGGAATGTATTATATGATTTTGCGGGGAGGAGTTTTTTCTCCCTGGTTATATTTTGCTTAGTAAAACATTAAAACTCTTCTAGATCTGGCAGTTTGAGAAACTCATGCATTGCTTTAAGAGAAGTCTATAAAAGTTATCATTAAAATTAAACAGTTCACATATTAAGGATGAGTACGTAAAATGAATAATATGCTTCATTTAGATAACATGCTTTCAGATATTTGGGATTAAGAGGTCTATGTGTAGAGGAGAAAATGTTAAAATTATGCTGGCTCTTTTTTTTTTAACCTATACAAAACACTTTTTCAGCTCACAGAAATCTAGGTAAAGAAAGGAATGTCATACAGTATGTCCAAGTTAATAATTTACCTTTGCCATTTTATCTGCCAATTGCAGCCGGCCATCAAGTTCCCTTCTGATCTGGGCTGCTTGTTCATCTGCGTTATCCAGCTTAAAAATAAAACAGAAGTTACACATATGTAATTACTTAATCTATATACAGTGACCCACAGACTGAGGCAGTCCCACAGACTAAGGCAAAGATTAAATGACTGAAAAATGTTTAATAGATTGTATCAGATATCTATTACAAAGAGAATACAGGAGGTTGTTCAATTAGATTGGCAGACCAGATAAATTTCTTGGGTACTTTCTCATTGTGGTTTTACTCACAAAACCACCAAATCAAGAAATTAGATTTCTTGATCATTAAGTCAGTCCTAAATAGTTCCAGAAAGATGAAGCTCTTGTTTTGTTCTTTCAAGTTCTCACCATGTATTTCTGGAGGGTGAGATGCTAATGTTTCACTTCTTTCTTTGTACTTTAAAAAAACTCCCTTTGCTTTAATAATAAGTTTGTATTAGTGCTAAACTATAAAAGTACTCTTTGATTGACTGATACAACTTTCTACCACTTAAGTCTTCATATACTCCTCATTCTAATACCAGTAGACTAATACTGCCAAGAAATCCTTCCATTCTTTTAAGGATTGGCACCATATTAGAAATCCATTCTCCTGTTCTAAATTTGACTGAAAACAAGAAAAGTGTGCTCTCATCATTTTTTTTAGAAATCTCCCATTTACATGGAAAATTATTTTCACTTCATGAACTAATCCTTAACTTTTTCTATAACTTATTTTAACTTTACTCATGATACCTTTTCACCCATTCACTCAATATTAGTCCCTTTATAAAAATGTTAAAGTGAGGATGTTAAGTGTTAATTTTCTCTTGACTTTAGTTTTTTCTCCTTTTGCACTCTCATCACGAAGAAGCCTGGACTGCACAATACACTTTAGTAAAGGACCATCTAAAGATTCGATTGAGTATAACATTAAACACCAATGAGAAAACAGTTTACTTGTCACTTTCCCAAAGAACTACAAATTGACCAGGTTACATTTTTAAAAACATCCTCAAAGAGAGTCCTCAAAAAGATGAGTAGAAGCAAACCAGATTAACAGGATAGTGGTGGTAAGGCAATTTATATGAAGAGTCAAAAAAAAAAAAAGAGGAAGATGTTCCTATAAAAGAACACCAAAAGTCTGGAGGTGAGGAGGTAAAACTAGACACACACAGTGGTTCTTTTGGAATGGGATACCAGAAGAGGCAGGGTGAGGGACAGGACTGGAGAGAGAAGCAGGGCAACTTCATAAGTTACTCTTCACAAGCCACATTAGGGAATTTGGAGTTAGTTCCTACAACAATGGGACTTCCTTGAGAGGTTTAAAGTGTAGGAGTGATATGATCAGATGTAAGCTTTGGAAAGGAAAGATCACTCTGTCTCTAGTACAAACAATAGGTCAGAAAGACGGAAGTCTTATTTTGTTTTCTTTAAAGATATACACAAAATGTTAAATTGAGGATATTCATGTTAATTTTCTCTTGGGAGAAAAACTATACAAAAGGCCTGAGATTACCTGTCTAAAATATGTTTCCAAGTTGATTTTTAAAAAACCAAATTCATTTTAAAATAAGTTAAAAAAACAGGCAAGATTTTCTTAAAGTAAATCCTTGTTATATAGGAGTTTCTATGTCATCTCATAAAACTAACAAACAATTTTAATTGATTAATATGATTCAAAATCAAACAGAAACAAGTTTCTCTTCACTGTGTCTAAAATCAAAATGATTAAAATTAAAAACTAACGTAATTATGAAGAAAAATAATATGCAGTAAGTACGGGTTCCAGGTTAACTGAAATCTCTCATTCCAAGCTCCTAAAAACTAAACCATAAGAACACTGAAACTGTAACAATACTTCAAATGCACTAAATGTAATATGAAATATATTATGATCTTTGCTTAAATGCTGATACATATTTCTTCAAAAGACATAAAAAGTTACTTGCATATAAAGAAATTATATTTTTCTCACAGCTTCAACAAAAAATAGCATTTAATATCTTAAAAGGCCACAGTTTTTCAAACTTCACTAGAAACACTAACATATTTTTGTATCTATATCTCCAGATTAACAGCTCTTACTTAAGTGTAAGTGAAATTGTTTGAGTTATTTCTAAATTTTGGTAGTTTTGTTTGTAAGAGACAATTTACAACTACATATTTTTTCTTTTTGTGGAGATGGAGTTCTCGCTATGTTGCCCAGGCTTGTCTTGAACTCCTGGGCTCAAGTGATCTTCCCGCCTCTGCCTTCCTAAGTGCTGGAATTACAGGCATAAGCCACCGCACCTGGTCTGTTTTTTTAAAAAATAATTAATGACTTGATCACATTTGTCTGAAAAAAAAGTAAGCAACAAAACAAAACAAAACCAAAAACAATGTAGAGCACTGGGACACTACATTGTCTTTTCTTTTTTTTTTAATTTCAGATTTGGAGGGGGTACAGTGTAGGATGGTTTCATGGGTATATTACATGTTGTTGAGGTTGAGGTTGGGGATATGGATGGTCCCATCACCCAGGTGGTGAGCATAGTATCCAATAGGTAGTTTTTCAGCCCACATTTCCCTTGGTCAATCATTCCCCAGTGTACTATTCCCATCTTTATATCTATGTATATTCAATGTTTAGCTTTCATTTATAAGTGAGAATGTGTGATATTTGGTTTTATGTTAAGGTGCTAATTTGCTTAGGATAATGGCTTCCAGCTGCATCGACATTGCTGCAAAGAATATGATTTCATTCTTTTTTAGGGTTGTGTAATAATCCATGGTATATATGTGTGTATGTATATATAAAATATTTTCTTTATCCAACCCACCATTAATGGGCACCTATGTTAATACCAGGTCTTTGCTATTGTCATTAGTGTGTCAATGACCATATGGGTGCAAGTGTCCTTTTGATCAAATGAATTATTTTTCTTTGGGTACATACCCAGTAGTAGGATTTCTAGGTGTAACAGTAGTTCTGTTTTAACTTCTTTGAGAAATCTTTAAACTACTTTCTATAGTGGCTAAAGTAATTTGGATTACCACCCACAGAATACAAACATTTGCTTTTCTCTGCAGCCTCACCAACATCTGTTGTTTTTTTGACTTTTTGATAATAGCCATTCTGACTGCTGTGAGATGGTATCTATCTCATTGTGGCTTTGATTTGCATTTCTCTGATGATTAGTGATGTTGAGCATTTGCTCATGTTTTTTGGCCACTTGTACATCTTTTGAGAAGTGTCTGATCATGTCCTTTGCCCATTTTTGAGTTGGATTGATTTTGCTTGATTTAAGTTCCTTGTAGATATCTGTATATTAGATCTTTGTCAGATGCATAGTTTGCAAATATTTTCTCCCATTCTGTAGGCTGTTGGTTGACTCTGTTGGTAATTTCTTTCGCTGTGCAGAATCTCTTTAGATTAATTAGGTCCCACTTGTCAATTTTTGTTTTCACTGTAATTGCTTTTGTGGACTTAGCCATAAGTTATTTGCCAAAGCTAAGGTCGAGAAGGGTATTTCCTAGTATTTCTTTTAGAATTTTTAAACTTTGAAGTCTTACATTTAAGTCGTTAATCCACCCTGAGTTAATTTTCGTATATGATGAAAGGTAGGGGTCTAGTTTCATTCTTCTGCATATGGCTAGCCAGTTATTCCAGCACCATTTATTGAAGAGGGAGTGCTTTCCCCATTGTTTATTTTTGTTGATTTTATCAAAGATCAGATAGTTGTAGGTGTGCAGGTTTACTTCTGAGTTCTCTATGCTGCTCCATTTGTCTATGTGTCTGTGTTTGTACTAGTACGATGCTGTTTTGGTTACTTTAGCCTTATAGTATACTTTGAATTTGGGTAGTGTGATGTTTCTGGCTTTGTTCTTTTTGCTTAGGATAGTTTTGCCTATTTGGGCTTTTAGGTTCCATGTGAATTTTAGAATAGATTTTTCTAATTCTGTGAAAAATCATGTTGCTATTTTGATAGGGATAGCACTGATTCTGTAAATTGCTTTGGGCAGTATGATCCGTTTAATGATACTGATTTTTCCATTCCATGAATATGGAATATTTTTCCATTTATTTATGTCATCTTTGTCATTTTCTAAGCAGTGTTGTGTAGTTCTGCCTGTAGAGATCTTTCACCTCATTGGTTAGATGTATTCCTGGGTTTTTTGTTTGGTGTGTGTATCTATTGTAAATGGGATTGTGTTCTTGATTTGGCTCTCAGCTAGAATTTTACTGATGTATAGAAGTTCTATTGATTTTTGTACTTTGATTTTGTGCTGTGAAACTTTACTGAAGTCATTTATCAGTTCGAGAAGCTTTTTGGCAGAGTCTTTAGGGGTTTTCTACATATAGAATATCATTAACAAAGAAAGCTAATTTGACTTCCTCTTTTCCTACATGGATGCATTTTATTTATTTCTATTGCCTGATTTCTCTGGCTGGGCTTCTAGTACTACGTTGAACAGGAGTGGTGCGAGTGGACATTCTTGTCATGTTCCAGTTCTCAAGGGGAATAGTTCCAGCTCTTCTCCATCCAGTATGATATTGGCTGTGAGTTTGTCATAGATGGCTCTTATTTTTATATGTTTCTTCAATACCTAGCCTGTTGAAGGTTTTTATCATAAAGGAAAATTGGACTTTATTGAAGGCTTTTTCTGCATCTATTGAGATTACATGGTTTTTAATTTTGGTTCTGTTTATGTGGTGAATTATCTTTATTTATTTGCTTATGTTGAGCCAACCTTGCATCCCAGGAATACTGCTTGATTGCTGTGAATTAACTGTTTGCTATGCAGCTGGATTTTGTTTGGTAGTATTGTATTGAGGAGTTTGTGACTATATTCATTAGGGATATTGATTTCTTATTTCATTGTGTCTCTTCCAGATTTTGGTATCAGGATAATGCTGGCTTTGTAGGATGAGTTAGGGAAGATTTTTAAAAATAGTTTCAGGAGGATTGGTACCGGTTCTTCTTTGTACATCTGGTAGAATTCAGCTATAAATGCTGAGCTAAGAAGCTGCTATTTCAGGGCTCTTTTTGGTTAGTAATTTTTAAATTACTGATTCAATTTCAGCATTTGTTACTGGTCTGTTCAGGTTTTCACTTCCTGCCTGGTTCAATCTTGGGAGGTTGTGTGCTCCCAGTAATTTATCCATTTCCTCCAGATTTTCTATGTAGCATATACAGAGGTTTTCAAAATAATCTCTGAGGATCTTTTTTTATATTTCTTTGAGATATTCTGTAAATCCATCTTTGTCATTTCTGGTTACACTTGTACGTATCCTTCTTTGTTAATCTAGCTAGCAGTCTATCAATCCTGTTTATGTTTTCAAAAAGCAACTCTTAGTTTCATTAATTTTTTGTATGAACTTTTACATGTCAATTTCATTCAGTTCTTTGCTGATTTTAGTTATTTCTTCTGCTAGCTTTGGGGTTGGATGTTTTCCTAGTTCCTCTAGGTATATTGTTAGATCGTTAATTTGAGATCTTCCTAACTCCTTGATGAAGGTGTTTAGCACTGTAAACTTTCCTTTTAACACTGCTTTAGCGGCATCCCAAAGATTTTGGTAAGTTCTGTCTCTATTTTCCTTAATTTTAAGGAAGTTTTTGATTTCTGTCTTAATTTCATTGCTCACCCAGGATTTATTCAGGAGAAAATTGTTTAATTTCCATGTTTATATAGGTCTGAGAGATCTTCTTGGTATTGATTTCTACTTTTATTGCCCTGTCGTCCAAAAGGATGCTTGGTAGTATTTCAATATTTTGAATTTATTGAGACTTGTGTTATCACCAAGCATGTGTCAATCTTAGAATATGTTCTGTGTGCAGATGAGAAGAATGTATATTCTGTGATTGTTAGATAGAGTATTCTGTAGATGTCTATTAGGTCCAATTGGTTAAGTGTTGAGTTTAATTCTGGAATTTGATAGTTTTCTGCCTGGATGATCTAATGCTGTCAGTGGGGTGCTGAAGTCTCTGACTATTAATGTGTGGCTAATTTTTTTTTTTAATTATTATTATTATACTTTAAGTTTTAGGGTACATGTGCACAATGTGCAGGTTAGTTACTATGTATACATGTGCCATGCTGGTGTGCTGCACCCATTAACTCGTCATTTAGCATTAGGTATATCTCCTAAAGCTATCCCTCCCCCCTCCCCAGACCCCACAACAGTCCCCAGAGTGTGATGTTCCCCTTCCTGTGTCCACGTGTTCTCATTGTTCAATTCCCACCTATGAGTGAGAATATGTGGTGTTTGGTTTTTTGTTCTTGCGATAGTTTACTGAGAATGATGATTTCCATTTTCATCTATGTCCTTACAAAGGACATGAACTCATCATTTTTTATGGCTGCATAGTATTCCATGGTGTATATGTGCCACATTTTCTTAATCCAGTCTATCATTGTTGGGCATTTGGATTGGTTCCAAGTCTTTGCTACTGTGAATAGTGGTGTGGCTAAATTTTTTCACAGGTCAAGAAGAACCCATTTTATGAATCTTTGTGCTCCAGTGTTGGATGTGTATATATTTAGGATAGTTAAGTCTTCCTGTTGAATTGAACCACTTTTCATTATGTAATGCCCTTCTTTGTCCTTCCTGATTGTTATTGGTTTCAAATCTATTCTATCTGATATGAGAATAGCAGCTCCCACATTTTTTTTTGTTTTCCATTTGCATGATAGATCTTTCTCTACCTCTTTGAGCCTGTGGTGTCATTACACGTGAGATGCCTCTCTTGAAGACAACAGACAGTTGGTTCTTGTCTTTTTTATCTAGCCTGCCACTCTATGCCATTTAAGTGGGGTTTTGAGACCATTTACATTCATGGATAGTATTGATATGTGAGATTTTGATCCTGTTATTTCGTTAGCTGGTTGTTTTTGTAGACTTGACTGTGTAAATGTCTTATGTTGTCTGTGGGCTGTGTGCCTAAGTATGTTTTTGTGGTAGCAGGTTTTGGTGTTTCATCTCCATGTTTAGCACTCTTTTAAGGACCTCTTGTAAGGGTAGTCTAGTGTTAATGAATTCCTTTAGTACTTGCTTATCTGAGAAGTATTTTATTTCTCCTTCACTTAGGAAGCTTAGTTTGGCAGGATATGAATTTCATGGTTGGAATTTCTTTTCTTTAAAAAAGCTGAAAACAGGCCCCCATCCTCTTCCGGCTCGTAAGGTTTCCACAAGAGATGTTTTTTTTTTTTTTTTTTTTTGAGATGGAGTCTCACTCTGTTGCCCAGGCTGGAGTGCAATGGTGCAATCTTGGCTCACTGCAATCTCCGCGTCCCAGGTTCAAGCAATTCTCCTGCCTCAGCTTCCCAAGTAGCTGGGATTACAGGTGCACATCACCATGCCAAGCTAATTTTTGTATTTTTAGTAAAGACAAGGTTTCACCATGTTGACCAGACTGGTCTCGAACTCCTGACCTGATGTGATCCGCCTGCCTCGGTATCCCAAAGTGCATGGGATTACAGGTGTAAGCCACCAAACTCGGTCTGCCTTTTTAAGATTTTTTTGTTGTTGTTGAACTTGGTGAATCTGATGGCTATGTGCCTTGGGGTTGGTCATCTTGTATACTATCTTGCCAGAATTCTCTGTATTTCTTAAATTTGTACGTCCAACTCTCTAGTGAGATTGGTGAAATTTTCATGGACTATATCCTCTAATGTTTTCCAAGTTGCTTACTCTCTTTCCTCTGTCAGGAATGCCAATGAGTTGTAGATTTGGTGTCTTCATATAAACTCATATTTCTCAAGGGTTTTATTTTTTTAAATTGTTTATTTATTTTTTTCTTTTTGTCTGACAAAGCTGACTTGAAGAACTTGTCTTTAAGCTCTGAAATTCCTTCCTCAGTTTGGACTATTCTGCTGTAATGCTTCTGACTGCATTATGAAATTTTGCTTTTTTTTTTTTTTTTTTTTTTTTTTTTTTTTTTTTTCCTGAGACAGGGTCTCACTCTGTGGCCCAGGCTAGAGAGCAGTGGCATGATCACAGCTCACTGCAGCCTCGACCTCCCTGACTCAAGTGATCCTCTTACCTCAGCCTCCCAAGTAGTTGGGACTACAAATGTGCACCACCATACCTGGCTAATTTCTTGTAGAGAACAGGAGGCTGACCTCAAACTCATGGGCTTAAGTGATCCTCTTGCCTTGGCCTCCCAAAGTGCTGGGATTACAAGCATGAGCCACTGTGCCTGGACTATTATGAAATTCTTGAAGTAAATTCTTCAATTCCAGAAGTTCAGTTGATTTCTTCTTTAAAATAGCTATTTTGTCTTTTAGCTCTTGGGCTGTTTTACGGAATTCCTTGAATACCTTGGATTGGGTTTCAACTTTTTCCTGGATCTTGATGAGCTTTGTTGCTACCCAGATTCTGAATTCTCTGTCTGTCCAGTAGTCATTACAATCTGGTTAAGAACTACTGCTGATGGGTTAATGTGTTTGTTTCGGCATAAAGAGACACTCTGCCTTTTTGAATTGCCAGCGTTTCTTGCACTGATTCTTTTTCATGTGTGAGGGCTGATGTTCCTTTAACTGTGACATAAGTTGAGTATAGTCAGTTGGCTCCATTTCTGGGTGCTTGCAGAGAGCCAAGGCTCTGTACATAATCTTTATTTATGTCTGGATTTTTGCCTTAGGTTTCACAGGTGCTGTATGCTGGCATAATGTTTTTGATGTTTCATTTGGGCTGTAATCCAGTAGGTGCTCCTTAAGAGTGGTGGCTGGCAGATAGCCTCTAACTCAGCCATGTAGCTCTGTTGTATTTTGGCATACGCACAGTAGTACTCTGTGGTCAGGGGAGAGAGAGCTGACAACCTCACCAGGTTTGCTCCTAGGCCTTGGAGGAGCCCCTTCTGATCACTGGCACCACGTCCACATTTTCTTTCTTAGGTGTTCTGGGCTATAGAGCTCCCTAAGGCAGAGACTGTGGCTGGTAGACAAGACTATACCCTTTCTGGAAAGCCCTTCAGAGGGAGACATGCCCTGCTCCCCCAACATCCTGAGAGCCCAGGGATCTCACCCTTTTCAGTATTCTGAGAGGGAGGGCGTCCTCCCCACCCCCTGCTTGGGGCTCTGCCCAAGTTAGGAGCAGGGTGAAGTTGAATCCTGCCCAGTTAGGAGCAGGATGAGTGGAGTCACCCAATTCACCATCGAAGTGCTTCCTGGGGGAACACAAAGCTCTCCTAAACCACAGGGGTTTAGCAGGTTTTCTGTCAAGAGGGAGTAGAGCAATCTGTCCATCTCCAGCACCATGACTGCAGCTTCTGTCAGGGCCATGGCACCTCAACCAGGCTGTTCCAGAGTCCAGGGCCTGGGGGGGTCCCCACGGACTTGAGTGTTGCCTCTGCAAAAACTCTGGGTAGCTCTCTGTATCAGTCTAGAGGCCCAAGGGAGTCATGGGGTTTTTCACATTCTCAGGATTGCACAGGTCACTGTGGGAAGTATGGATCCCCTGAGGACTCTTACTCACTAATTCTATCCCTGTGTTGAGGAGCTTCTCCTGTCTTCATGCTGGTCCCAGGCAGGCAGCTGCCCAGCTTCGATTTTCTCTGTTCTCCATGTCCCATTACTCCCTTGATGCATCCTGAATCCTGACGTGGTTTCTTAGATGATCCACTTAGAGAGTCCATGTTTACTCGTCACTATTTCCTCTCCACGAGAGCAGTACACACTAGCTCCTCTAGTCTGCCACCTTGAACCCTAAGTCCTACATGTCTTTTAGTAGCCTTCTCTTCATAAAGCGAAATTTTCAGAGGCCAAAGGGTACTAACTTCTGTGGCCACTGGTGTCATTTTGTGAAACTGGAAAAGCATACTTCCAAGCAACATGTTTACCAAAAAAGGAAAAAGCTAATGAAGGCAATGGATAAAAATTCAACCAGTAATCCTCATTTTATGTAATGTTAGAATTGAAGGGGATAAATTAGTTGGTTAACGTTCTTTTTTACATGTAAGAATCTTAGTTTAATGTTGCATGTTTTGAGTTTTGAGTTTTTTAAATTTATTTTCGACATAATTTATTTAATTGGAAGTTTATATAATTCTTATGAGCATTTTCCTAAAGGCAGAATTCAACTGAGACAATTTTGATTCACAAATAATTATAAAAAGTAGAAAAACATCCATTATATGCTCTTCCCAGTTTTCCCTAATGATAGCACCTTATAAAACTATAGTATTCTATCACAACCAGGATCCTGACTTTGGCTACGTAATCACCCATCTAATTCACATTTCCTCAGTTTTATGTGTGCTCCTTTGTGTGTGTGTTTAGCTCTCCACAATTTATTACTTACATAGGTCCATGAATAACCACCATAAAGACACTCCATAGCTCTAACATCACAATGAACCCTCATGATGCCCTTTTATACCCACATCCACCTCCCTCTAGCCAGTCCCCAGTTGGTTAGTTTTAATAATGATGTGCCCCATTTTACAAAATACTTCAAAATAAATTATACTAAGCCAAATATGATTTTCTTTTAATTGTCATTAGGAAACTGGAGATGTGGTCCCTTGAGCGCTCATAAACATTGGAGATTTTAGGTCTGCAGCCTCTGACCTCTTCTCAATCTAAATATTCACTGCCTGGATGCTCTCCTCAAAGCCTATGATCATAAGCAGCATCTAGTCTCTGATCTTCCAAGTGTGTATCTATAGCACGAAACTCTTGCAGGAGTTCCAGACTTAAATTTCCCATTGCCTACTCGAGTTTCAGCTTATGTGAAGACAAGGCACATTGAAATTAACAAGCCCAGAATAGAATCTCAATTTTCAGCTCCGTACCCCGATCATTCATGAGTAATGCCGTGTGATAAATGGCATGCCTCTCTACCAGTTGCTCAGGCCCAAAACCTACATGTCATCTTCGACTTCTCTCTCCCTCACAGTCCACATCCAATCCACCTAGAGTCATGTAGAGCGAAACCTAGAACCACATAGTTGAGACCTAGGCAGACCAGTATGCAGGGATTTTCAGGTATTATGAGTCTGTGGCCAGGTCTTTCTCTCCCTTTCCCTCTTCTGCACCCCCTCTCTTTCTTTGGGTGTGTGTGTACATTACAGTGTTTCTCTAGCCACTTCAAAGCACTATTTCAATTTGCCAGTATGGTTGGAAACTCTGTCACAGTGAAAATAATTATCTTTCTTTACTGAACCATCAGAACTTAAATAAGTGGTTGTGTGTGCACACACATATACACACACACACACACACACAGAGATAGAGAGAGAGAGAGAGAAAAAAAAAGAAGGGAAGGGGAGAAGAAATAAATAAAAGCCTGAATGGACAAAATTTAGGTCTAGGGCATTACAATTTAAAATGTTTCCATGCTGTTCCCTAAAAAATAAAAAATAAAAATAAAAAAAAATATTGTTGGCTGGGCGCGGTGGCTCACGCCTCTAATCCCAGCACTTTGGGAGGCCGAGGCAGGCGGATCACAAGGTCAGGAGATCAAGACCATCCTGGCTAACATGGTGAAACCACGTCTCTACTAAAAAAAATACAAAAAATTAGCCGGACTTGGCGGCGGGCGCCTGTAGTCCCAGCTACTCTGGAGGCTGAGGCAGAAGAATGGCGTGAACCCGGGAGGTGGAGTTTGCAGTGAGCCGAGATCACGCCACTGCACTCCAGCCTGGGTGACATAGCAAGACTCTATCTCAAAAAAAAAAAAAAAAAATTGTTGACCCACTAGATCCTAGTGCCGGATTTAGGCTATGAGATACATAAAATAAGAATATGTGAACTCTGGGGATTGTAATAGAGATCAGAGGTAAGGCTTCACTCTACCAAGGCAATTTCACCTTTTAATGTCATTTTTTTTTTACTTTTAACTTCTGATTTCAACATTTTATTTAACAATAGATTACTTTGCTCACAGATGTCCTTTCCTGGCAGATAACATTTTACAGGTCTTTTTAAAAGGGCCGTTAATCCTTGATCATAACAGATACCTAATGTGTATCTTTATTATCTGCAATGCTTCTAGTTTCTATTATACAGATAATTTTGTCACTTCAATTATCAAAATACTTGACAAATATTTAGTTCAGAAAATATGCTTTTATTTTCCTCCTGTTCATTACACAGGGATTACTGTTTCCACATTCAGAATTCTCTCGGTTAGGGAATTCTTGAATTGGACCTTTGGAAGTCTGTAAAACTTTTGAAGTTGTGAGCAAAATTTTGTAGAGATGCATATTTTTTTCCCTTGGGGAATTATTTGAATTTCATAGCTTACTTGAGGTTCTCAAAAGGGTGATTAATTGAAAAGAGATAAAGAACCATGAATCTTCTGTATGAAAGCCTCTATTATTTCATTCTAGGAAAGGCCATATGACTTTTGATACATCAACCAGGGAAAACAGTCACCTCAGTCCTACACATCTTCAGACTTACACTTACAGAGATTTTCTAAATTCTTTGTAAAGGAACACTAAAACACAGGGTCTTAATAATGTTAACCTGAATGGTCCATGATTTTATTAATTCCATATACATGTTTTCTATACCTACAGTACAGCATACCCTGTTGCAGGATTTTCAGTAACTACAAAAGTTGTGGCTCTCCAGGAGTTCATATGTTACGTTAAAAAAAAAAAAAGTAAAAATAGTAAGTAAAACAGATATCATTATGGGTACTCAATTAGGAGAAAAATGTTTTTCTGGAATGATAGCATCAGGATGGATTTGCAAAGATAGAAATATTAAAAATGGAGAAATTGAGGCCGGCCGTGGTGGCTCAAACCTGTAATCCCAGCACTTTGGGAAGCTGAGGCAGGTGGATCACTTGAGGTCAGGAGTTCGAGACCAGCCTGGCCAACATGGTGAAACCTCATCTCTAGTAAAAATACAAAAATTAGCCAGGCATGGTGGTAGGCGCCTGTAATCCCAGCTACTCCAGAGACTGAGGCAGGAGAATCACTTGAACCCAGGAGGCAGAGGTTGCAGTGAGCCTTCATCGCATTACTGCACTCCAGCCTGGAAGGCACAGTGAGACTCCATCTCAAAAAAAAAAAAAAAAGGAGAAATTAATGACCTAATGTAACAGTCTATTAGTCTTGCCTTACAAATATCAAACCCTAGGCTCTCCTTGCCCAGTCACTCTCCTGTTGCATGGGAGCAGCTCTGGGAAATAGGAAGGTCTTCGAGATCAGCAAATCTCCCTTTGCAGAAGTCCTAGGGAGAACTGGAAGCCTGTGCTGGCAGCCAACTATCCTACAATTAAGAAAATGTTAAACGTAGCATAAAATAACTACTAAGTTTCACCCAACAGCTTTTTTTTTTTTTTTTTACAACTTATTATATTGCTCTTCTAGTACTTTAAAAACTATGAACATCAAAAACTTGAATTCATTAAATTTACTTATATCTTAAAGAAAAAAGATCTTTTAAAAATGCTTTTCACAGTACTGTTTAGCATCATTGCCCTCTCTAATATATCTGTTCTCTAGAACCAAGATAAATGTCCTTATGTTAACATTGTCAATCACTAAAAAGGGGGATTAATAACTGTTTTTCCATAATCATGTCTTTGTATATGTTAATCCTAGTTAACTGCACTCTTCCTTCTCCTACTGAAAAAAAATCAATTAGTTCTTTCACTTAGTCCCCACACCAATTATGTCATACTCTTTTTGAGTGAATTGCACTCTTTTGTTTTCTTATAATATTTATCTTTATCCTTTATTGTGAAAATATAAGTAGATTAGGGTTTATGATGTTATGCAAATTTGGTGTCTTCCCTGAGATTAATTCCTAGCTGGTTCACTGTATTTATATTATCTGTAAATCTAGTGATTTGTAGATAATACATTACAATAAATAATCAGCACAAACCTAATGCTGATTCCAAAAGAATACTCTTCCTAACACTTTCTTGCTTACCATATCTAGCAGCCCAGTGTTTCATTTGGAAATGCCAAATATGCATAGATTTTGCAACACGGCCTCAAAACAATGGTCAAAAGTTTTATTAAGTATTAGCAAATTAATGTACCTTATCAATAAGTGTCAATCCTCCACCATCACTTGAATCAAAAATTATTTACAATAAAGATAGAGCATAGCTCTACCCAACTGACTGTGATCATTTCTGCTGTTTTCTTTGCTGGCTCCCTACTCTCTCAGCCCACAAACACATGAGCTCTGTCCTCAGCTGTTCTAGGCTTCAGAGTGTCTGCAGTAATTTCTCAATGCAATGTCATACATCAGAACACAGCTGGGCCTCTCGCTTTGAGTTTCAGCTTTGCACTTCCAACTGAAGGCCAGGTCTTTGCTTTCAAGCATCTCACAATGACCTCAAACTAAAACTGAACTGATTTTATCACCCATTCCTCAATATGGTTCCCCTATTTCTGCATATGATTCTCATTACCCTTGATTAGGTGAAAATTTCTGAGGGGGCAGAGGGAAGAGAAAGGAGGGAGAAGGAGAGGGAGAAAAAGGAGGGGAAGAGGGAGAGGGATGAGGAAGGAGGGAAGGGGAGATGAAAAGAGTGAGGGGAGGAAGCAAGTGAAGAAGAATATAAAACCATGGACTTGGCACGGTAGCTTATGCCTATAATCCCAGCATTTTAGGAGGCCGAGGTGGGTAGATTGCTTGAGGCCAGGAGTTGGAGACCAGCTTGGGCAACATGGCAAAACCCCTCTCTACTAAAAATGAAAAATTAACCAGGTGTGGTAGCTCATGCCTGTAATCCCATGTACTCCAGAGGCTGAGGCATGAGGCGGAGATTGCAGTGAGCCAAGATGGCGCCACTGCACTCCAGCCTGGGCAACAGAGGTAGACTCTGTCTCGAAAGAAAAGAAAGGAAGGAAGGAATGAAGGAAGGAAGGAAGGAAGGAACAAACGAAGGAAAAGAATATAAGACTATGAATAAGAGAGAATGACCACCAAACATCAAACACTTCAAACACTTTAGCCTAACATTCGGGACTTCCCACATTCTATAGCAATCTACCTTTCTAGCCTCTTGGATAATTGCATTATCTACACATACAGATTTATCCATTATTTACCAAACATGTTACATTTTCTGAATCATGTATTTCTCTTGCCTGGGATCCTTTTTTTCACTACCTTCATTGTCCAGGTCAATCTCCAAATCTTCTTGGAAGATGACAAACCAATTACTTAACAACAAAGCAGGTACTATCTGATGACACAGCCTTCATAGTTGTCTTACTGTGCAACTTTTCAGGTATTTATGAGCTTTATATATTTCACCTTACCCTAATGATAGAAATAACACAAATTCACTTCTAATGGTGAACGACTTGCGTTAATTTTATTCCAAAACAGAGTAATTCCACCTGTATTTGAAAGGTTCTTGGACTCCAATATCCCCTCTGTGTTGACCCATTTTCCAAGAGGCAGCCCCCTCAAAAACAAAAATAAAAACTGGTCCTTTTTCTTAATCATTGAGAATTAGCTAACAACTATAAGGTAACTAATGTTCTTTTTGTAATTTCATACAACAAAAAGAACATAAGGAAATGAAGTCATTCCCAAACTCTCAAGAGCAACACATTCCCTGTGTGAAGTTATGTATGAAAGAATCAGGTACCATTCTGTCTGCCAGATACAAAGCTTTTAAAGAACTCTCTTATAGCTACCTTCTAAATTATGCATTAAAAAATCTGACTCACAAATAGCAGTTTTTCATGGATTCTTGTAGAACAGTTATAAGGGTCTTAAAAATGCATTTCCCAAATCACATTTTCCTTTGAAAACTTAGAACAGGGAAAAGATGAATGAGTTAATTAGATATAAAATTACCCTATGTGAACTGAACTAAACTATATTAAATAATGGATCAAAATGTTCAAAGGCAAGAACATAAGAAGTTTAACCTCATACATAAAAACCGTGGGACTTCTATAACCTAGAGAATATGCATATATATTAAGTATATATATACACATATATGTATATACATAAGTATATATATACGCTAAGTATATATATACACACATGTACATGTGTGTATACATGTACATATATACACACATATGTACATATATACACATATGTACATGTGTGTATACATGTACATATATACACACATGTACATGTGTGTGTATACATGTACATGTATACACACATATGTACATGTGTGTGTATATATGTACATATACACACATGTATATGTGTGTATATATGTATATATACACACACATATGTATATATGTGTATATATGTATATATATTTAGCGTATATATATATAAGTATATATATACTTATATATATATAAGTATATATATATACTTATATATATACTTAGAGAATATATATGCATATTCTCTAGGCTATAGAGATTATATATATATATACACACACACTAAGATACATATATCTCTACTCTAAGATACATATATCTCTAAGATATATATATATATATATATATATCTTGGGATTTTGCTCTTAGTTAGATCCACTGGAAAAAAACTGCGGTAATAAAGAACAAGTTCACTGTGCTTACTGTGAATATCACTGCCCCCTGCTATATATATGAGATATATATAAACATGAAGATATATATATGTATATATATAAAACAACAGCAATAATGTGGCAAATTTTTGCATGTAATGAAATATTCTTTAGTATTTCATTTGGTATTAACATTTCATCTTCTGGAAAAAAGGAATGAGCTATTATTTTAAAATAATTATTTACTAACTATACTTATCTCAATAAAATAGTTGAATCTGTATTCACATTAATAGTGAATAATGCTGAGATTAAAGGAGTTTATCATTAAGTAAAGTAACAAAGACACTATCACTTTTCCAAAACTTTCCCAGAGCAGATTTGAACTCGAGTTTCAACATAATAAGAGTTCAATTTATACAGCACTTGCATACCAAAAACTGTCCTAAATTTTTATAAACATTATCTCATTTGAACCTCAGAGCCATGTCTCGTCCTCATCTTTCATTCTTTCATTTACTATATGTAAGTGCCCAACAATAGGAAACACAAGTAACATTACTGTACATATGGTACAACAGTACAAGCATTAATATTTATTTGATGTTTAAGTTGTTAAAATGCCGTCAAAGAGGCATATGTAAACATCAATGCAAAGTACAATATGACAGGCTTTTGGGTTATAATGGGGAAACTGTAAGCTCTTCATACATTTTTTCTCTCCCCCAGTATAACAAAAGTGAACAGACACAGGGGCAGGAAGGCTTTCTGAAGGAGGTGGAATTTTTCATGGGTCATGAAGAATGGAGAAGTAGGAATTCCAAATGAAGAGAATAACGTGAGGTAAAATTAAAATCCAAGAAAATACATGGTGTGAACTAGGAACAGCGAGTAATTCACTTTATCTAGAACACAGACTATAAAGAATCGTTACATGAGAAGGAACAGTTGAAATGCAGATGGGGCCACACTGAACACCACAACTGCTGAAAGCTTAACCAAGGAGTATAAATTTCATTTTTTTCCCTATATTCAAAGTTCAGTCATGATGAGATCAGGAAGGTGCTTCAATGATGTTTATCTAAAAACAAAAGTATGTAGGATTAGAAGGAGAAAGTAGGTAAGAGATTACTGTCATGCTCCCTATGTGAGATAATGAAGTCTCCAGCTATGGCAATTGCTATGAAATAAGACAAGAGTAGCAGATAATGTAGTATTATAGAGGAAACAGCAGTATGGAGTAATTCAGTTGGAAAGGCAATAAAAAAGGAAGGGCTTGTGATTATGAGTCAGAAAGGTGAATATGACATTAATAGAAGAACTAGGTATTGGATGAAAAAGAAAGTGACATTTAAATCTACTGAATTTCAGAAGTTTCATATCCATCAGTTTACCATGGGTTTAAGTGACACAGTGCGAAACGAGGAATTGATCTACCTAAAAAAGGTGGATAGCAGGGGGCAGTGGTATTCACAGTAAGCGCAGTGAACTTGTTCTTTTTTACTACAGTTTTTTTTTCCAGTGGATCTAACTAAGAGCAAAATCCCAATATGTTCTAAATTCTCAAACTCTACAAGGTAGTGAACCTATCTATATTTTTCAAATCCTATTGCTCTTCATATCTGACCATGTATACAGAGAGTACACAAACTTTTGACCATTGTTCATAGACTGAGATTTAAGCCTTGTTCATCATATATCAGAATCATGAAAATACTTTGCACGTAGGCAATGAAGTAGTTTTAGACATTTAATAGTAATAATAGAAGTCTTTCTGCCAGTTTGTAACAAAAAGCTAGAAGTAATCATTGTCATCTATTACATAAGTAATATTCTGCTAAGATAACATCAGTTGGCCCTGCTCCATCTAAGGTGATTAGGGAAAATGGAAGCATTTAACTTTTTTCTAGTTTAAAGCAAAGATAATTTAAGATATTTTGAACCAAGAAGATATTAATCAGATAAAACGCATTAAATATCACTGATACTATTTTGTGAGTATACATAAACACTTTTGCCACAGCCTTTTCAAAATGCTTTAAAAAAAGCTTTATATGAAAAATGAGAAGCTGTGCTAATCAGAACAAATAAACAATTAAAAACAAAGTCTAATGCTATGAGCCTGACATATAGTGTCAAATAAATTTTTTAAAATAAATGATTCAATGTACTGTATAGAAGGAATTTATTGAATATATAATGTTCTTTGTTACTGGCTGATTTTCTGAAGCTTTTCATCTTAACTATTTCCTTACCTTGTTAGTTCTTCTCTAAACCCACCTCAATAAGGTTTGCTCTCAACCATCCAAGGAGTCTGCCCTTATCAAAGTCAATAGTGTTTTCCAACTTGACAAATCCAAAGGTTACTTCGTTGTCATCTTACCAGACTTGGTAAGCAGGTGGCATAGAGATTAGCTTTCTCCTCCTTGAAATGGCTTCTCTTGGATTCCCTGATGCCTCACTCTCTAGTTCTTCTCCCACCCCACTGTTTCTTTCCTCTTGGTACAACCTCTAAATCCTTGTGTCCACAGAACTCTGTCCTGGGCTCCTTTTCTCCTTGAGCTCTAGACCCTCCCAAAGGGTTCTGAAGATGTCCCATGGTTTAAAATACTAATGTTATCTAAATGATTCCCAAATCTGTTAAAATTAAAATTTAAACAGATTAAAATTCCAGACTTCTATAACCAGGCATCACCTGCAATCTCGACATGGACAATCAATATTTGACTTCAGCATACACAAAACAGAACCCTTGATCCCCTCTGCCCACCCCGCCAAAATAATGTTGCTTCACAAGAAGAGGAACCGTCATACACCAAGAGCCTAGAAAAGTGCCCGAGTAGAACGGGCACTGTGTTAAAACAAAAATACCCTAATCAGAGAAGCCACATCATACTATGCTTAATATAAAAGCTCCAGCAGGTAAACACTGACAATCCCTAGATCCTGCCAGAAATTCCGACACTTTTATCTTGTCCCTTTAGAGAGTAGGTAGTTCAGTGTTTTGACCCAGGCCATAGTTCTCAAGTGTGGGAGCACAGTGGAATTCCAAAGGACAATACAGAGTGCAGACCCAAGAGGATGCAAAAACAGTCTCGTAGATGAAGTCCAGCAGCCTAAGAACTTCATAGGCAACACAGAGGTAAAACCAGGCCCACAAGCAAAAGATCTACAGCAGAACAATGCGTAGTGCTTGGAGAGATTACCTGAAGGGCTAATATGTAGTTCCTGTTCATTTTAAACAACACTGGCCCATGCCCACAGTAGGGTGAGGCTACCTGCAATTCATTCTTCAGATCACAGAGAAGGAGCTTTCCAGACCCTCAATTTGTTCCAGTCATTCCTTTGCTTATACCCCAACAGTGTTCTCTACCACAAGGTAAATTCCAAGCTCTTTGATCTAGTATATAAGGCCCTAAATATTCAAATCATTTCCTAACTTTTTAGCCTCTTCGGCTACTCCAGCAACACACACCATACCTCCCTAACAGATTCCAATCCATTTCATGATCCTCATGCCTTTGTAAAAGCTGTTTTCTCCCTCATGGTTAATTTTGTGTTCATCATCCAAAACTCAGAATTACTGTTTTCTTAAAACCTTTATTAAACTTCAATTAAATGTCCAAGAAAGAATTGGGTTCCCACACTCCCAAACCAGCTCTATTTCCTGGCACCCAACTAGACTGTTCCCAGCTTCCCCTACATTAGATGTGACCACAGGACAAAGTCCTCAGATGGGATGTCAGGCCAGTGGTCCTCAATTCTCACTGTGCACCAGCATTATATGGGAAAATTATAAAAAAGAGGCATTGGGCCTGACCTCCACAGACCATTTCACTTAGTCTGAGGTGAGGCCCAAGTATTAAAGCTCTTCTATTCATTCTAATGTGCATACAAAGTTGGAGAGCACTAAAGAAATCCATGCCAACTATCCAATATAAATGAAGATGCTGCCACCCATGTGCTCCTGCTGTACAGTATACATACTCCCAGTAATGCACTGATCAACTATACCATTACATTTCATACATCTATATGATTTATACATCTATACCATTTATAAAACTATACAATTTTATACATCTGTCTACTGACCACATATTAATGCCTTGAGGGAAGGAATCAAATCTTGTCATTTATGTATTTTCACTGCTTAACCTAGTAACTGACATTTTTCTTAAGTATTCAATGATTTTTTTTTTTTTTTTTTTTTTTTTTTTTGAGAGAGTCTCACTTTGTCCAGCGCAGGCTGGAGTGCAGTGGTGTGATCTCGGCTCACTGCAACCTCTGCCTCTTGGGTTCAGCAATTCTCCTGCCTCAGCCTCCCGAGTAGCTGGGATTACATGCGCGTGCCACCACACCTGGCTAATTTTTTTGTATTTTTAGTAGAGACAGGTTTCACCATGTTGGCCAGGCTGGTCTGGAACTCCCGACCTCAAGTGATCCACCCACCTCAGGCTCCCAAAGTGCTGGGATTACAGGTGTGAGCTACTACGCCCGGCCAATGAACATTTTTGAATAAATAAAAGAAAAAATATATATCAAATATATAATTTTAAATTTGTTAGAATATTTTCATTAAACAACCATGAAAAATAAAGATACAGTTGCTTATTATGCTTGAAACAGTACACCCATATAATCCTTTCTTATTTATTAGTAGTTGAGAATAGACTTTGAAGTACTTCAGCAAAAACACTTTCTTTTTAGTATTACTACCACAAAGATGTGATCTCTTTGTAAAGCTGTGTTCTCTTATTTTTAAAAAGTGGAAAGTTGGGATAACTTTCTAATTTCCATGGAGCAGAATTAGATAAAGTAGAAAAATCTAAAAATAAATACAGGAATGTCTAAAGGTAATCTATATTCATTATCTAGGGAGATGCTGGAGAAAGCAAAGACAAATTCAACAAAACATTTTAGCAGAAACCTTATTTTAGAATATTCTTATGTAACTCTTCCACATGTAAGCCAAAGGTAAGAAACAAAATAATCCACAGCCAAATGGAGCAACACTAATAAAGCCTATAATTTAATTTGTTAGGAATATGTTAAAATTACACTGACAATTTAAAAATTTTTGAGAGCGGAAACTTAATTCTACCAGAGACTCAAATTCATTTTAGTAAAATTAAATCCATCCAATTTACATTATGATACATTTATTTACCAAAAATTTAACACATATATAAATATTATGGCCACTCCAATGATTAATTTCAGAATTTCAAAAATTCTATAACAATCTAACTATTCTTAAGATCTTGTTTTTCCCTTGCTGCATCCCCAAACACAAATCTGCCATTTAATACATTTACTTAAATATTCTCCTCAAATGTTTTGAGATTTTAAATTATATATATATGAGAAAAATATACTCCTCCCTAATTTTCATTACCATGGCATTTATTTTTCTATTTTGAAGTCATTTTTGAAAGTCATTTTGAAAGGTATCCAATGTAACTGTCAGTAGAATGTGCTATTATTTCTGCTGAAGTAGACACATTACTGTATGTTAAATGAAACCTATTATCAATCACAGGCTACTAGTTGGAAAAAAAAAAAAAAAGAAGACAGTGGTGGAAGTCAGTCTCCAGTTTCCTTTGGGGATTCACATTTCTCTCCCTGTTTTCTTTCTGCACATGTTGAATGAAGATGTCCAAAATGGTTAATGCCTCATGGCTCCTGGACTTCTAGGGGAAGACACCCACGGTGACCACAGCAACTGCCTATTTATTGATTTCTTTAAACTCTTAGACTCAAAGCACTTAATCTCCAAAGCAAAAACTTCTAGGGAAAAGAAATCATAAACTTGAAGCCTACTTTTTAACCATTCACAAATATTTCTGCTTATCCCTTACAAATACCCAAACAGTTCTGTGATGTTACTTAACATGGGTGGTGTAGTCTTCAGACATGAAGAATTTGAGTGGGAGGAGGGATAAGTGAACAAGATCTCAGTTAACTTTGCTTTGACACTCGGGTAAATCTGGGTGAGTCGCTTTCTTCAGTTAATGGAATGAGATTATAAAAGATTAATGAAAGCTGCTTTTGGCAGAAAAGAGCAGGGTCTAGATAGCTATAAAATTTAGTTACTTAATCATTTTAAGAGACAAATATAGAAGTTAAAGGAAAATTATAGGAGTAGATATGGTACTATGTATCCCACTCTTCAGACTCTGTTCATTTAGGATTACATGCCTCTCTATAGTCCATAAGGTGCTTACCTACCTCTGTTAATATCTCAAATACAGCCCCATCTCCTGCTCATACTCCAGTAGTCAACGATGTGAAGTTCCCCAAAAAGCCATGCATTTCATGCCTGCATTCTTTGCATGTGCCTGTCCCTCTGCCCAGAACACCTTAGCATCTACTCATTTTGGAGAACCTCTTCATGATGTATCCAGAACCAGAGATTAACCACACCACTATAGCATTTACAACAGCATTTTTTTCTATAAACCTTGCAAAAATCTAGGTTTTATCTGTCTCTAGGTTCCTATTATTTAACACAATGCCTAGTGAAAACTCTCTCTCTCTCTCTACATATATATATATGCTCTGCATGATTATAGATAATGGGTTAACTAATTAATTTGAACATACTGCATTACCTTATGTCTTATTTAAAAATAACTTTTCATAAACACATTTGTTTTAGGAAAGGCAGTTGATTAACTGGTACCACTTAAGTAACAGCATTTTCATTTAAAAAAGTGAAATAAAATTATTCTAAGACTATCAAATATACAGTTTTAATATTATATAACATTGTTTCTCTAAAAGAATATATATATTTGAAATTAACTGCATTTCCTTAAAATATTCCAAAATTAAACTTTCCACTGACAGATTATTCTTCCTTCACTCCTGTTCCTTTTTATAATATCCTGATTCAATTAAATCACAGCTAACAATTTCAGATTCTTGTACTGTTATGCCACTCATTTTAGACTGTACATGTTGATCTTTACTTTTTTCTTAATATTTTGTTCTATGAATGCGCACCACTGCAGATACATTGTTCTCAAATCAAAGAATCCAAAGTATGAAATTTTATTAGCACAATAGCTAATCTAGGTGCTACTTACATTGTTTTTATTCTTTTTTATGTTTTCTTGATAACAATAACAATTTGTCTTTCTATTATCCCTAATTTCATATCTTAACTATGGTATGTGCTATCTTCTATCTTAGTGTTTTAAAAGTTTCCTTCATGCCTTAATGTTGATAATTAATATGTTACTGGCTCTGACTCAAAGTAATGTAAATAGCCTTTTTCAGAAGAGAGTTTCCTGTTTTTCCACTCCTGATGCTAATCCTGAAGCTCTGGAACAAAGGATATTACCAAACGATGGCCATCGATGTCATGTGGCAGCCCTGGCAAGGCTCCCTTCCCATTCGTGTCCTTTCCTTCTTGAGTTGCCAGAGATTGCCTGGCTGCTGCCATCCTGCACATTTCACCAGAACAGCCCTCGATCCTGAGCTTCTGACTCTTAAGCAAGCAACATCTTTGAGATTTTCTAGATTTGTGCTGCCAAAAACAAGGGGCCACACAAGGGTAAACACATACAGAAGTGACACTGTTACAGTTAGGAGAAGTCTCAAAGCTTTTCCTGAAACATGGAGAAGGTGGGGTAAATCTCACAGACATACACCTGAGCCAGGTTCCAGCAGCTCCATTGGCTTTAGATCCTACCTGCCTCCCCAAGGCCTGCTCTTCTATTTCTCTTCTCAGGCTATTCCTTTCTATAAAGAACAGGCTAGTTTCTGTGATTTCTATTGCTTTGCCTTATCTTTTCTTTTTAACCTTTGTTGGAATATAACAAAAGAAAAAATATACAGGCGTACATCATTTTATTGAGTTTCTCTTTATTGCACTTTGCAGATATTATGGTTTTTTTACACATTGAAGGTCTGTGGCAATCCTGAGTCAAGCAAGTCTATAGGTGCTATTTTTCCAACAGCATGTGCTCACTTCTGTGTCTCATTTTGATAATTCTCACAACATTTCAAACTCTTTCATTGTTATTATATCTGTTAAGGTGATCTGTGATCCGTGATCTTTGATGTCACTATTGGAACTGTTTTGAGGCACCATGAACTGCTCCCATACGAGACAACAAATTCATTCAATAAATGTTATGTGTGTTCTGACAGACCAGCCACTTCCTCATTTCTTTCCCTCCGCTCAGCCCTGCCTATTCCCTAAAACACACTAACATTGAAAATAGGCCAATTAATAACCCAATAATGGCTTGTAAGTGTTCAAGTGAAATGAAGAGTCGCATATCTCTCATTTTAAGTCAAAAGCTAGAAAGGATTAAGCTTAGAAAGGCATGTCATAAGAAGAGACGGGTCAAATGCTAGGCCTCTTGCACCAAACAGCCAAATTGAAGGCTATGAGAAAGGTAAGGAAGGTGTAGAAGAAAAGTTTGAAGCTAGGAGAAGTTGGTTCATGAGGAAAAAGGCAATAAGCCATCTCCATAACATGGAAATGCAAGGTGAAGCAGCAAGTGCTGATGTAGAAGCTGCAGTAAGTTATCCAGAAGATCTAGCTAAGATCATTGATGAAAGTGACTACACTAAACAACATATTTTAATGTAGATGAAACAGCTTTGTGTCAGAAGATGCCATCTAGGGTTTTCATAGCTACTGAGAAGAAGTCAATGCCTGGTTTCAAAGCTGCAAAGGACAGGCTGACTCTCTTGTTAGTGGCTAATGAAGCTGGTGAGTTTAGGTTGAAGCTAATGCTCACTTACTATTCTGAAAACATGAGGGATTTGAAGAATCATGCTAAATCTACTTTGCTAGTGCTCCATAAATGGAACAACAAAGCCTGGATGACAGCACATATGTTTCCAGCATGGTATACTGAATATTGAGACTTCTAAGAAAATAAAGATTCCTTTCAAAATAGTATTGCTCATTGACAATGCACTTAGTAACCCAAGGGTTCTGATAGAGATGTACAAGAAGATTCACATTGATTTCATGCCTGCTAACATAAGATCCATTCTGCAGCTCATTAACCAAGAAGGAATTTTGACTTTCGAGTCTTATTATTTAAGAAATACAGTTTGTAAAGCTATAGCTACCACAGATAGTGATGGATTAGAGCAAAGTAAATGGAAAACTTTCTGGAAAGGATCACCATTCTAGATGCCATTAACACACTTGTGATTCAAGGGAGGAAGTTAAAATGTCAACATGAACAGGCATTTGGAAGAAGTTGATTCCAATCCTCACAGACGACTTTGAGGGATTCAAGACTTCAGTAAAGGAAGTAACTGGAGATGTTCTAGAAATAGCAAAAGAATTAGAAACAGAAGTGGAGCCTAAAGATGTGACTAAATTGCTGAAGTCTCATGATAAAACTTGAATGGATGAGGTATTGCTTCTTATGGACGAACAAAGAAAGTTGTGTCTTGAAGTGAAATCTAATCCTAGTGAAGATGCTGTGAACACTGTTGAAATGATAAAGGATTTAGAATATTTATATAAACGTAGCTGATAAAGCAGTGGCAGGGTATGAGAGGACTAATTCCAATTTTGAAAAATGTTCTTCTGTGGGTAAAATACTATCAAACAGTATCACATACTATTCAGAAATCTTTTGTGAAAAGAAGAGTGAATCGCTATGCAAATTTCATTGTTGTCTTATTTAAAGAAACTAATATAGCCAACCTAGTCATTAAGCAGCCATCCACATCAAGGCGAGACCCTCTACCAGCAAAAAGATTATGACTTGCTGAAGGCTCAAATGCTTGGTAGCATTTTTTAAAACAAGAAAGTATTTTTAAATTAAGATACATAGGTTATTTTTTAAACATAATTCTATTATACCCCTAATAGACCACAGTACAGTAAAACATAAATTTTATATGCAGTGTGAAATAAAAAAAAATTGTGTGACCTGCTTTATTGCAATATTCACTTTGTGGCAGTGGTCTGGAACTGGACCCACAATATCTCCAAGGTATGCTTGCATAGCATTCAGGAAAAAAAAAGTGTCTTGGTTGCTTTCTAAACAATTTATTTTCATAATTTCTGTAAAATAATTATTATTATATGTCCTTATTTACAGGGGTACTCTTTATAATTTCTTTTTGTTTTAAAATCAATCAAAAATAATCCTCAAGCTTTTCTTTCAAATCTCAGAACTGAAAGAAACTATAGTTTTAGTTCAGACATATAAAGAGCTTGGAAGTCATCACTCCCATCCTCAGAATAAAAAGTTGGGCAAGCTGCAAATCATTGACTTTTCTTGGACTTCTCAGAGAACTGAGTGTGCAGGGGAAACCACTAACCAAAATCTAGAAAGATGGGCAAATCCAGAAAGACACAGCACTTGGAGCAGAAGCTGCTGTATGCCATGAGTGGTAGGAATATTTACTTGTCTAGTAATTTTGAAAAATTACTATAAGCTGGGTGCAGAGAGTAAGAAATTCCTGGAGCCACAATCATAAAGAGGCTCCCAAACTTTGCTGGACTTTCCTTTCAGTTACCCCACAAAGTTCTAATAGTGAGGATCCAAAAAAGATCCCTGTATGGCCATGGCAGAAAAAAGGGGGAGAAAGCCATTGTTCAATCTCCCAGATCCTTCTCTCTAGCAAAAGCAGAAAGGTTTTGCCTGAGGGAAACACTGAAAACTTATCCCAGGTGGAAGAAGAGAATACCACCCCACTCCAGCCCTCTTGACTCACGTACTGAAAAGCAAAAACAAAAAACAGAGAGAACAGGAGACAGGACTTCAAAAAAAGAGACTGGGAAGCTGCATCCAGGGAAGAGAATGAAGAATATGGTAGTAGGAGGGAGCAATCCTCCTAGACCAGGGACAGAAACACTTATGAAGGTTACAGGTCCACTAAAAGACTGAGATTTAATCAGATTAGAGGACACTCCATCTCTCCAACACTTTACCACAATACCAACACAGCTCTAGGATGACAAGAGTGGATTGGTGACAGCTAAAAGAGCTGCAGGATGTAGACTTTCCCTGGGGCAGAGTCCTTAGGGAAGCCCAGTCAAAAGGGGAGACAAAAACAAGGATACTGGAGGAAGCTGAAGTTTCTCTTTTGCTGTGCAGAAGATCTTTAGTTTAATTAGATCCCATTTGTCAATTTTGGCTTTTGACGCCATTGCTTCTGGTGTTTTAGACATGAAGTCCTTGCCCATGCCTATGTCCTGAATGGTATTGCCTAGGTTTTCTTCTAGGGTTTTTATGGTTTTAGGTCTAACACTTAAGTCTTTAATCCATCTGGAATTAATTTTTGTATAAGGTGTAAGGAAGGGATCCAGTTTCAGCTTTCTACATATGGCTAGCCAGTTTTCCCAGCACCATTTATTAAATAGGGAATCCTTTCCCCATTTCTTGTTTTTGTCAGGTTTGTCAAAGATCAGATGGTTGTTTATGTGTGGTATTATTTCTGAGGACTCTGCTCTGTTCCATAGGTCTATATCTCTGTTTTGGTACCAGTACCATGCTGTTTTGGTTACTGTAGCCTTGTAGTATAGTTTGAAATCAGGTAGCGTGATGCCTCCAGCTTTGTTCTTTTGGCTTAGGATTGTCTTGGCAATGCAGGCTCTTTTTTGGTTCCATATGAACTTTAAAGTAGTGCTTTCCGATTCTGTGAAGAAAGTCATTGGTAGCTTGATGGGGATGGCATTGAATCTATAAATTACCTTGGGCATTATGGCCATTTTCACGATATTGATTCTTCTATCCATGAGCATGGAATGTTCTTCCATTTGTTTGTGTCCTCTTTTTATTTCGTTGAGCAGTGGTTTGTAGTTCTCCTTGAAGAGGTCCTTCACATCCCTTGTAAGTTGGATTCCTAGGTATTTTGTTCTCTTTGAAGCAATTGTGAATAGGAGTTCATTTGTGATTTGGCTCTCTGTTTGTCTGTTATTGGTGTATAAGAATGCTTGTGATTTTTGCACATTGATTTTGTATCCTGAGATTTTGCTGAAATTGTTTATCAGCTTAAGGAGATTTGGGGCTGAGATGATGGGGTTTTCTAAATATACAATCATGTCATCTGCAAACAGGGACAATTTGACTTCCTCTTTTCCTAATTGAATACCCTTTCTTTCTTTCTCCTGCCTGATTGCCCTGGCCAGAACTTCCAACACTATGTTGAATAGGAGTGGTGAGAGAGGGCATCCCTGTCTTGTGCCAGTTTTCAAAGGGAATGCTTACACTTTTTGCCCATTACAGAAGCTGCCATCAGAGTGAACAGGCAACCTACAGAATGGGAGAAAATTTTTGCAATCTACTCATCTGATAAAGGGCTAATATCCAGAATCTACAAAGAACTCAAACAAATTTACAAGAAAAAAACAAACAACCCCATCAAAAAGTGGGCAAAGGATATGAACAGACACTTCTCAAAAGAAGACATTTATGCAGCCAACAGACATATGAAAAAATGCTCATCATCACTGGCCATCAGAGAAATGCAAATCAAAACCACAATGAGATACCATCTCACACCAGTTAGAATGGCAATCATTAAAAAGTCAGGAAACAACAGGTGCTGGAGAGGATGTGGAGAAATAGGAACACTTTTACACTGTTGGTGGGACTGTAAACTAGTTCAACCACTGTGAAAGACAGTGTGGCAATTCCTCAAGGATCTAGAACTAGAAATACCATTCGACCAGCCATCCCATTACTGGGTATATACCCAAAGGATTAGAAATCATGCTGCTATAAAGATACAGGCACAGTATGTTTATTGAGGCACTATTCACAATAGCAAAGACTTGGAACCAACCCAAATGTCAATGATAGACTGGATTAAGAAAATGTGGCACATATACACCATGGAAATACTATGCAGCCGTAAAAAAGGATGAGTTAATGTCCTTTGTAGGGACATGGATGAAGCTGGAAACCATCATTCTCAGCAAACTATCGCAAGGACAGAAAACCAAACACCACATGTTCTCACTCATAGGTGGGAATTGAACAATGAGAACACGTGGACACAGGAAGGGGAACGAAACACACTGGGCCCTTTGTGGTGTGGACGAGTGGGGAGGGGATAGCATTAGGAGATATACCTAATGTAAATGATGAGTTAATGGGTGCAGCACACCAACATGGCACATGTATACATATGTAACTAACCTGCACGTTGTGCACATGTACCCTAGAACTTAAAGTATAATAAAAAAATTAAAAATAAGGAGATTTAATAATATGTAAAAAAAAAAGTTTCTCGTACTTATGGCTACAAGAAACACTAAACATTAAGCACAGCTCAACTCCTACTCAGATTAACATAAATATTTATATGAAAGCCTTAGTTACCTCAGTTCTCAGTTCTCATTACCTAATATATCTGGCTTACAACAAAAAATTATGAAGCATGTCAAAAGCACAAAACCAAAAGAAACACAATCTGGAGAGATAAAGCAAGCATCTGAACTAGATTCAGATACGAGACAGATGTTAGAATTATCAAACAAGGAATTTAGATTACTATTATTAATAGGCTAAGGGCCCTAATGTAAAAAGTTGAAAACATGCAAAAACAATGCATAATAAAAGCAGGAGACGGAAACTACCAAAAAATCAAAAGGAAATGCTAGACATAAAAAAAAAAAAAAAACACCGTGGAAAAAAATGAAGAATGCCTTTGATAGGCTCATTAGTGGATTTGACATTGCTGAGGAAAGAATCAGTGAGCTTGAAGACATGTCAATAAAAACTTCCCAAACTGAAATACAAAGAGAAAAAGAGTTGAACAAACAGAACGGACATCCCAGGACTGTGGGATAACATGGGTAACAGAAACATGGGTGACATAAACATATCTAGAATACCAGAAAAAGAATAAAGAGGGGATAGGACAGAAGGAATATTTGAAGTAATAACAGCAGTGAACTTTCCAAAATTAATAATAGACACTGACCCACAGATACAGGAAGCTCAGAAAAACACCAAGCAAAAGAAATACACACAAGCACACACACCCCTAGACACAGCATATTCGAATTGCAGAAAAATGAAAGAAGGAAAAACTCTTGAAGGAAGCCATAAGGGGGAAAATAACACCTTACCTCTAAAGAGTAAAGGATAAGAACTACATTAAACTCATCAGAAATCATGCAAACAAAAAGACAGTGTGGTGAAATTTTCAGAGCGCTGAAAGAGAAAAAAAAATCTAACAGATAATTCTATATCCAGTGAAATTATACTTTAAATGCAAAGAAGAAACAAGGACTTTCTCAAACAAAAACTGAGAGACTGCATCACCACTAGTCTTGGCCTACAAGACATGATAAAAGTTCTTCAGAGATAAGGAAAATAATATCAGTAAGAAATTTGAATCTACATAAAGAAATGAAAGAGCATCAGAGGAGGAATAAATGAAGGTAAAATACATATAATCTTTTATTTTTCTTATTTTTAATTGAGCTAAAAGATAACTGTTCAAAGCAATAATAGAAAGAATATATTGGGGGTTATAGCATATTATAAATGAAGTGAATGACAGCAATGCCACAAGGGATGCGAGGAAGGAATTGGATATACTCTATTATGGAGTAGCTGCAGTACACATGAAGCCTTATAGTATAGTGTTATCTGATGGTAGGCTTAGATTATTTAAAAATATGTATTTTAAACTCTAGGAGAATCACCAAAATTTTGTTTCGTTTTTTAAAAAAATGTATAAGCAGTACACCAAAAGACACAAAATGGAATTCATATAAAGTGTTCAATCAAAATTACAGAAGGCACAAAAACTAGGGGAGGGCAAAGAACAAATGCATCAAGTGGTAAAAGCTACAAAGATTTTAAAATTTAATCCAACTACATTAGTAATCACCTTAAATATGAATGGCCTAAACATACCCATTAAAAGACCAAGATGATCAGTCTGGATTTAAAAAAAAAAAAAGAAAACTTGGGCCAAGCGCTGTGGCTCACACCTGTAATCCCAGCACTTTGGGAGGCCGAGGCGGGCGGATCATGAGGTCAGGAGATCGAGACCATCCCTGCCAACATGGTGAAACCCCATCTCTACTAAAAATACAAAAATTAGCCAGGCATGGTGGTGTGGTGCCTGTAATCCCAGCTACTTGGGAGGCTGAGGCAGAAGAATCACCTGAACCCGGGAGGTGGAGGTTGCAGTAAGTTGAGATCACACCACTGCCCTCCAGCCTGGACAACAGAGGAAGACTTCGTCTCGGAAAAAAAAGAAAAACTTCAAGACCCAATTGCACACTGTCTACAAAACATCCACTTTAAAAATAAAGACTTATGTTAAAAGTAAACAGATGGAGAAAGAGATACCATGTTAACCTTAATAAAAAGAAAGCTGGAGTGGCTGTATTAGCTTAAGACAATGTAGATTTCAGAAAAAGGAAAATAATCAGGGATAAAAAGGAATACTACATCACGATAAAGGAGTCAATTCTACAATAAAACATAACAATCCTACTACAAATATATGTACCTAATAGAGTATCAAAATATATGAGACAAATACTGATAGAACTGAAAGGACAAATAAACAAAACTGCTATTTTTTATTGTTGTTCAGGCCAACTCTGAGCAAGGACAAAGCCACTGCTACAGTTGGAGATCTGAATTGCAAGTAGGTTTCAAATCACAGAAGACTAAAACCAGGGTGCCCACAGTCCAGCTGATTCTCTAGTAGGCAGACAACTTAAACATATTTTAAGTTAATAACATAAACTCATAGGAACATGGAAATATATTTTATAACCTTGTAACATCTAGTATATTCTAATCCATATGTAATAACTCATTTAGAGGTCTTATAATATCTTTGTGTTTTAAAATCAATAAAAAATAATCCATAAGCTTTTCTTTCAAATCTCAGAACTGAAAGGAATTATAGCTTTAACTGAGACATATAAAGAGCTTGAAAGTCATCACTCCCATCCTCAGAATAAAAAGCTGGGCAAGCTGCAAATAAATGACTTTTCTTGGACTTATCAAGTCTTATCTTATATAGACTTTAGCCACTACAGAGGAAAAAATATGTTTTTTCGCTCAACTTGGATTCCCTAATACCTACAGAGGTTTTGGACTTGAATAAAGCTCAACAAATATCTACTGAATGTCTGAATCTGAGTTTTCCCACTAAATTATGTTAATCAACATTTATTTGTACAAGTGAGCTACTGTTTCACTAAAAATACAAAGTTCCAGTTGAAGTTATCTTTCAAATAGAAGATTTTGGTTTTATAGTCTTCTTCCACTATTATCAAATAACTACCTGGTTTAATAAAACAATGAAATCAATTACAGTGAGTACACAAATTGTTCACAGGGTTAAAGTGCCTCAGTGATTTACTATTAACTCTATTAATTTGTTGACTTGAAATGATCCACAAATTACCAATGCAAAGTAACCAATATGGATATAACACAGAAATTCAGAGAAGATTTGCAAAAAGATTAAAAACAAACATGTATATTATAGAAGTGTAACTCTTAAGGTAACACAAAAATTTTTAAGTGTCAGAATTTTATCAATTTAAGTTTTATATTAGGGCATAGTTAAATAATTTATACCCTCAACATAAACAAACAAAATGCAAATATAGAAGGACTACATTATTAGACAAATCATTGGGTCTAAAAAATGAAAAATGTGAAACATGATTTTATACCTCCTTCCCTGCTTTTTTTTTTTTTTTTTTTTAAGACGAGTCTTACTTTGTCACCAGGCTGGAGTGCAGTGGCACGATCTCAGCTCACTGCAACCTCCGCCTCCCAGGTTCAAGCAATTCTCCTGCCTCAGCCTCCTGAGTAGCTGGGACTACAGGCATGCACCACCACGCCCAGCTAATTTTTCTATTTTTAGTAGAAACCAGGTTTCACCATGTTGCCCACGATGGTCTCAATCTCCTGACCTCACTATCTGCCCGCCTCAGCCTCCCAAAGCATTGGGTTACAGGCGTGAGCCACCATGCCTGGCCTTTATCCCATTTTTGTATGTATAACTAGAATAACAACTGAAGAGAAAATATAATATTCACTCTGTCATCTCTTTAAATTACATAGTTCAACTATCATCCTCAATTTATTTCAATCTGGATGAGTTAAATAAAAAAATTTGAAATTTAATTACTTCCATACAACTCAGAAGACCAGCATCATATCTTTATAAAATATTATTTTGCAGTGAGAAATACCTATTTATTATAATTTGCCAAGCTTCTTCAGATAGGAGATGATTTTCCTTTTACTCTACATGGCATGGCCCATTAATACCTAATAGGCACAAATCTAATGTCCTACAGTAGGACACATGGGGATGATTACTTACTGGATAAGAAGTACTGATATTCTTCTCCTTCTACCAAATACTTTTTTCAAAACTTCTCTCAAATATCACTATGTGATCTATTCAAATTCAATTTTGCTCAACTTTCCAAGTAAAGTGATTATAGCAAGTAAAGGACATCTTCATAGGCTTGTAAATACTTCATGTTCATTCCACGAGTCAGACAGGGGAAGGGAAAATATCAGAGACCACTTACCTGACATGCATTATAAAGGAGCTGGTGTTCCAGTTTTTTAATACCCAGAATCTGCTGAAACATTTCATAGAGTTGTTCCTTGCTCAGAATAAGTTCAGACACTGCACTTAGGGCCATTCTATTTGGCTGTTTGCACAAGTCCTCTTCACCTCTGTAAATGGCATCATATTTGGCTATCCATGAGCTCAACACTGTCTCTTTGCTCAAGCCATCTATTTCTGGCAAACTCCGCACACGTTTTTCTATGTTTTTCTTAAATACTTCTCTGAAGTCATTAGCAGAACACCCTCCACTCTGTACCATTCTGGCCACTCGGTCACTCTTTAGAAAAACCTGAAAACAAAACAAAACAAAACAAAACAAAAAACAATTACAATTAGGTGTAGATGCTAACACCACTTGCTTTCAGCAATCCAGCCAGAGTTTCTACAAATATTTCAGCCAAATACTCCACAATGATTCAAAATGTTTTATAATACATGGTAACTAATGTCATAATGTTGGCCCCAAATCTCTCTAAAATTTTAAAATGTGTAGGAGACACAGTATACAGTAAAAAATACCAGTAAGATGGTTTACTTTGACCTGTATGTCTCCCACCTCTACAACGAAATCCTTTAGAGTGATGTCCTTATGAATGTGATTCGTGCTCTTATACACAGACTCCAGAACTCTCTCATGCCTTCCACCACATGTGTTCAGAGTGAAAGGACAGCTGTCTGTGAATCAGGAAGCAGGTCCTCACAGACACCAAATTGGCTAACACCCTGATTTTGGACTTCCCAAGCCTCCAGAACTGTAAGAAATAAATGACCATTGTTTATAAGCAAAAAAAAAAAAAAAAAAAAAGATGATTAGGAAAACAACTGGAGATATGAACCCAACATCCATACCTGTGTCTGAGAGTTCTAGCTGGTTTTTCAGCAGGGAAAGAATCATGTATTATTTGAGTGTGGACTTGAAGATCAACAGTAGGGTAAGTCTAATATCCAAGTCAATATTCATCATATGTAATTTTTACTCAAAATTGCCCAACAGCTGGGGGGCTAGAATATACCTGTCCCCATCCCTGATTTTACCACCTCTGCAACTTCTCACACACTTATCATAACTAGAAAGAATGGAGGCTTGGAAAGCAATACCTCTAAGGGACTTCTAATTGTCCATTACTACTGGAAAATAAAATAAAATAAAAACAACAATAGAGACAACCATAGAGTAAGATGTTCATGAGACAGGTAGCAAGGGTTGGGTAAAAATAAGTACAGTAATAAGGTCATATTTGGGAAGAGACACCAGAGATTTGGCCTTAAATCTCTCTGTTCTGCTAAGTTATGTATCTAAGTATCAGTTAAGATTCATTAAACTTCTGTTATGCTGTCAATATTCCTAAGAATCCTCCATAAGCCATATAAGACTGCTTTTATTCTTGCTTTATTCTTTCTATGATGTCAAAAGACTCTCCCAGAAAAGCCTGCAGGACAATTTAATAGAACCTCCATAAATTATATGCTGTTATTGAGCTTACAGAACAAAAATTCAAGTCAACTTTTTTTTCTTTTTTTTGAAACAGGGTCTCACTCTGTGGCCCAGGCTGGAGCCCAGTGACACAATCACAGCTCACTGCAGCCTTGACATCCCAGGCTCAAGCAATCCTCCCACCTCAGCCTCCCAAGTAGCTGGGACCTGCAAACACACACCATCATGCCTGGGCTAGTTTTTGTATTTTTTTTTTTTTTTTTTGTAGATATGGGGTCTCATTTATATGACTCAGGCTGGTCTCAAACTCCTAGGCTCAGGCAATCCTCCTGCCTTGGACTCCCAAAGTGCTAGGATTACAGGCATGAGCCACCACACCTGGCCTCAACTTTTACCCTAAGAACTGACTCATTATAGTGAAGTACTCCCAAGTTATGATCATACTACTTGCACCACACTTCCACGCCTGTCTGCATGTGGGCAAGCAGCACACCTGCTTGATACAGTCAAAGTGGACTCACTTGAACCACTGGGGCTGGCATGCTCAACCACCTGACCCCAAGCCTTTTCCCACCACTTTAGTTCTCCCTCTTAAGGTCACTCACACAAACTGTTTTTCTTGTTTCCTATCTTTACTCAATGGCAAGAAGATTCCTGGAGCTCAAATATTTCGGCTGACAGACTTCCGTACTGAAACACTGGTAGTAAATTCTGCATTGTCAAATAAGATGCTCCTCAAACTACAATGAGGTTATGTCCTAATAAGCCTGTCATAAGTTAAAAATATCATGTCAAAAATGCATTTAATACACCTAACTTACCTGAAACATGCTCAAAACACTTACATTAGCCTGCAGTTGGGCAAAATCATCTAATGCAAAGCTTACTTTATGATAAAGTGTTGAACATCTCATGTAATTTGTCAAATATTATACTGAGTATGAAAAGCAGGACGGCTGTATAGGCAGTCAAAATATGGTTTCCACTGAGTTATATCACTTTTGTACCATTGTAAAGTTGAAAAATCATAAGCAGAACTGTCATGAGTCAGGGATCCTCTGCATGTGTAACACATTCCCAAAATGCTTCCTCTCTCTTTACCAGCTCTGGCTCAATTACTTACTATTGGAAAGTCTCCCTGTCTTATTTTTTATGTTTTTAAGGCAACACAAATTAATTCTTAAGTGACAGGTATATGCATAGTGCTTTAAATATTCATGTATCAAAGACAATGAAATTGAGATGTTTAACAATATGTTTTGTCTAAGAATGACAAGAGCTACTTCAGAACTCAGATGTGTCTCTACCTCCCTTCTCAACCTCATCTAATCACTCATTGAGCAGTGACATTTAACATACATAAATTGTATATTTATAACCTGCATAAGTATTTATATGCAATTTAAAATTATATTCACAAATATTAGAAGTATTTACACATATGACCTTATATATTACATTATATACACACAATTTTGGTCTATCTGTACCCTAATTTCTGCAAAAGTTGTATCTCAAGGTGGAACTCAGGGAAGCTCAGTAGTTAAAAGGATGGACTCTGCCAGCTGTCAGTCTGTTGCTTTTCAGCTCCATTTCCACCTTTCCATTGCCCTACCTGTGTCTGCTAACACTTTTTTTTTTTTTTTGAGATGGAGTCTTGCTCTGTCACCCAGGCTGGAGTGCAATGGCACCATGTCGGTTCACTGCAAACTCCACTTCCCAGGTTCAGGCAATTCTGCTGCCTCAGCCTCCTGAGTAGCTGGGACTACTGGCACGTGCCACCATGGCCGGCTAATTTTTATATTTTTAGTAGAGACAGGGTTTCACCATGTTGGCCAGGCTGGTCTCAAACTCCTGACCTCATGATTCACCCACCTCAGCCTCCCAAAGTGCTGGGATTACAGGTATGAGTCACCACGCCCAGCCAGCTAACACAATTTTAAGCAACATCGGTAGAGGCTGCCGGAGGACGTACACTGGAAGAAAAAGGGCTCTTCTTCCTGGTTCTCTTCTTACCTGAAGGCATGTGGCAGCAACCCGTGGGCAGCTTTTCTCCAGACCCCTGAGAATGGTCTCCCAATGTACCATTCCCACTGGCAGATTCCCAGTGAGTTCTGCAGTGTGGCACCCCACTGTGGACAGCTTCCCCCTAGAACCCCAGAAGGCCAATCCCCTGCAAGTCTCCCTGCAACACTTCGGTGAACTACTCTGCCATGCAGTAAGACACACCTACTCCAGTGAGGTCTGGATCCCAGCCCTGGGGGAGGGGGTGCCTCTTTGGGTACTCTGCTCCTTATTTCTGCTACTCCTATATTCTTTAGAGTTTTCTTTACCCATACTAACCAATTTGTTATTGTTTATATTAAGCGTTCCCTGTTCAATTATTGTGTGTTCTCTGTCTTCACAGTGCACTCTAACTGATACAAAAATACTGAAGAGCTGCAAGATTGTCCCTATAGGAAAATATTCTAAGTCAAAACAACCACCTTTGAGAAATTTAGTAATGTATGTATAGTTTGACCAGCAAGATATAAGTGAAGTATGAATATCTTAGGAGGGACATCAGAAAACCCTTTAATTGCTTAATTTCTAATATGCTAAGTTGGCAGACATTTTGTATTTTCCAAGTTCTTCTGCCTAACAGAGTCAGAGCTAGATTCCACCAAGTAACCAAATCACATTTTTGAAACAAGGACACCAAGAAACTTACATTTTTGAACTCATTTCCCCTACAAAACCATACCTGAAGCCATACTCAATCCAATTAGATGTAATGTAATCAACATTTAGTGTCAACAACATTTCAGGGATTCTGCTAAGTGTTGGGGGCACAATGAGAAATGAACCAAAGACCTTGCCCTCAATCAGTCACAGCACCTGAGAGAGACAGGATACACATGCAAATATAATAGGGCGACAGCAGCAATGGAAACCCACACAGAGGGAGAAAAGGCAAAAGAAAAGAAGTTATTAACTCTGCTGGGGGGCCAGAGTAAGAGAGGAGAGGAGCACAGGGCAGAGACAAGGGACCCATGTTTTGAATAACCCATGAGCTGTGTGAGAAGGAAAGAGAGAAAAAAAAGGATACTTCAAGAAAAAGAAAATAAAAGAACAACAGCAATAAAGCACAAAAGAATAACACTGCAAGGCCATTTGAGGGAAATACAAGGACTTTCATACTAGCAGGGACATTCACTATAAGAGTGGGGGCCACGTGGGGGGAGGGAGGACTCTGGGCTGTATCTGGTGATGCAGAGGTCAAGGGTAGCTGGGTAGCCAAGGTGCTAAAATGGTTAGAAGCATACGTTAGGTAATTGGTGGCAGCACCAAGGGTAGACAACAAGTGACCAGAGCAGACACTGGGACATCAGTTATCACATGAACACAACAGACCTGGTGGAAAACAATAAGGGCTAGGACTAGGCTAGAGAGAAAAGTGGAGTTAAAGAGGATTTGGGAAATAGAATGAATGTGTCTTGGTAATTTACAAAATGTGGAAATATAAGAGAGGGAAAATTGGAAAATTCCATTTTTTTTTACTGGGGTGTCTAGATTCCACTAACCAAAAATAAAGAATATAGGTGGAAGCCCATGTGTGTGCATTTGTATATGGTGGTGAATGTTGGGAGAGTCATGGAAAATCCATTTAGTTTCGGTACAGGTCAGGTTTGGAGACAAAGTATGGTTAAAAAAAAAAAAAAAACAAAAACAAACTGAAAGAGTCAAGACAAAATCTTCTGAAATGCCTACATTTTAAAATTTGGCAAAATAACTGGATCCACGGCAGGTTGGTGGTGTCAGAGTAGACTGCTAGTAAAAAATATGGATTTACTAGCAGTCAAGAGAGGAGACGGTTTCAGAATAAGAGAGACAGAGACAGTCTCAGTCAAGATAAGAGAGATAGAGACAGTCCCACTGGCCTTTTAAAAACCTCCCTTTGTCCATCTCATCATGAGAGAGAGACAGAGAGAGAAATAGAGAATTATCAAGTACCATAAGAGAAATCAGGTCAAATGAAGAGAGATTTGCTGGTTTTTATCATCACCAGGTCACTTTTGACAGACAAGATTTACTGGAGTGGTGAAGAGGAGAAGCTCTCATCTCCTGAGAGGAAGCCCTGTCTTCCCCACCACCACTTTATTCATCTGCCTTACTCTTTCATTTTGCTCTGTTTTTTGTTTCCGCATATAACATCATCTGACATGCATTTATTGTCCATTCCTCCATCAAAACAGAAGGTAAGCACCTCAGCAGCCACTTTGTTTTGTTTGCTAATAAATCCAGTACCTAACACAGAGCCTGTCCTTTAGTGAGAGCTTAATAAAAATTTGTTGGCCAGGAGCAGTAGCTCACGCCTGTAATCCCAGCACTTTGGGAGGCCAAGGTAAGCAGATGGCTTGAGCTCACAAGTTTGAGACCAGCCTGGGAAACATGGCGAAACCCTGCTCTACCAAAAATACAAAAAATTAGCCGGGTGTAGTGGCACATGCCTGTGCTCCTAGCTACACAGTAGACTGAGGTGGGAAGATCGCTCAATCCCAAAAGCTGGAGGTTGTAGTGAGCCATGATCACACCACTGCACTCCAAACTGAGTGACAGAGTGAGATCCTGTCTAAAGAAAAAATATATATATATATATATTTTTTTTTTTTGAGAAAAAGTAATTACTACCCCCACACACTGAAATCTCCAGAGATAAACAGGAGGATTATACAGGCATCTAGCTCACAGGTGTCCTATGATGCTGATAACTGTGGGAAAAGAACCAGGGGATGGATAAATATCCAGTAACTGGAAGTCTAGGAAGTGATGTATTGAAAGGCATGAGCTCCAGAAGGAAATGGGCTTTCACATGAGGGAGGAAGAGTAACGATCTGAAAGCAGGAATGAAGACCCGTTCTCTTGGCCCTACGTGTAGAGGACAACGAAAGGCCCACAATCATAAGGCGGCTACATTTCCCCTGTCCTCAGCCTGCTGATTAGGTGTGGAGCCTTCCACATCACACATACTCTGAAGGCCATCACGAAGCCTGAACCATCAACCTTTAATCACTTAAGCTCCACATTTAGATCTCCAATATTACCTCACATCTCTCCTTAGGTGTCCCACTGGCACTCTAAATAAGTCTCAGAATTCATGACTTTTCCAATATTTGTTCTGCCTCCTGCTTGCCTATCTCAGTGAGTGACAGATCCCAGTTTCCATCCTCGAGAGGCCTGGAAATCATTCCTGACTCCTCACATCCTCCACGTTATATTCCCCAACATACAACTTGTCCCTGAACCCTGCTGATTCTATCCTCTCAGGCCCTTCTTCACCTCTCTATCTCCCATGACGGTTCTCCCTCCCTCTCCCTGGGGCTCAAGGGATGACAGCAAACAGCCTTGCAACTGCTTCAGAGGTTTATCTGGCAGCCACCCTATTCCCACTACCATTTTTTCTGAACTTATTGTCAATTGGCATATATATATATAAACACTGATCATTTAAATCCTTCTCCAGCTTAAAATTTTTCATTGGTCTTCCACCAAAATCGTCACCATGGCCTCTGAGGTCCCACTTCAAAAATGTCTCAAAGAAGACTGGGCACAGTGGCTCATGCTGGTATCCTAGCACTTTGGGAGGCCAAAGTGGGAGGATCACTTGAGCTCAGGAGTTGGAGACCAGCCTGGGCAAAACCCTGTCTCTACAATAAAATTTAAAAATTAGCCAGGGGTGGTGACACATGCCTGTAGTCCCAGCCACTCGGGAGGCCAAGGCAGGTGGATCACTTGAGCCCAGGAGTTCTTTTTTTTTTTTGAGATGGAGTCTCACTCTGTCACCCAGGCGGGAGTCCAGTGGCAACATCTCAGCTCACTGCAACCTCTGCCTCCCGGGCTGAAGCAATTCTCTCACCTCAGCCTCTGGAGTATCTGGGAGTACAGGCACAAGCCACCACGCCTGGCTAATTTTTTTTGTATTTTTAGTAGAGACGAGGTTTCACCATGTTGATCAGGCTGGTCTCGAACTCCTGACCTCAAGTGATCCACCTGCCTCAGCCTCCCAAAGTGCTGGGATTACAGGTGTGAGCCATGGTGCCCAGCCATGAGCCCAGGAATTCTAAGCTGCAGTGAGCTATGATCTCGCTACTGCACAGCAGTGAAACCCTGTTTCAAAAAAAAAAAAAAAAAGTCCCAAACTTCTTCTCTGGCCTCATCACAAGTTATTCTTCCTTGCTGGATCTCCGTGCTCCAGTCCCACAGGCCTTTTAAAAACCTCCCATTGTCTACCTCACCATCCCCTAATTATCTCAGTCACCATTCAGATCTCCACCCAGCTGATCCCTACTCAGGAATTTCTTCCCCAGTTACCCAGGCTTGGCTAGATCCTGTATCGTACGCTGTTACAGGACCTTTTCTTTTTTCTTTAAAATACTGATCACACTGTTACCGTAATATTTAAGTAAAAAATTTAATTCTTATCTCTTTTCCTCACTGGACAGTAAGTTCCATGAAGTCAAAGACTGTTTCATTCACCATTCTATCTGTAGCACCTAGCACTAGGCTACGTACATAGACAGCAAGCACCCAGAAAATATCCACTGGATGAGTGAATGAGTGGTTTGGATGGTTAAACCAATGATTTAATTCCCCCATCCATGCACATGTATAATTTAAATAATTAATGAATCAGGAAGAGGGAACAATACTGCAGAGGAAGAAATCACAAAGAATAACATCACAGAGGAAAGGCTGGACTGTGGTGGCTCATGCCTGAAATCGCAGCACTTTGGGAGGCCAAGCCTAGGAGTTAAGAGGCTGCAGTGAACCATGCACTCCAGCCTGGGTGACAGAGTAAGACCATCGCTTAAAAAAAAAACTACTACTACTACTAAAAATAATGTTGCAGAGGAAAGAGGGAAAGAATGAGCCTCGTCTTGTGAGAAGCAGCTGATCAACTGCCCGGAGAGCAGGGCTCACAGTACAGTGAGAAAGAATCCCTGGATAAGCAAAGAAGGATAGGTACGGAGATGTAATTTGATACAGGAGGCAATGGAAAACACGAAAGAAGGAAGTGACATGTTGAAAGATTATTTTGGAGAGTATTTAGCAGAGGAGTAGTGAGTAGGAAGGCAGAGGTGTGAGCAAAACTAGGGCAGACTTTAAAGCTGTGAAACCCATCCATACACTTGCATAATTTAAATAATTAATGAACCAGTAAGGTTTACTGATTCCTATTATATGCTCATATACGAAAGGAGTATAAAACATGGACCTTGTCCATATGAAAAGGGGAGGAAAGGATATCACAGGGAAGGAAGCATAATGAGTAATGTCCCAAAGGACAGAGTGAGATTAGTTTTGTGAGTAAAATAAATTATACTGTCTAATAAATATCTAATACTTCCTATAATCTGTGTTCTTACAGAAATAATAATAGAGTTTAAGACAATCTTTCAGGCTTATCAGTTATGAAACTAACAATGATGGGTTTACTCTCACTAAATATAAAATACCTGAATCCTACATCCTTTCATAACAACAGTTATCAAGTTAAAGTCAGGTAAAGTGTGGTTACATGTGGAAACTGGTTCCAGAGCTGGTCTCCAGGCGTCGGTGGTCACCCTCCAACTTTCTGCTGTGGGACCCAGGATTCTCAGTGAAATTCTGCCTGGAGTACCAGCAGGGCACCATGCTGGTGTCGAAGCTGTCATGGGAATTCCTTACATTGACAAACTCACCAAGTAGCAGATATCCTGTCTCCCTAGAGCTCTTCCTGTATTAACTCCTTTAATCCTTACAGTCACCTAGTACCCTCTCCAATATCATCGTCTTTTAAAGGTTAAGTGGTTTAAGCAGAGGAGATAAGTAACTGGCTTGAGGTCACACACCTCCTGGGAGAATAGAGACAGAATACTGGGCCTTGGAATCTAAAAACACTACTCCTTTACTCCTTTTCTCTCCCATTCCTCCACCCCAGCCTGGGTGCACCTTTGGCAGCCAGATGTCCTGCTGGTTGCTGGCCAACACCTGTGGAATTATCGACCAGTGACTTTCTTGTGAAAATGCCACTGGGCACACAACTTATTCAGTGTGGCGTTTAGTAACCTCACGTCGGAAAACTATGACATACCACTGTGTCCGGAATTGGTGGGTTCTTTGTCTTGCTGACTTCAATAATGAAGCCACGGACCCTCGCGGTGAGTGTTACAGTTCTTAAAGATGGTGTGTCCAGAGTTTGTTCCTTCAGATGTTCAGATGTGTCCGGAGTTTCTTCCTTCTGGTGGGTTCGTGGTCTCACTGACTTCAGGAGTGAAGCTGCAGACCTTCGCAGTGTTACAGCTCTACAAGGCATCGCCTCTGGAATTGTTCATTCCTTCTGGTGGGTTCGTGGTCTTGCTGGCTTCCGGCTTCAGGAGTGAAGTTGCAGACCTTCGCTGTGAGTGTTACAGCTCTTAAAGGCGGTGCGGACCCAAAGAGTGAACAGCAGCAAGATTCATTGCAAAGAGCGAAAGAACAAAGCTTCCACAGCGGGGAATGGGACCCCAGCCGGTTGCCGCAGCTGGCTCTGGCAGCCTGCTTTTATTCCTTTATCTGGCCCCATCCACATCCTGCAGATTGGTCCATTTTACAGAGAACTGATTGGTCCGTTTTGACAGGGTGCTCATTGGTGCATTTACAATCCCTGAGCTAGACACAGAGTGCTGATTGGTACATTTACAATCCTCTAGCTGGACATAAAAGTTCTCCAAGTCCCCACTAGATTAGCTAGATACAGAGTGCTGAATGGTGTGTTTACAATCCTTTAGTTAGACACAAAAGGTCTCCAAGCCAGATTAGCTAGACACAGAGTGCTGATGGGTGCATTTACAATCCTCCAGCTAGACATAAAAGTTCTCCAAGTCCCCACCAGATTAGCTAAATACAGAGTGCTGATTGGTGCAGCCATGAATCCCGAGCTAGACACAGATTGCTGATTGTTGCATATACAATCCTCCAGCTAGACATAAAAGTTCTCCAAGTCCCCACTGGACTCAGGGGCCCAACTGGCTTCGCCTAGTGGATCCCACACCAGGGCTGCAGGCAGAGCTGCCCACCAGTCCCGCACCGTGCACTGGCACTCCTCAAACCTAGGGCGGCAGATGGGACCGGGTGCCGTGGAGCAGGAGGTGGTGCCTGTTGGGGAGGCTTGGGCCACTGGGAGCCCACGGCGGGGGGTGGGGGTGGGGGTTGGTTGGGGAGCTAGGGCATGGCGGGCTGCAGGTCCCCAACCCTGAGCGGGGAGGCGGCTGAGGCCCAGTGAGAACTCCAGCGCGGCTCGGGCGGGCTGGCAGTACTGGGGGATCCGGCACACCCTCCACAGCTGCTGGCCCAGGTGCTAAACCCCTTACTTCCCGGGGCCAGCGGTGCTGGCTGGCCGCTCCAAGTGTGGGGCCCACTGAGCCCATGCCCACCCGGAACTCACGCTGTCCTGCAAGCGCCCCGCACAGCCCCGGGTCCCCGCCCGCACCTCTCCCTTCACACCTCCCTGCAAGCAGAGGGAGCCAGCTCCGGCCTCAGCCAGCCCAGAGAGTGGCTCCCACAGCGCAGCGGTGGGCTGAAGGGCTCCTTGAGCATGGCCAGAGTGGACATCGAGGCTGAGGAGGCACCAAGAGCGAGCAAGGGCTGCTAGCACTTTGTCACCTTTCACTATGTATGTCACATTTGTCCACATTTCAGTAAATTTTAACTTACATACAGCCTTCAATCTGAGCACCACCAACTGCCACTCTTCCCATTAATCTACTCAGCTTATATACCAAAGAAGTCACTGAATATCTTAACAAAGTCGCGGTGAACTAATAACAAAAGTGAAATGTGATTACTATAACAAGAAACTATATCTGCCAAAAGTAAGTCTGCTCAGCTGTCTAAACAAGGCTTCAAACATACTTTTCCACAGAAGCCCTTATTGTTCACACATTGCTGTTGATTTGAACCATGCATTACTTCTTTGATTTAAAAGGATTTTATAATGACGAGAAAAACATTATCTGCTTGCCAAATCATTGTGGCTATGAGATGGTTCCAGGAAGGCTGCCAGCATGTGTTCAGCAAAACGCTGAGAAAAGTACAAGAGTCTCACTTATAAGACATGCCTTTTTCTCCTGAATAATGCCAAATAAAATATTGTCTCATAATTTCCATAACCTATGCTGTCCTTGGAGAAACAGCAACATAGATTTTAAAACTACTTTTCAGGTGTTATCAATTCATGAAGCTTTGTAACTGTGGTGAAGTTTAGTCTCACTAGAAATCAAATAATTTTGGTTTTCCAGTATGTAAATACCAGTATTTTTTTTACGTGGAAACATTTTACTTCCTGATTCATACGTGTTGTAATCCAAACTTAAAAGAGATACACTTTAAAAAGGAAAATCTGAACCTCAAGTGTGCTGAAGCTCTAAGACATGAACTGTTTTACTGGATGGAAACACACTAAGGCAGCATTTGTCCATCTGTGGGACCTGTCTGTGACTCACACAAAACGGAGTCCTCTGTGGTGACACCAGACACAGAAATGCAAAGGAGCCCGGGGCTCCATTCTGACTATGCTGTCCAAGAAGACACACTTTGGCTCCCTGTTAACGCCCTAGATGTGGAGAAAGAACAATGGTCACGTACCGGAAAAGGCCAGTGTGCCTCCTCTGATTTCAAGTGAAAACTCTAAAGTGATGTTCTCTCCTTTCATTTCCAGTTATTTTTTGGAAAAGTCATCCACCAAGGTGAGTTAAATGATAACGTGTACTAAATTTTTTAAAAATTATCCAGTCTATCACTGATGGGCATTCGGGTTGGTTCCAAGTCTTTGCTATTATAAATAATGCTGCAATAAACATATGTGTGCATATGTCTGAATAAAGAAAATGTGGCACATATACACCATGGAATACCACGCAGCCATAAAAAAAGAATGAGTTCATGTCCTCTGCAGGAATGTGGACGAAGCTGGAAGCCATCATTCCAAGCAAACCAACACAGGACCAGAAAACCAAACACCATACATTCTCACTCATAAGTGGGAGCTAAACAATGAGAACACATGCACGCAGGGAGGGGAACAACATACACCAGGGCCTGTTGGGGGCGCTGGGGGTTAAAGGAGGGGAGAGGATTAGGACAAACACCCAATGCACACAGGGCTTAAAATTTAGACTATGGGTTGATAGGTGCAGCAAACCACCACGGCACATGCACGCCCATGCAACAAACCTGCACGTTCTGTACATGCATCCCAGAACCCAAAGTAAAAAAAACAACAACAAAAAAAGAAATTATAACCTCTTGAACCTCAAAATAAAATAAAATAAAGACCTACTTGTGCATCTTTTGCCAAAGGAAACAAACTTAAGGTAAGGGGGTGGGGAGGAGAGCAGTAAACCCTGGGAAAAGCCAACATGATCCGAAACTTGGACTGTCTAAATTATTAAAATATTCTTTAAAAAATGAATAGGTTCCTGACTGATTAGTCTGTTTACGAGAAACACCTACAATACATTAGAGTAGACAATAAAATAACTAAGGGGGAGTATCTCAATTACTTGTTAGGGTCCTTCATAAAATTTTATTAATGGCACCTTAAATGTAAACACTACAGAGAAACTGCCAGAAGAATGAAGACTTAGCAGAAAATACATGTCTTTTGCCACAAGTAATGAGAAAACAAGAGCCAAATGTTTGTCTTTAAAGTTGGTTTGCTTACCCTTCAACTTTGACATTCATTTGAAAAATGAGGACATTTTATATACCAGGCTGTATCTCGACTGCTCACTACATTGCAATACAATAAGCTTATGTTCAAGCAGCAGTTGGAGAAGGATGCTGTTAGCCCCAATTAAATATCCACTTCACACAGCATGACTACAGAGAGATCCTGCTTCCCATGATGACTGATCAGCTCAAGTACCATCTGGAGAGACAGGAGAACCTGGAGGCCTGCTGTCAGCTGCTCAGCCACATCCTGGAGGTGCTGTACAGGAAGGACATGGGGCCAACTCAGAGGCAGATCCAGATTATCATGGAGAAACTTCTCCAGACTGTGAACCAAACCATCATTTCCATGGGACAAGATTCCGAACTCACTGTAAGTGCTTGGTGACAGTATTTTTTTTTTCCAGGTCACTTTGTGTGCCCAAAGCCAGTCAATGGATTCTTTGTTGGCACTGTTTTGTGCCAGGCTTTTTATCCATCCAAGTCTCCCTCAACCTACCTTCTAGCCTTCTCTTCCATTTCTTTCAAGAACATATTTTCTGTTCCAGTAAAAGGACACACTTGTGTAGCCCTCCACACTCTGCGTACATTCCCACCCCCATAGCTTAACCATTTGTTCAATAAATGTTTACCAAGACAAACCAAAATGCCAGGCAATATGATCAGGTGTCATAAGCAAGGGTTTGCTTCCTTCCTAGAGCTTACAGTGGGGCAAACAAATGGTTATACAAACCAATATGCCTGTGGCTTGATAAATACTAGTGAGAATTTCTGGTGCTATAAGTTTGTAACAAAGTTTGAATCTAGCTGAGGAGGTCATGGTGGCTTCCCTGAGGAGGTGAGCAGAGATCTGAAGACAAAGAATTTGCAAATCAAAAGGAACCAAGGGGCCAGGAGACAGTGGGTAGAGGGAACACAGCCTATCTAAGGGGGCCTTAAGGCAGCTCCCTGGGCTGCAGTGAAGGGCCTGAGAGTACAGTGGAATGGGAGGTGCCTGAGGAGGACGGGTGGGCTTTGTCAGGCCTGGAAAGTGCTCTGGTCTTTATCCCAGGAGCATGGAATGCCATCAATATTTAAGGCAGAGAGTCACATGATAAAAACTGTATTTTGCAAATAGCTAAAATTTATTTTAGGGACTTCATGTATATTAACCCTCACAACTGCATAAAGAAGGTGCTAGTATTTATCTTAAAGGTAAACAACAACAACAACAACAATAAAAACCCAAAAAGCATACAGAAGTAAAGAGACATGGCCAAGATCACACAGCCAGAGTGTGGAAGAGTCAAGATTTAAGCCCAGTCTCACTCTAGAGCTCCCTTTTTCACCACCATGCAATCAAGTTCAGCAATTTATCAATTTGTGGCTCATTCGGCTGAGCTGGAAGGGCCAATGAGTAAATGGATTGGTAAGGATTAGGCAGGAGAATGCTCCTGTTCACCTGTTTGTCAAGCATTCCGCAGCTTGATGGTATTTCTCTATTCTAAGCCATCTTAATACTTTCCCATGCTCTGTGTAGGTATAAAACACTGCTGTCCTGTCTTATACCACATCATTGTATGTCTCTCTTGTTAAGACTGCAAACTGCATCTTTGAAATCTCTGTAGTGTCTAGTATCATTAGACACTCAAATTTTAAAGGAAATCATTAGGTCCTTGTGGTAATGGACTTTGGAAAGTTATTGAATCTAAAGGCTGCTGTGCTGACCAGTGTGGGATGAAGTTTTCATGAATTCAAAGTGAAAAAAGAAAATACAAGGACTTCAAAGTCCATTTTAATAAAGCTGATTTTAATATTCTAATAGTTGAAACTGTAGGTACAAGAAGTCACTTTTTGTAATACAATGTTATTAACTGTAAATGTGTGGTTTTGTTGCTGTATTCATCCAATGGATTCTTCCCACACAGCTGCACAGACAAAACCAACTCACTGAGACTGTGCTATAACAATAGAGAAGGAATTTTATTAATGCAAGGCTGGCCACACAGAAGATGGGAGTTATTACTCAAATTAATCTCTCAAAGGCTTGGAGTTTACGTTTTTTGTAAGGATAATTTGGTGGGCAAGGGTTTAGGAAATGGGGAATGTTGACTGCTTAGAGGTGAAATCACAGGTGTGTGGGAAATGGTCCTCCTGCACTTAGCCTCTGAGTAGGGGCCATAGGATGGGTTGCACCACTACTGTGGGTCTGGGTGGATTTAGTTGGTGGTCAAAAATGCAAAAATGTGAAAGATACCTCAAAAGGCCGATCTTAGGTTCTACATAGTGATGTTATCTATAGGAGCAATTCAGGGAAGTCACAAATCTTGTGACCTCTGGCCATAGGACTACTGAACAGTAAGGGGTTACAGAAATTATGCCTACATTTTAGCAGAATGTTGCAGGAAGTCAGGGACCTCGAATGGAGGGACCAGCTGAAACCATGGCAGAACATAAATTGTGAAGATTTCATGGACATTTAACACTTCCCCAATCAATACTCTTATAATTTCCTATGCCTGTCTTTTATCTCTTAATCCCGTCATCTTCGTAAGTTGAGGATGTATGTTGCCCAGGACCCTGTAATGACTGCGTTAACTGCACAAATTGTTCGTAAAGCATGTGCGTTTGAACAATATGAAATCTGGGCACCTTAAGAACAGGGTAACAGTGATTTTCAGGGAACAAGGGAGATAACCTTAAAGTCTGGCTGCCTGTGGGCCGGGCAGGACAGAGCCATATTTCTCTTATTACCGAAAACAGGTAAGATAAATATCACTGAATTCTTTCCCCAGTAAGGAATATTAATAATTAACAGCCCTGGGAAAAGAATGCATTCCTGGGGGGGGGGGGCTCTAAAATGGCCACCCTGGGAGTGTCTGCCTCATGCACATGTAGATAGGAATGAAACATGCCCTACTCTCCTGCAGCACCCCCAGGCTTGCTAGGATTAGGAAATTCCAGCCTGGCGAATTCTAGTCAGACCGGTTCTCTGCTCTTGAATCCTGTTAAGATGTTTATCAATGACAATGTGTGCACAGCAGGACGTGGACGTTCATTAGTGATTCTAGTTTCACCCTGACCTTGTGATCTCGCCCTAACCTTGTGATCTCACCCTGACCTTCTGCCTTGTGATCTTTTGTTGCCCTTAAAGCATGTGATCTCTGTGACCCACACCCTATTCGTATACTCCCTCCCCTTTGAAAATTGCTGGTAAAAACTTGCTGGTTTTACGGCTCAGGGGGCATCACGGAACCTGCCGACATATTATGTCTCCCCTGGACATCCAGCTTTAAAATTTCTCTCTTTTGTACTCTTTCCCTTTATTTCTCAGACCGGCCAACACTGAGGGAACATAGCAAAGGACCCACATTGAAATATCGGGGGCTGAATTTCCCCCAATAGCAGAACTCAGGCCCCTCTCACAATCCTAATCTTGTGGCCTTTCATTAGTTTTACAAAGATGGTTTTTAGTCCCTGAGAAAGAAGGGGTTTAGTTTTAGAGAGGGACTATTATCATCTTTGCTTCCAAGTTAAACTATAAACTAAATCTTTGCCATGATTAGCTTGACCTATGTACAGGAATGAACAAAGACAGCCAGCCTATGAGGCTAGAAGCAAGATAGAGTCAGCTATGTTAGATTTCTCTGTCATAATCTTTGCAAAGGCAGTTTTATTGTTGTTGCAATGGTTAATTACCTTTCTTGGCACACAAAAAAAGTACAATATCTGACCTCTGTTTTTATTTACTAATCCATGAATTCCAAAGATTTGAAAAACACTCGTTTAAACAATCCCATTTCTTTACCTATCAAATGTGAAGAATCACAGCTTAAAACTAATAGCAAATAATCTGTTTTATCTAAAAAATAAATTTTGTTAAGAAATACCTCTAGACCCTTATCTATAAACTAGGAGACACTTGCTTTCAAAAGATCCTTCCAACTTTTCTAAATCCCTTATGATTAATCTAAACCCCTCATATCAAATCTAAAGCCCTTAGACCAGGCCAGGCATGGTGGCTCATACCTGTAATCCCAGCACTTTGGGAGACCAAGGTGGGTGGATCACCTGAGGTCAGGAGTTCGAGACCAGCCTGGCCAACATGGCAAAAGCCTGTCTCTATTAAAAATACAAAAATTAGCCAGGTGTGGTGGTGCACGCCTGTAATCCCAGCTACTCAGGAAGCTGAGGCATGAGAATCACTTGAGTCTGAGAGGTGGAGGTTGCAGTGGGTCGGGATAATGCCACTGCACTCCAGCCTGGGCAACAGAGTGAGACTGTCTCAAAAAGAAAAACAATAAAACATCTAAAAAACTAGAAATACCATTTGACCCAGCCATCCCATTACTGGGTATATACCCAAAGGACTATAAATCATGCTTCTATAAAGACACAGGCACACGTATGTTTATTGCGGCATTATTCACAATAGCAAAGACTTGGAACCAACCCAAATGTCCAACAATGATAGACTGGATTAAGAAAATGTGGCACATATACACCATGGAATACTATGCAGCCATACAAAATGATGAGTTCATGTCCTTTGTAGGGACATGGATGAAATTGGAAATCATCATTCTCAGTAAACTATCGCAAGAACAAAAAACCAAACACCGCATATTCTCACTCATAGGTGGGAATTGAACAATGAGACCACATGGACACAGGAAGGGGAACATCACACTCTGGGGACTGTTGTAGGGTGGGGGGAGGGGGAGGGATAGCATTGGGAGATATACCTAATGCTAGATGACAAGTTAGTGGGTGCAGTGCACCAGCATGGCACATGTATACATATGTAATGAACCTGCACAATGTGCACATGTACCCTAAAACTTAAAGTATAATAATAAAAGAAAGAGCTCTCCGGTCCGTGCCTCCAAGATGACAAAGAAAAGAAGGAACAATGGTCGTGCCAAAAAGGGCCGCGGCCACGTGCAACCTGTTCGCTGTACTAACTGTGCCCGATGCGTGCCCAAGGACAAGGCCATTAAGAAATTCGTCATTCGAAACATAGTGGAGGCCGTAGCAGTCAGGGACATTTCTGAAGCAAGCGTCTTCGATGCCTATGTGCTTCCCAAGCTGTATGTGAAGCTACATTACTGTGTGAGTTGTGCAATTCACAGCAAAGTAGTCAGGAATCGATCTCGTGAAGCCCGCAAGGACCGAACACCCCCACCCAGATTTAGACCTGCGGGTGCTGCCCCACGTCCCCCACCAAAGCCCATGTAAGGAGCTGAGTTCTTAAAGACTGAAGACAGGTTATTCTCTGGAGAAAAATAAAATGGAAATTGTAAAAAAATAATAATAATAATAAAAGAAAGAAAAAAAACAACATCTAAAAAAAAATAAATAAAAATAAAAATAAAACCCTTAGACCAAATATAAAGCCTTGAACTGTCTATGCCTTCTTACATCCTGTTTTAAGAACTGAGATGAGTCTAGACCCAAATGAATACAAATGGGATTTGAAAAGCATAAAGCTTTTTTTTTTGTTTGCTTGTTTGGAAAATAATACATACACATGGTATTACCATAATCTTATCAATATTATGAAGTCGTTCTAAAGCTTTTTTCTTCTAATATCAGCTAATAGCAGATCTTTGAGTCTTTCTTCCTAGGTATTTTCCAACTAAATGCTTAGTTTAAATTTCCCTAAGCCAACAGCAAATACTCCTTAACCTTGTACTTATGAGACTGAAAGTGAAGATTTACCAAGCCTCTTGTATAAACACAAAGATCACTGCACCCTACCTGGGCTTCCAATCTGTTTGACACTGTGCAACAAAGACTGAGACCCTAAAGTGGAAGAAAAATCTTGTTGTTCATCATGGAAAAGGGAGCAACGGAATGGCAAATAAGAATTTCTAGAGAAAAGCTTCTACACGTAGCCACAAAGTCAAAGAAGATACCAGCTTTCCACGCCATATTTTCAGCCTAAGCCATCTCTTCCACCTTCATTCAATGTGTTTCATGGTGTGATAGAAAAGTCTGAATGTTTCTTGGGCTATTTTCCATCTATTCTATAAAGAAAATGTTTTTCTTGTTTTGCCCTCACTGTAATAATACAGAAAATAAATCTTAAAAATTTAGTGTATTACTTTTGAAGCCTCATAATATATCTAATGTTGAATAAATCCTTAATATATGTTTACTATCTGAAAAAAAATATGTGTTCCCATGCTGTCTTACAGCTTTACAGTATTCCAACTTCAATTACAGAATTCAATTCACCTCATCCTTACTTCTGTGCTACTCTCCACTCATCAGCTGGGAAATAATGTAACAAAACTGAGAGGGCATGAGGAGACCCGAGAGTTCAAGGTGTGACACAAGCTAAGAGACTCTGAACCATTCTGGGTCAGTTTCCTCATCAGTGGAATACAGGTAATCTAGAGATGGGATAATTCCCTTGACCTTGATCCCCCTCTTGGGTGGGAACTCAGTGGCCTGTTTCACTCAGCCTGTCACTGGCCACTCCTCACGAGAGAGAACATGCAAGCAAGCAATTGTAGAGACTGGAACAAACGATTGCTGGAACGGCCAGTTGCTCCTCTCTTGTGGGAGCAGGCTCTGTGTGGGCCCTGGAGCAGCTCCCAGCCCCTGTCCTCTTGGTTCTTGTCTGGCGTCCAGGAAGAATCAGGTCACATGAACAGATTGAAGGGTAGTGTATGTGGATGATTTTATTTGGTGATGGAAGTGGTTCTTGGCGGGATGAGAGTTGGAAAGGGGATGGTGCAGGAAGAAGGTGATCTTTCCCTGAAGCCACGCTGTCTGAAGTTAGCCACATCTATCTGTAGTTTCTGATGCTCAGTTGCTGCTTCTCAGCTTACTCCTCAGCCACTTGTATCCCTGATGCTCAGCAGCTTATGTGTTGCTCTGCCAGCTGAAGTCTTTTTAAGGGCACAGGATAGAAGTGTGGCAGGCCAAAAAGGCAACATTTGGGTGGGAAAACCAAGAAAAACAGGGTCAGTTGTTTTCTCTTACAACCACCATTCCAGGCTTAAGGGTGGGGGTTTAGCTTGGAACCCAGTGGTTCTGTATCAATATCACTTTTAAAAATACTTTTTGTTTCGTAACAATTTTATATATTATGGGGTACAACGTGATGTTTTGATATGTGCTTACAAAGTGGAATAACTTTCTCAACATATTTTTTTTAATACTACATGACATAGTGAAATAAATTTTAAAATCACTGCTACTTAAAATGTTATCTGTGGACCAATGACAGTACCCAGACTGTTTCCTGTCCCTCAGCAAGTACAGAAGGGCGGTCCTCTAATAAGCTTGCTTTGATATAATGTTAATGAAGAAAAAAAAAACAAACAGATTCCCAGTTGGGGCTGCTGTCTGTGTGGAGTTTGCATGTTCTCCCCAAGTCTACATGGGTTTCCTCCAGGTACTCCAGTTTCCTCCCACATCCCAAAGACATGTATATGAGGTTCACTGTGTCTACACTGTCCTGGTGTGAGTTAGTGTGGGGGTGTGTGTGAGCGTGCCCTGTGATGAGATGGCATCCTCTACAAGGTGCTTGCCTTGTACCCTGAGCTGCTAGGTTCTGACCACCTGTGACCCTTAACTAAAATAAGTGGATAATTGTCTTACTTACTTACTTGTTTTTATTTATCTTTATTAAATGTATAGAGAGCTCACATTTATTTCCATGCTAAATATTAGAAGTGTTTTGGTTTTTGTTTAGAAGTTTGGTGATATTTTTGTGACCAGAAATAGGCTGTAGGAACTTGACTCTTACTTATATCCATCAGCCTGTGGTTAAATTGATATCATTATATGTCGTTTCACTTAAAAATCACAGTTTCTGAGAATCTATCAACTATGTTAAGTGAGGACTGTGAGGACTTACTGTACAGAGAGCATAGTTTTTTAGAAACTTCTGAACTGATATTACATTGCCATAGCATCCAAAAGCATGATTTTCCCCCAATATTTTATTATAAAAATGTTTAAACATATAGAAAAGTTTAAAGAAGTTTGTAGTAAGCATATATATATATACACACATATATATACACCTACTAGATTCTACAATTAACATTTTATTCTATTTGTTCTTTCACGTATCAACCCAATCCTTCATCAATTCAAATTATTGTTATGCATTTTAGAATAAGTCAAACACATGATTTTATATTTTATAAAATATTCCACAATGGATGAGAAATCAATAAATACCAGTCCTTTGCTGCTGATAAAATACCTCAAAAAAACCTTTCACTTGAGAAGATGGGTGATATGCCAATGTTAACAAGGAAGTTGGGAGGAAAGAGATTTCTAAAAGCCAAACCATTACATGTTCCACAATACTACCAAGACACCAGAGAATGAGTTGCTACCCTCTCAAATCCTAGGTTTATAAAACATAAATCTTAAGGATAGCACGTTATTTACTCTTGATAATCCAAGGGCCTGCTGCAGAGGAATGAAGTTCCAAAGTAAAAATGGAAAAAAAAGTCTGGAAAGTAAATCAATTTTAAAAACAAACATTCTGTTAAATTAAAGCAAAATGAACCCAAAACTTAACTAAATTTCCCTGGCATACAGTGGCTCTCAATAAATATTTGTTGAATAGATTTTATAGTTTATACCTTGTAGTTGTTTATTTTTTTAACAGATGGCAACTACATGTGGAATAGCAATGTTATTGCTTTTTAATCCCAGAATCTGATTCCCAGGATTGTGAGCGACCCAAAGGTATAAATCCAATCACCCTTCTAAAGCTTGAATTCACTCACCATCACCACCACTAAAGTGACATCCAAACAATATCAAACTCCTTTAAGGAAGAGAAACTAGGCTCTCTGAAGGCAATAACCTGTCTACAGGCAGGAACAACATCTGCAAAGTTGTTTCCAAGTGGCAATGCTCTCCCTGTAGCTGTCATTTTCTTATTGCATGCTAATCCCTGCAAAAACAAAGAAAATCAAATTCTTCCCAAGCCCATTCTTCAAGCGTTTGATGGCAGCTAACACTGTCTTCTGTCTTGCAGGTTAAACGTTCCTGACACTTCTCAGATGACAAGACCCACTTACTATCCTACTGGCTCTCCTTAACACAAGTTTCACTTTTTCTGCACAGGTTCTAGATTAAGGCCTTCATTCATTCTTTTCAGGTCTTTGTTCAGCTCATTATCTTCTTGGTGATGTCTCTTCTATTTAAAGCTGCATCTCTGTCTTTTGTAGTTCCCTATTCTGTTTTCTATTTTTCTCCACAGCACTTATAACTACGTAGCACATGACATTTATTGTATTTTCTTCCCACTAGCAAGTAAGCTCCATGATGGCAGGCATTTTATATGGTTCACCACTGTATCTCCAGGGCAATCAATATTTGTTGAATGAATCAATGAACCTGCCATATGGGTAAGATCTTACAATCAAGGAGGAAGACAGTAATTCATTCCAGTTAGAGAAGCAATGCTGTTAAAGCAGAGGAAGATGCCACAAACCTTTGGAGGGCCTACATACACTCCCAATGCCTTACCCTGAACTTATTTTCACCTACATTATTATGGAAGCTAAACTAAGTATCCCACCAGTATTTGTGAAGCTGGTTTTATGGACCCGAACCTAGAAATTTACATGACTCCCTTCTGAATTTCACCTGTGGTCCACTTTTTTAGTATATTGATATCAGATCTTTAGTGAATATAATGGAATTAACTATTCTCTTCCAGTGTGGACTGCCCAAAACTGTTCATACTTTTCAGTTTTTTTCTATTCTTTTATTTATAAATTGCAAATTATCTAAAATCTATTAGTTTACTCACAACTCCCTTGACAGTTGTGATAGTGGTAGCGGATAGAGAAACCAGTACTGGGAGAGGAAAGGATTTCTTTGCACAGTCATGCAGAAGTCAGAAACCTATTGTACATGTGAAATATGCCTAAATGTATCTTGTATTAATGTAGTAATAGCAGTTACTGAGATTTTCAATTACACTATTATACTATTTTTATTACAGCTGTGATGCATCATTGCTGAAAATGAACTATCTGATCTAAGTGAGGTTCTTAAACTCGAGTACGCATTAGAATCAGCTGGAGGACTTGGTGAACCAGATTGCTGCCCCCTCCTCAAGTTTCTGTAAACTCTGCAGTGAGCTTAAGAATTTGCATTTCTAACAAGTTCCCAGGTGATGCTGAGGCTGCTCGAAGATGCTTTTCCCTGGGGACAGAAAGTGAATGCAGGTGGTCTGATGTAAAAGGCACATGTTCTTTTTGAAAAGTAACTATGCTCTGCACTGTTCTCCACCCTGACAGAGTCTCATTCTGCCAGGCTGGTGTGCAGTGGCACAATCTCGGCTCACTGCAACCTCCGCCTCCCGTGCTCAAGCAATTCTCATGCTTCAGGCTCCCGAGTAGCTGGTATTACAGGAATGTGTCACTACGCCCGGCTAACTTTTGTATTTTTAGTAGAGACGGGGTTTTACCATGTTGGCCAGGCTGGTCTCAAACTCCTGGCCTCGGGTCATCTGTCTGCCTCAGCTTCCCACAGTGCTGGGATTACAGGGGTGAGCCACCACACCTGGCCTAACTATGCTTTTTAAGCTTAAACTTTTAAAAAGGATTGATATCAATTATTAGGATAATTACACAATTTTTTACCCCTTTTGAACTTCAGCAGAAAGGCAGCCTACATCAAAACCCTTCAAACTAAATACTTTTTACACAAGGGAGCTACTAGCTCCAATATCAGTACTTCCTAAATGGAAACATCCATTCCTACAGCTCAATATTTCTTTTTACTCAAATCAGATATACCCTGGCCATATCTTCACCCTCACACAACTCCTTTTTCTTTCCTAATTATGTTGAGATCACGTAAGGTATCATTCAACCACCCTCCAGCTAGCACTCCCAATGCCTTTAGCTGGGATTTTTCTTCCACTGTGCATTTCTTTAAGCCCTTAAAGCTGGACTCATCCTAATGCTTTGTCCTTTACTTAAAAACTAGTGTTTCAAGCTAACTGCAGGGTAGTGGTTAAGACCATGAGCTGTGGAACCAGAACAAGTTCAAATATAGGTTCTGTGTGTCACATACCAGCTGTTTAACTTTGGGCAAGTTACTCAGTCTCTCTGCGTCTCCATTTCTTCATCTCAAGAATGAGGATACCAATAATGCCTATCTCATAGCATTACTGTTAAGGATTAAATGAGATTCTACCTATTAAGGGAATGTAGCAACACCTTGTGTATTATAGCTAAGATTATTACCACCCCTCCCTCTATTCCTATCACACTTGCCAGCTTTACTCAGCCTGCTAAGCATTCTTGGGTGACAAAAATATCTTATAACATAGTACATAGGGATACTACAAATTCAGGGAGCCAAAAATAGTAACACTGAAATTTACATAATAGTAAAATCACCACTAATATAAATGTCATTGGTGGTTAAATTATTTTGTTAATAAATCACAAGTTAGTACTTAACATGTATCAAGCCTTTTGTTAATTTTTTACATTTATCTCATTTAATTAGTCTAAGTATAGACCTATATTTCCAGCTATGCCATGAACATCACCCAGAATCTGTTCTATGACATATTCAAAATCTGTACTCTTCTACTTCAAACTTAATTCACCTCATTGTCATTTTCCATCTCACTGAATGTCATTATTATAACATAGCGGCCCAAGCCAGAAAGCAGGGAGTCATTCTTAACTCTTCACTCTTCCTCTACTCCCCCTGACCCATACCCACCTCTTCTGTATCCATGGTGTGTTGGTAAATTGGAGATGAACTGAAGATAAAGGTTAGGATGTAGAGAGGTTTTAAAATCAGTGTTACCCTGGTCATGGAAAAATGAAGTAGAAAATTCACACCAGCAAGTGAAATCAAAGAACATATTATCTTGTAGGCGACCCACCCAATTCACTTGCCACTGCCTTCATTTATATTTTCACTTTATCACTCCTGGATCATTGCAACAGCCTTCTAAGTTTCATGTGTTAGGTTCAGGGTCAGGTTCCAGCCCATGCTGAGGTCTGGAGGGAGTGGGTGGATGAGTGGCAAACAGCTGAAAGAAAACTCAGGGAGACATAGGTAGATGAAATATGGCTTTATTCAGAAGCTCTCTCATCAGCACCTCTCTTAGAGTGTCCGCTCTGTCTCAGCTGTTTGAGCTGGCAGCTCCCACACACAGCTGTGCTGCTGGCTCTCCCTTGCCTTCAGGGTCAGCAGCTTAATTTTCTCTCTCTGGGCACGAGAGTCCCTATATAGTGTCAGCAGGGCAATGATACCTTTTACAAACAATAGTGGCTTAGAGCCAAATGATGAGCCTTCCCATTTTATGGCTACATGGTTGTGGTAACGGGGAGTTATACACCTGAGCTCTAAACTCGCTGAGTCACTCAGCCTGTCCTTGACAAAAGCACAGCCATGTTCCTTACACTCCACCCCCTCGGCCAAGGGAGACATAGGCCTTGGATACACAGGTTATATACATAAGCTTTGGTACATAGGCTCGATATATATACACACAGGCTTTATACATAAGTTTTGGGTACATAGGTTTGATATATAGGCTTGGCACACAAGCCTTACATTCCACCCCCTAGGCTGATGGAGTCCTTTTAGTGAGGACCGGTGCACATAGGGCTGCACCTTGGACCTATAGGCCACAGCAACAATATAAGGAGCAACAACATACTACTAATATTCCTGCTATGCTACTCATGATTATTAGAGCCCAATGTAGGCCAGAGCCCAGAGATGCCCACCATCTCTTCCAGGGGTCATCATCAAGGCGCTCAATCACCTTAACCTCCTGGGACACCCCTTGTAAAGCTGCCATTATGTTCTGGTGGTTGTCAGGGATGAGTTTTCAACATTGTGTCCCTACAAGGGCACAAGTGCCACCTTGGGCAGCTGTGGCTATGTCTAAGGCCATCCGGTTTTGTAGCACCACCTTCCTGATCTGATTAACCTTATCAGTTAACAAAAGGAGGGCAACTCAGATGCAATTCAGGGCCCGAGCTGTGTGCTCTGCAAGGGCTGTAACTTGCATTTCCTACAGTAATGACACCTGCTCCAGGAACAGTTATTGCTAAGGGATAGAACCACAAGGGGGCCCACCCCACTCACAAAAACTGGAAACGCAGCACCCTCTAGTCATGTAGGTGACCAGGCAATGTGGAAAGCACAGTGGCAGGCACATGGGGCCACCCTCAGGTACAGTCCAATTGGCTGGCAGATATGGCCATCCTGTGCCCTCACAGACCCATCAACTCCCAGGGGGTACAAAGTCCACTGGGGCCCAGCCTTGGTAAGGCCGCTTATTCCACAACACCCTTGGTGTAGTGATCGTGTTATGTTTGCACAAACCTCAGCAGGCAACCATCCCACAGTGACTTTACCCCAGTGCTGCTCTATACATGGTGGTGTCCGCAATGGGGGCACCACGTGTTCTCCCATTAGACAGCTCCATCCATCATGGACGCTAGAGTCAGCCAGGGGGCAGGCTTGCCATGGGTTTTGTGACGCCTCCTATTCAAAGCTTGATGTGTTGCATCCCACCCACTGTCCACGAGGCCTGGACAGTGTGCAGTTCTGCACAGAAGCTGGATGCACACGCCAGGGCAAGCCATCCGCAGCTGCTGCTGGAAGGACAGTGCCGATCCAACAGTTAGAGACATTGGTCACCTCAGTAAGGTGTGGAACCAGTCCACAATGCTACTGGAGCATGCCAACTTACAGCTGAAACAACAAAGCAAGCACGGATACTAACCAGGGTAAATCACGTCCCTCAGGCAAAATTCAAGTCAATTTTTCATCCCTGGATAACAATGCAGCTGCCAAGGGCTTCTGCCCTGGGTGATGATGCTACACCTCATCAGCTTTCTGTGGTTCCCTTGGGTCCTGCACCCATGCCAAAGTTACAGGGAAGTTTATGATAGTCCACACAGACAGTACATATGTTCCCGGAGGAGGGTTCCTTCCCTGGCCGTTCCCCTACGAACGGCTAATTGTGGAGGTCACACATTAAATACCCAAGGAGTAACATGTAAGTTATACTGCAGACCCTTCCCCACAGGAGGCCACAATCGCCAACCATCTGCAATGAGGGGCTTGGAGGGTCCATGGCTGACACCAGGTTTTGTCTCCCTACTTTTAGGGGTATTGGGGCAGGTAATAACAGATTATCTCTCATCCTCGTAACTGGTTGGAGAAGGTCATCCTTCCTCTCATGGATCCGGCCACATGGCCTGGCCCTATGTGGGTTGGTGACTAGGTAATTCTATAACTTTCACATAATTAACAACAAGGTTAAGCCTCAATAAACTGCCCAGCTACAGCTGCAGATTACTGTAGGTGTCACCTTCTTGGTGATCACCATCCACATTGCTCTGAGTTTAGCTCATTAGCTACTTTGCCCACACTTGGTATCAAACCATATAGTGTCAGTAGAATGGCCGGACTGTGACAACAGTCCAGGCAGCACAAGTATCTCGACTAGACCTGTGTACCATGCCCCATTAGGAATGGGGGGATACCATTCCTTATAGTGAAGGTGCAGATTCTAGGTGTACCTCCGGCCCCATGGCCTTATCTTGCATTAGGACTACAGGTCCCAAGACTTCTTGTAACTCTGCTGCTAAGGGACTTGTACTCAGCATACTCCGCTGCTCTAAGCAGGTGCTTCACTTCACTAAAGTGGATGTCTGCACCGTCCTTATCCGGGGAGTCACTACCCATGAATGCACCCATCCTGCTATCAGGTAAGTCGTCCATATGACGACTGTAACCCATTCTGCCACACTCTTATGAGCCTGATGGGCAGCATATGTAGTTACTAACTGCTTTCCCAGTCCAGGGGGTCACTACCCATGAATGCACCCATCTGCTATTACTAACTGCTTCTGTATTAATGAACACTGGAGCTCAGCTCCCTTCCACAGCTAGGACTAAAAGCCTGTTGGCACTTCCAAGGTCTCCATGCACTGCTATAGGCCCTAGCCAACACTATTTGTGGTCACATGCACATTCAGTTTAAATGGGCACCCCTAGTCAACTACCCATAGGTCTTGTGCCTACTGAAGAGCCTGCTTGGCTGTGTAAGCCTCACCATGCAACCCCAGGCAAGGTGGGCATTGCCACTTCTAAATCTGCAAGAGAACCAGAGGTTCGCATAACGTCATCAACAAGATCATGACATATGATGAGGCTATGCATATAGTCCTGCAGTGACACTATGAAAGTCCATTGTCACCCTCCCATGAAGGCAGACTGTTCCTGGCTCTCTGGAGCAATGTTGATTGAGAGGAATGCATTGGTCAGGTCCACCACACAGTGGCACCATCCCAGTTCTATTGTCAAGCAGTCCAGCAAGTCCGTGACAGACAGCACAGCTGTCAAGCTGTGCAAAACATCCACCCCCAGAATGTCTCCAGGCATGGGAGAGATGTGCACAGTGGACAAGCAGACAGCCAAGTGGCGAACGCCAAGGTGCAGACACAGGTTCCACTTTCACTGACTGGTCTTCATAACCATTAATAAACACAGCTCTGCCCGGAAATTTATCCGGGTTCAGAGACTAGTGGATTGCCAAGTCCGCATATGGCCTTTGGTTGTCTGGTGCCACCCAAGCCAGGCATCTCGGCCAGTCTCTTATCAAACAGAAAAGGCTTTACACTTCCACCTGACTGCAGCAGGCAATCTGTGAACTGGAATACTCGGGCAGGACCAGGTTGTACACCAACGTCCTTCTCCTGAATGACTTGCACTAAGTCTGTACATGACTGCCGACATTACTTGCTTGACTCCCGCAACATAGCGGGGGTGCAGGCACCATATAAAATGTGTTCCACCACGGTGGTGGGGGGAGGGTCCCTAGGCTCACCCTTGGTGCCCAACAGCTACTCATGCTATATTTTCTGGTGGATCACTGGGCGAGCCTGCAACAGAGGTTCTTTCTCCCTGCGCTGCATCCTGCAGGGACTGGGCATGCAATTCCTGCAGCACAGTTACAAACGCCCATGTGACTCTGCCAGCGAAGGTATGCTTTTCCTTAGTGCTGTGCAGTTCCTGGTGCTTCAGTACCTTCTCCACACTCATGGGAGACCTGTCTACTGCCTCCCACGTTTCCACTGGGGCCCACCCAGGCAGCACCGCTGCCACTGGGTACCACAGCCCATGCTGCGGCCACATAGCCGACCCAAGACCCCTCAGAACTGAAGACCCACTCACCTCATCTGGCCAACTATGCCAACTGTCAGGTTCATGAGTACACCAAACGTCATGCCCAGGGTCCAGCCCCTGCTGAGGTCCGAGGGGAGTGGGTGGATGGACAGATAGCTGAAAGAACACTCGGGGCCGTAAGCAGGTGAAATGTAGTTTTATTCAGCAGCTTTCCCATCCACAGCTCTCACGCACTGTTCTCTCTGTCTTGGCTGCTTGAGCTGGCTGCACAGCCTGCTCTCCATTGCCTTCAGGGTCAGCAGCTTAACTCTCTCTCTCTGGGCACAAGTGTGCCTATACAGTGTCAGCAGGGCAATTATACCTTTTACAGACAATAGTGGCTTAGAGCCAAATGATAAATCTTCCCATGTTATGGCCACATGGCTGTGATAACAGGTGGAGTTATACGCCTGCACTCTAAACTTGCTGAGTCACTCTGGATGTTTACCTCAGCCTGTCCTTGACCAAAGCACAGCCATGTTCCTTACACTGTGTCTTCAAGTTTCTTAACCAAAATTCCATGTGACACTCAAAGCTCCTTTATAAAAATACTGTTAACACTGTTCTCTCCATTAGAATGTCCTTCTTCCCACAAAGTAGAGTTCCATTTCAAATATCATTTCCTTCTTTAAGTGTTCCCTAATTATCACTCCAGTTGAAATTCTGCCCTTCATATCGCCACAAGCCTTTATCAATTCCTCTCTATGAGGAATAGAAATTTAACACTTTCTACCTTGATATTTTGATTTCTACCAAGATACTTTCAGTAAAGTGAAAATAAGTCAAACTTAAGGAAACAGAAGGTGAAATTTGGGACCTGATTAAAGGTTCTTTGGAACAGTCCTCTGGCAGTGGTTCTCAGTCTTGTGTGCACACTGGAATACCCTGGGCAACTTCAAAAACTATCAATGCCTGGGTCCCAGCCCAGATGTCATGAATGCATCCTGAACACTGAGACTTGGAAAAGCTCTCCAGGTGATTCCGATGTGCAGCCAAGGTTTTGAAGTACTACTCTATGGGGACTATAAAAGGGAGTAAGAGGCTGGGCGTAGTGGCTCGTGCCTATAAACCTAGCACTTTGGGAGGCTGAGGTGGGCAGACTGCCTGAGCTCAGGAGTTCAAGACCAGCCTGGGCAACATGGCAAAACCCCAACTCTACTAAAAGTAAAAATAAATAAATAAATTAGCTGGGCGTGGTGGTGCACACCTGTAATCAGCTACTTGGGAGGCTGAGGAAGGAGAATCACTTCAACTTAGAAGGAGGAGTTTGCAGTAAGCCAAGATCGTGCCACTGCACTCCAGCCTGGGTGACAGAGGAAGAGCTCTGTCTCAAAAAAATAAAAGAGTTAAGAGATTACTGAAGGATTTTTCAACAGAAGCAAAGATCTGGTTGACATCAGATAATAATAAATATTACAACTTGAGTAATAGCTGACTGTTTAGAAGTATTAAAAGCAGATGTAGAAATGATTCAGGGTAGGCAAATGATATTGTAGGAAAGTGTAGGAGGCAAGGAATTTGGTGGCACTTGGTAAAACTAAAATGACTTACAATTGCTTCTAGGCTGAAGCTGGAAAAGAAGAGATGGACTGGGAAGATAGGGACAACAATTAAGGGAAACTGCTTGGAATGAGAACCAAGAATAAGTCTGAAGAAGTAGTGGAGATGAGCAGTCAAGCAAATGCAGAGGGAATTCTGAAAAAGATGCTGTGAGTTGTTAAGTTTTCAAAGATGACAGAACATGATGTGTGGCAACAACAGTGTGTTGCTAAACTGGACATGTGTAGAAGAGTTTTGAAATCAGAGTCACCCTGGTCATCAACAGTGATGAAAAATATGCATGGCAGCATCTAAAAATCATCACGGGACACAGTAACTTGGAGGTCTGATAAAGATGCTGCCATAATTGTGGAGAGAGGGGTTAGAAGCTGTGGTGTGGCTATGAAAAGGGGAGGTAACAAATTGTGGTAGAATAACACTTACTGGTAGGAAAGAGACCATCTGTTTTTCTAAAGTACACTCCCTTCCCCCCACTTATAAAACCAAGTATGTATTTAAAGATATTTCTGTGCTGGTAAGTGTATTAATTTATAATCTTTATTTTTCATCATTAAGAACTAAATATTAAAAAATACAGTAAGTACAAAGCCAAAAAACCAAATTTGTTTTTAAAATACAAAAACAGGTGTTCATGGTAAATGATGGAATGGGAGAATGGAACTGGCATGAGAAAGACTCCTTCACAGTAGCAGCATGTAAAAATTTCTCTGCTTGCTTCAGTGCCTTCCCAAATGCTCATCTTTCTCCCAGTTGATACCTACGTGCTGCTTCAAAACCCGTTAAATGTGGTGAAGGGGTTTAAATCCCATCAGAAAAGTCAGATCCCTGGCTCACTAATCCTTTGAAAGGCTCACACTAGTGCAAATAAATAGCTGACTAACATTCTCTGCAGGACAGTTGCATTATAATAATTCTATAGCAAGAGATAGGGATATTATCAATGTAGTGTGTCCTATAACAAGAGGTACTGTATAGATGGAGTGAGTCATTTCACCTATAGCACCACCCGATAAGAGTTGAAATGCGTTAGAATATTTTTCACTGTAGTAAAATATTAAACCTAATTTATCTGAGGAGTGAATAAAAAAGCAAGCTTAATTCTTACAAGGAACATAAACTCCCTTCTGTAATTCACATTATTAGTCCCATGTCATTATGACAAGATATGTTTGCATCACTAGGTACAAGAGAAAATGGTATATAGCCCACAGAATAAGTGAAAATCTATTATAATGAATAAATTTGATATAGTAGTGCTATTTCCAAGTTCTATTTAGTAAACCCAGAGTAAAAGGGGTTTATTGATCTGTTTACAACATTCTAAACACTAAGATTAAAACTGTTTTGTTCTGACATAAAAGAAACAGCTATGTAAAGTGCTTAGTCCTCTACCTGGCACATGGTAGCCACTCAGCAGACAGTTCCCATTTTCACTGACTTGACCCTTTCCCTCCCACTCCAAATATAGATTCTAACCACCCTTTAAAGAACATCCATAGAAAATTCTCAGATCAAACAAGCACACTGTGTTAAATGTTAAATGTCCACATTAACAAAGGTTATATCATAGAAGTATGCACATGCCAATTTCTTATGCATGGGAGTAACTCAGGTCTTAGATTGACAATGATGAACAAAGGAAAAGGAGGAGAAAAAAGAAAAGGAAAAATGAACAAGGATGTGGAGGGAGAATGAAAAACACAATTGCACTGTCAGTGTGAATAGCAAACAAATTCCTGAACTACCAGATGTCATGGAACAAGTACCCCACACAAGAGTACACAGAGCTGCAATGACCCTGGAACTCTAGGTGCAGGGACTGCCAACACTACAGATGCATTCATTGTCATAGCTCTAGTGATTTTCTTGGACAAATGGTAGAAATCACTTTAGCCACCCCACCCCCATCCGCTGCTATCCTCTAGTGGCAGAAACATTAACAGTGGCCAAAGAATGACAATTTATCCTGATTAGGTGGGCAGCTAATTTATCCTTTTAGGGACAGCTGTCATGGGGTCCTCAGTGTCCTCTCTCTTCAGTGTGGTCCCTCGTCCCTCAGGAAATGACTTTACTCTCCCAGGGTAAGCTCAAAATAACACTTAGTGTTCCTGCTAAATCCTCCAGTAGTCCAGTGCTATGCAGTTCTTTCAAAGAAGAGCTCTTGTGATTAACACAAAAGTCTCTAAAGTTGTGTGTAAAAAAGCCTTTGTGTACCAAGCAAGGCATGGCTCACACCTGGTCATTTGCCCAGTTTTTGCCGATTCTTCCTGGCCTTAGATTAGTGTCTCTCCTCCTTTAGTCTTCCATGACCCCATGGTCATGGAAGCAGTTATAGCTAACTACTGCCCTTCTACCTGTGTCTGAATTGCAGTATTGTTAACACTGAGCAACTCACAAGATTCCTCTTCACTAGGTCACCCTCCAAGGCTGCGCAGCAATTCAAATCCCAGTGTTAGCCTTAGAGTTCAAAGCTGCTCATTAAAATTATGCATGCTGAACTGTAATAATAAATTCTGGGCTAAAATTATAATTTAATATTTTTTCAAAGTAATTTAGAGTGAAAAACTTCAAAATTTTCTGTTATTTTGTATAATTGGGAAAAACAGTCAAGTTTTTCAAATTAACACATAATAGTTGCATTACAACAAAGATATTTATCATTCACTTATTCATTCATTCAAAAATACTCGAGTGCCAGGAACTCTGCTGGACCCTGAGAATATAGTGAACAAAAGAAACATGACCATATCATAATAATAATAATTTCTATATTGTATCACTTATTTCAAGAATAGTCTGGCATAGATTAAACATTTTATTTAAGAAAACAAATTGGGGAGTGGGGAGAAACACATGGGAAGTAAATTTGCCATGACTAAGTATCAAAGTCGTTCTATGTATTATGAATATGTAACAATTATTGTAAGTAACACTGGACACTAAAATAGTTGCTGTTCACTTAAAGAGTGCTAGTATTTTATTTTAAAATTTCACTATACAGATGCATATCACAAAAAAAATGTACTAACTGCTTGAACAGAACTATTTATCAAGAATAAGAATAATAAGATTTTGTAAAATGTTCATGCCAAGAATGCAAAAGAAAAAAACAGCACAATAACCTCACAACTAAGACATACTATAAATATGTTATCAAAAGATAATTTTTACTCTTCCTAGCACATAAAAGATAATTTATTGTTTTCAAACTTAATTGATACTTTCTGTATTAGAACATATTACATATCAGTAATTTTCTTACCAAAATAGAACCCAATATATGTACAGTAAATATTTAAGAAAATAAGTTTGTCCTTAGCTTTAACATGAATGTGTACATATAAATATACATATGTACACTCACAGGAGTAACATACATTGACAAAAAATTACACTTAGCAAAGGTCCAAAATTGCACAAAAAAAATCCCGCTAGGACTTTTTTGCTATCTTTGAGGTTGGACAAAGAATGTATAAAATTACTGAAGTAACAAAAAAGGACACAAAAACCACACTTCAAACAGACAAACTGCTTGTCAGTATTAGGACCTGATTTCACATACAGGTTTAATACACTTCCTCAAAAGTCATGCCATCAAGGTGAAGGATGAACATCTTCCACTACTGAATGAGGCTGGATGTCATTATTCTGAGAAGTAGGGTTCTCCTCCACATGGATTACTTTATCTGAGGTTCCTGCAGGAGAAACTTCATTATTTGTCTCCTCTTCACTAGGTGATAAGGTTTCAGGCAGTTCATTTGACATTAGAACTTGCAAAGGTTCTGTTCCATTTTCAACAACCACTTGAATCCCCAAAACTTTAAGAATATCACATTTGCAAATGGGGCATGTCCCATGGGGTAAAATCCAGGGGTCAATGCAATTCTTGTGGAAAAAATGTTTACAAGTCAGAATACGAACTATGTCATTAGGCTTATAGCGTTCAAAGCAAATTACGCAGCTATCCCCATTTGGATTTATTTCTTCATCCCCCTCTTTTACTACTCGAAGTTGGAGTTGTCCAAATGTGTTCTGAAGATCTGTTGTTAATCGCTGCCATCTCCGGTTCTGAATCCTTGCTAAACAAAGTCTATGAATGTGATAAAAGATGAAATATGCTAAGGTAGCAGTTGTGACAATCACAAAAGAGACCAAATAGTGATTCATCCAGATGATGTGCTTTCTCCCCACCTCAACCACGGCTGTAATGAGAACTCCCTTCTTAATTAAATGGAAAATTTCCGTGCCTTTTAAGTTACCAATCATAACCACAACGACATCTTCAAATGCCTGATGAAACATGGGGAACACCTGGTTGCCAGTACCTGGAACGTTATAGATGATCACTCCACTGGCTCCCTTCTCAGTTGCCACTTTAATTTTCTGTGTGAAGGTACAACCTCCCCGTTCAATAAGTGCAAGCCAGGTCTCTGAGTACTTTGATCGGCTGAAAATGGTATTGGGATTACATGCATTTTGGATTTTTCCCTCTGGTGGCACTATAACTCCTGCCACTCTCTTCAAAGTGGAGCTTCTTCCAAAGACTCCAGTCTCTCCCAACTCTGACAACACATGATTCCCAACATGAAATGATATGTTCATATAAGCCATCCAAACAACACTTGCTCTGCAACAGTTCTGACTAACAAGCCAAAGAACACTGAACTTCATAAGCCAGGAAGAGGCAGTGTTGTTTCTCCAAGTGCCAACCTTGAGTAGATGCATCTCTCTCTTCTCCGAGTGACTTAAGAACCAACCTAACAGTTGCACATCTGTTGACAATTAATTTAAAATAACGAAGAGAAAAAAATCTTCAGGATACAAACAAGATCCACTGTCTTCCAGCATGTTTTTGTAAGAAATTCTTAAAGATGGCTTATGAGTTTCAGATGTCTTACTAGAGAGAGGTGAAAAACTTTAGATTGAAAAATAAATCCCCTACTGTTAACTCTAGATACTGCTTACTATTGTGTGATGTGATTATGACATGCAAGACCCAGCAGCCAATTAGATAAGAGCTTAGAGCATACTGTGAATTTATTGGCTTAAATGCTGTTATGGGTGATTTCTATGTTGTTATAAGATGGATATAATCACTGAGCTACATATAATGGTAGTAGATAGCACATTAAACTAAAAATTAAATCTAAAATTCATACAATGTGTGCTCTTTAAAGCCTGAAAGCACATGTAAGAATGTTTTATTTTCCCAGCAAGTGAAGGAGATATTTCCAACAAAATGGCAAGCTAAAAAAAAGGATAATTAAAAATTAGTGCAGTGACCGGATGTGAGGCAAAAGTGGTGAGCTTAGTGACATTATTTTTACATCAAAAAGTAAAAGTCACACTGCTAATTTTTGATTCATCACATAAACCATTATATTGCATTTATTTAATTTAAGCTTTCTGAGAAGTTTGTGGCTTTTGTTTTATGGTTTTGCTGTTTTAAAGTAAGGGATCCTGCTCAGTTTACTTCTGCCTCACTTTCTCTGTCTTACATTGACTGTACAAATGTAGTAAGACTGACAGGAGTAAAGAAAGGACTGATATCTAGGGAAGCTAATTTCTCTGCAGACTTTGATGTCTGTTATTAATCAAACAATATTTTGAAAGAGGAGGAGAAAGGGTGTCAAGGGAAAGATTAAATATAGTCATATTAGTTTGGCACAATTCATTTTTTAAAAAACAGCTATTAAGAAAAACTTCAAGGTGCACACTTAAAGTTAACCATTAGCAGCAATAAGTAGATGCTTTTATCAAACATTTTTGCAGAACTTAACAAATATCCCTATTAGAAGATTCCACAGGCTCTGTCCACTCTGCCTATGTTTTTGCCACAATCATGTCAGTGGCACAATATGACATCAAAGCTAAAGGATGGCATGTGGACTCACAAGCATAGTAAGTTCACAAGCAGCCACGCTGCTACTGGTACACTTTCTTGGCGGTGAATCTCAGTGGGTTTTTTCCCACCAGCTAGGAAACCGAGGCCAAAGATTCTGACCTTGAACATGAATGTCTCTGGTCTACATACGTAAAGTGCTAGAAGTCACTTTTGGTTGGAACTCACCAGGACTAAAGGAGCTGTTACTTCTTATGAAATGTAAATCTACAACATGGTAATTTGAGACAAGAAAGATGAAGGAACAAAGGGCCCTATGGGCCAACAAAAACTAGTATAAAAAGAATACTGATGATATAAAACATACCCATAAAGGTTGATTTTCTCTCCCAAAGGCCATTAATCCGATTTTATTTTCATACATCCCTGCACATTTTAAAAGGTAGTATATGGTGTGTATATTCACAAAGTGACACTGAGGTATCAAAAGTTTAGCATATCATCCAGAAACAGAAATTTTCATCAATACAACAATACCTAAATCTTTCTGTCTCTCATTGTTATATAGGTGTTTATTCATCTACTAGAAAAAAGGAAGATGCAAAATAAGGCAAAGAATATAACATCGAAAGGCAATTGAACAAAATTTTAGCTCTGCCCTATGTTATCAAAATGCCCCCAGAGAAACATTCATTACCATTTGGAGAGGAAAAGAGAAGCATTTACTAAGGACACTTCTAGAAAAGAAATCTGCTACCATAGCTGAGTCACTATGCTAGGATTTAAAGAGCTCTGGCAAACAAAAGTGAATGTTTGCAATGTTATCCTAAATGAAGCCTATAATAATTTAGAACACTTTTCCTTACATATCCAAAGTACTATCATCTAAAATAATTATTTAGAACACATTACCAATCCAGTGAGTAGCTTTGGAAACTAGATTTCCTGGGTATTAATAAAATTAATTAACCATGGAGAATCAGAGATATAAATTATTAGATACCAAAATTAGTCAAAATGTGGAAACAAAGTACAAGAATTAGTATTAAAAAAGGAAACTTTAAAATAGCATGGCTAATTCTCTATGGCAATGTCACAATCCTAGTAACTTGAAGAAAAAAAAATTTGTTTTTAACATATACTAATGTTCTTATTTGGATAAGGGCAAAAAGGGATACGATTAAGAAAATGTGGCACATATACACCATGGAATACTATGCAGCCATAAAAATGGATGAGTTCATGTCCTTTGTAGGGACATGGATGAAGCTGGAAACCATCATTCTCAGCGAACTATCGCAAGGACAAAAAACCAAACACCGCATGTTCTCACTCATAGGTGGGAATTGAACAATGAGAACACATGGACACAGGAAGGGGAACGTCACACACCGGGGCCTGTTGTGGGGTGGGGGAAGCGGGGAGGGATAGCATTTGGAGATATACCTAATGTTAAATGACGAGTTACTGGGTGCAGCACACCAACATGGCACATGTATACATATGTAACTAACCTGCACGTTGTGCCCATGTACCCTAAAACTTAAAGTATAATAAAAAATAAATAAATAAAATAAAATTCACCTAAAAAAACAATTAAAACTGATTAGAAAGACAAGAAGTTCAAATAGCTGGGCATGATAAGGAGTTTTATTTTTAAAACACAAATTTCACCCTTGTTCATACTTGGGTAGAGAAGCTGAAATTTTCTCTCTACATAAAGTACAATAAGACAATTTATCTAATCTTTGTATTTGGAAAGATCTGGTTACATCTTCAGAAAATTCTCCAGATTTCTTAAGTTTTCAGGATGTCACACTTGCACATGGGACATGTCCTATGGGCTAAAAGCCAGGGGTCAATGCATGCCTTATGGAAAAAATGTTTGCAAGTTAAAATGCGTACTACATCTTGGGGTTTGTATGTGTCAAAGCAAACAACACAGTTGTCTTCATTTAGGTCTAATTCCTCATCCCCTTCTTTGAGAACTCGCAGTTGAAGCTGGTCAATAGCTTTCTTCACATCTGTCTTTATTTGACTTCGCCTCCTGGTGAAAGAATTGGGCACTCTAGGTGTAAGTCTCCAGACGCAATCTAAGTAAAAGTAGGCAATTGTGGCAGCCAGGAAGGTAAATAGATACATGATGTAATGGCTCACCCACTGCATGTGCATTCTCCCCACTTCAATGATGACTGTCACATAGACTCCTTTCTGAATCGAGTGCAAAATTTCCATGCCTTTCAGGTTGCTTATCATCACCGCGACTATATTTTCCGTCCCCTGGTGAGACATGGGAAATACTTTACTGCCCGTACCTTGATAGTTGTAGATGATCACCCCATTTGCTCCCTTCTCTGCTGCCACGTTGATTTTATGTGTAAAAGTACAGCCTCCACGTTCGATGAGGGCCAGCCATGAGTCTGCCTGTTTGGGCCTGCTGAAATTGGTCAAAGGATGACAGGCATTCTGATTCCATCCTTCAGGAAGTGCCACCACACCAGACACCCTTTCCAGAGGAGAATGATTCCCGAACACTCCACTCTCTCCTAATTCCGATGTGATCTCATTTCCAACCTGAAATGTTATATTCAGGTGAGCTGTCCAAATGGCTTTTCCGTTTGAGTCAGGAAAGCTAAGTAGTAGAAAGATACTAAGCCTCAAAAGTCCAGATGAAACAGAACTATGCGTCGAAGGGGTAATTCTAAGGAAGCTCATGCCTCCATTTGTCTATTAAGAGACAAACATGAGAAAACAAAACAACATCAGTTGTAGAAGAACATAAAGAAGATAGCTTGTTGGCGGCAGATTACTAAAGCACATAAATGGAAAAGGTCTCCCTGGATCAAAGCTATCTTGCTCCTTCCAGTATTTTAATATTTAGTAGATTATCTTTCTCATAATGAAACAAAATAACAAGACTTGTGATTGGTACCATGTGATTTCAAGAAAATTATGACATCCAAATGGGGAAATTATGACATCAGAGGTAGTTAAACCAATCCAAGAGTTTATATTAGTGCATTGCATCCTGAAATCCTATTGGCCAAAAAGCTAAGCAATGAGTCAAGATACATAACAATTTGAATAGGCTGTAAAGCAATAAATAAACTGGTAAGAATTTTTTAAAGCCTTGGGTTTCTTCCTTAGTTCTGGAGAGACTGAAAATCTACCCAGCCATATAATGTTTTTTCTAGCTGTAAGGCAAAGGCAAAGATAAAAATAATTCATGTATTAGTGCATGTACCTGGGCCAGTTGCCAGTTTTCATGCATGGTTCAACACTACCCAATATGGCATTCTGTGGGATGGTTCAACACTACCGAATATGGCATTCTGTGGGATGGTTCAACACTACCCAGTATGGCATTCTGTGGGAAGTAGGAGCAAACCATTCCCACCCACTTCCCACATTAAATGCCTATCCCACACCTAAAGATCCAACACTAAGAAAACAGTGTAAACTCTTATTGTTAGCCTAATACAGTCCCATCTTCTGGTAAGAACCTACTATGTGCTGGCAAATACTGAGAGTGGACATATATTGGAGAAGAAAATAGAGACGGCCCTACTCTTGTAGAGGCTAAGGATTTTGGATGATGTCCCAAGGACAAGAGAAACACACTGTAGGGTTCTAAGCCAGGGAGGTGACAAATGTGTTTCAAAATGTTCACTTTGGTTGCTTTATGGGGAAAATGTATTGGAGAGGGAGAATAACAAGAGAATGAGCTTAGGCAAAAGAAGATAGTGGCTTGGACTCAAAGTAGCAGCATAGATGTAGAGACACAGACAAAGGCTGAATAACAGATTTAGTAACTGGAAGGACAGTAGTGGGAAGAGGAAAGGATGGCCACAATGATAAAAAATCACTACATGATTTTTGCAAATTACAGAATCTTTACGGCTTTAAAGATGCCTTATTGTTTAGTTTTATCTTAAATCTTTATCTAAAGTCTGTTTCAAGGAGCCAATAAATTGGCAACACCCACTCAAAAATTTATTTTCTATCATGTATAGGTTATCTTCTATGTGCTCAGCATGCCACAAAGTCCTAGGGATAGAAAAAGAAAAGACCTTATTTCCTAGTGTGAAAAATGGACATGAACATTTAATCATAGACATGATAGAGTTTTCTCATTTGGACAAAAGCATTTATTGTATTCCCTGGCCTATTTTAGTTAATATTTGTTAGTATTCCCTGTATTTTAGTTAATATTTGCTTTTTTAAAAAAAAACTCTAGGAAACAGTCTACTTGTCCCATTCATGCAATTCTGTTGAAGCATGATTCAGGTAACACCTGAACTGTCCTTACAGGTAGACTTTTTTTTTTTCATGTTCAAATGGAGTGAATTCCTGGCTGATTCTATTAACAGTGACAAATTGAAGCCTCATTAAGAAGACGGTTTAACATCATCATATTAGAGGTAATTTGTTAAATCTGTGATTATTTAACCTTTGGAAGTAGGATTACAAAATAATATAACTCTGACTTTTTATTTTGCAGATTTTTTGTGGGTGAAGTGTTTAACCTGTAACTATATTTTGCTTCAAAACATATCTCACATCAAAAGGTTCTCTGTATGGTTGAAAGGACCAATTTGAGGAACTTAGCTCATTCATTCTATTTTTCTCATTATAATATAAAGTGGTTAAGGCAATGATAGAACTGCCCTCTCTTCTGCCCTCGTCTTACAACAAAATAGACCTATAAGAAACAATCATCTATCTCTTAAAAAGTGGTTTTCAACTTGGGGGCAATTTTGCCTCTCAGGGGACATCTGGCTGCTTCTGCAGACATTTTTTGATTGTCACAATTAGAGAGTGCTACCAGCATCTAGCGAGTACACACCAGCGTTGCCACTAAAACATCTGAAAATGCACATAGTAGCTCCACATAATAAGAAATTATGTGGTCCAAAATATCAATAGTAAGGTTAAGAAACCCTAATCTAATGAAACAGCCTGAGGAGAGAAGCATCCCAAAACTCTCCCAACCCCGATGGGTGGTCAGGTATAAATTCTCGACACAAAATAAGCTTTTATAATTGACAATGCTTCCATCAAGGATGAGGCCCTCAATGCAACTTAATTTCTCTAGTTTTCCCTGGAATAGAAACAGGAGAGATCTGTACAAGTTACCTTTTAGTCCATTAAGTATCATGACAAATTGCATATATTTTATCAGAATGAGGTCTAAGAGTCTTCCTGGAACCGCATGTGACTGGGAGACAGAGAGAGAGACTGGATGATTGAGGCTACTGTAATCTGTTCCTTTTAGATCATTTATTCAATACATGGACATTCTTTCTAACAGCCAAATATTGAAGAGTTTTTCATTCTGTTGAATTTTGCAGGTAGGTTACAGAGAATTGAAATATATTAGTAGAGATAATATATAATATGTAATATAATATTATATATTATCTATATTATATATTATATATATTTATATTATATATTATCTATATTATATATTATCTATATTTATATTGTGTATTATCTATATTATATATTATATATATTTATATTATATATTATCTATATTATATATTATATAATATATTTTATATATTATATAACATTTATATATATTATATATGATATATAATATATTATATAATATATCTCATATATAATATATTATATAATATATCACATATTATATATAATATATCATATATTATATAATATATCATATATTATATAATATATAATATATATAATATATAATATATGATATATTATATAATATATATCATATATAATATAATATATATGATATATAATAATATATATTTATATATAATATATATTATATAACATATTATACATATTATATATAATATAATATAATAAATATAATATAATATATAATATATTATATAATATAATATATAATATATTATATAATATAATATATAATATATATATAATATAATATAATATATAATATTATATATTATATAATATTTATATATATTATATATTATATAAATATATATTATATATTCAAGGATTTATATATTCAAGGAATATATATATGTTTATATATTCAAGGAATATATATATATGCTTATATATTCAAGGAATATATATATATGCTTATATATTCAAGGAATATATATATGCTTATATATTCAAGGAATACATATATATGCTTATATATTCAAGGAATACATATATGCTTATATATTCAAGGAATACATATATGCTTATATATTCAAGGAATATATATATGTTTATATATTCAAGGAATATATATATGCTTATATATTCAAGGAATATATATATATGCTTATATATTCAAGGAATATATATATATGCTTATATATTCAAGGAATATATATATATGCTTATATATTCAAGGAATATATATATATGCTTATATATTCAAGGAATATATATATATGCTTATATATTCAAGGAATATATATATGTTTATATATTCCTTTTGTAGGCAGGCTAAAGAGAACTGAAACATATTACTAGGGTTGGTTCAACTGGTTCAAAAAGTCATTCTACCTAACTCTTGTTAACAGCGAATATGTATATATATATATATCACACACACTTAAGAGATAGGTTGTGTGTGTGTGTATATATATATAGTTACATGCTCTTAACAAGAGATAGGTAGAACATACATATATATATTCTTTTATATATACATATTCCTTGCTCATATATATGTATATATACTTATATAAGAGCAAGGAATATATATATATATAAAATGTATGTGTGTGTGTGTACATACATATATATATACACACACACACATATATATATATGTATGTACACACACACACACATTTTTTTTTTCCAGAAACTTACCAGACTTCCCTCAATGTCTCTTTGGCTAGAATTGCTTCACAAACCCATGCCTAATGAAATCCTTGGAAACCGGAGTGGAATCATCATGATTATCTTAGGTTAATCATGATTTATCCTGTTGTAGAGAGCTCTTTCCCTGGCTGAGCACATGGCCAGAGGAAGGGTGAAGATTTGAATGCTGTGTTACTAAGGGGAAAGACATGAACCAGAAGGTAAGCAGGCAGGCACAATGGCAGTTACAGGCTCTAAATTCCTGAAGTATCCCCAAAGGAATAATACTTAACCATTAACCGCAACAAACATGTAATATGCACTGTACACAAGGCACTGACATGAGCCAGAGTCTCTGTTAATGGGGACACAACATGGCTCTGACCTTAAGGAGGGCATCATCTAGGCAGAATAAAAGAGTTACATGCAAGTTGGATGTATATATGCATGTATCCTATAACTTCCAGGCGCCAATTAAATTTTTTAGAAGGTTATAACTATTATTAAGAGAGAAAAAATCAACTAACTGACCTCTACCCCTCTGCTATTCTTTGATCTCTATGGGTAAGAGTGCTCACACTTCCAGAAATCTCTACTCCAATAAAGCAAAACAGATAAATACAATCACATTGCACTGCTCAGATAGCATCTTTAAGATGAAAGGAAAACCAATAAACTACCTCACAAGTGTCAGTATCCAGAGCTATAATATCATGAGAGCTCTCTAGGAATTCAAAAAACATTTATTTTGCATTTAGGCTCAAACACTACAACTATGTATGTTTTTTTTGCAAGAAATTAAATGAATCATAACGAGATCTGAGGAAAACAGAATATTGACTCTAAAGTACCTCACTGAGAGCAGCACAAAAGCAAAGAGTACTAATGATAATATTTTTCTGAAAGCAGAATCTTTACTTTTACAATTTTTAATGTTTTCTTATATATATATATATGTTATTATTTGCAAGCATCTCCTCTAATTACAGCTAATATATTACTGGTTAAAAAAACTTCATAGTTTCATGTAACAAAACTAGTTTATATAAAGGCATTTCTGGATTGTGGCAACTATAATTCTTATTTCTATATATATATTTTAAGTAAATTTTGTTGTGTATATTTAATGTGTATAACATGATGCTGTAAGGTACACATATATAGTAAAATGGTTGCTATAATGGAACAAATGACCATATCTGTCATCTCATATAGTTATCCATTTGTCCTCCTGTTGCAAGTGCTGCTATAATCTACCCATTTAGAAAAAATCCTGATATAATTCCCTCTACAAAATTAACTATTCTATTAATCTCCTTGAAGGACAGGATTAAATCTTATTCTCATCTTTTTAATACCCAGCTTCTAGGACAATATCTACCACATCATAGGTTCTCAATAAAAGTTGAATTAAATTGATAGCGTCATTATCCTCTGTATTCTATCCAGTAATATTCCTTATGCAAAATTGTATCTACTGAGTTTTATCTTCAGAAAGGTGATCATTTCAGTAAGAGTATAGGATAGTTAGAATATTCATAATGAGTTCAACTGATTCTATATATGTACACACAATATGTGTGTGTATATATATATGTGTGTGGATATATATATATATATATATATATATTGGATATGTAGATCCAAACATATTGTATTCGAGATATATATATATATATATATATATATATATATATATATATATATATATATATCTTCCTTGCTCTTAGCAATCATAAAACTTGATTCCTTAGCCATACCTTAATACAAAGATAAATGAGCATTTGGAATATGATCAAATCCATTTAAATTGTAATGGGCATAAATAAACTAAATTAAACTCTCTTCTTCATTCAGAATTCAAGTCATGGTCTACATAACTTTAACAATAAATTGAAAACAATTTTTTCCTTATTCAGTCTACCGATTTAGAAGATAGAATGGTAATCAGAGTAGGAACTCATTATTACTACTCTGGGAAGTAACGGGGGGAAAAATTCACATTGTAGTCTTTGCACTAGGAGGCAGAAGGAAGAGGTAAATAGTCTTAAGTAAACACAAGATTAAGACAATATTTGGCCGTAGTATAATTATTATCTTTGAGCTCGGAACAAAATGTATCTTCATATTAACTCAACCATTTAGACTGGATTTTTGTTTGAGGCAGTGGTGAATAGGCAATATACTCAAAAGAGGAAAAATATACCAAGCAGATTCCTTTAAATCACCACCAGCAATTGTCCTGTTCTCTTAATAGGCTACTCTGCCCTTCTCATTATTAAGATCCAAGGATGAGGACCAAAAGGTTCTGCAGGCTGCTTCTGGGACTCCATCATTTCAAGATTGTCCTAAAGCTTAAAACAGACTCTAAATCTTCCTAAGCCACAAGGATATGAACAGACACTTCTCAAAAGAAGACATTTATGCAGCCAAAAGACACATGAAAAAATGCTCATCATCACTGGCCATCAGAGAAATGCAAATCAAAACCACAATGAGATACCATCTTACACCAGTTAGAATGGCAATCATTAAAAAGTCAGGAAACAACAGGTGCTGGAGAGGATGTGGAGAAATAGGAACACTTTTACACTGTTGGTGGGACTGTAAACTAGTTCAACCATTGTGGAAGCCAGTGCAGCGATTCCTCAGGGATCTAGAACTAGAAATACCATTTGACCCAGCCATCCCATTACTGGGTATATACCCAAAGGACTATAAATCATGCTGCTATAAAGACACATGCACACGTATGTTTATTGCGGCACTATTCACAATAGCAAAGACTTGGAACCAACCCAAATGTCCAACAATGATAGACTGGAGTAAGAAAATATGGCATATATACACCATGGAACACTATGCAGCCATAAAAAATGATGAGTTCACGTCCTTTGTAGGGACATGGATGAAATTGGAAATCATCATTCTCAGTAAACTATCGCAAGGACAAAAAACCAAACACCACATGTTCTCACTCATAGATGGGAATTGAACAATGAGAACACATGGACACAGGAAGGGGAACATCACACTCTGGGGACTGTTGTGGGGTTGGGGGAGAGGGAAGGGATAGCATTAGGAGATATACCTAATGCTAAATGACGAGTTAATGGGTGCAGCACACCAGCATGGCACATATGTAACTAACCTGCACATTGTGCACACGTACCCTAAAACTTAAAGTATAATAAAAAAAAAAAAAAAATGACCTTCTGCCAACCCAAAAAAAAAAAAATCTTCCTAAGCCACAATCAGTCATTGAAAGTTTGCATATGCATTGCCTTCCTAATACAAGTCCTATGATGGTTAACTCTGAGTGAGTCTGTGGTTAACTCTGAGTGAGTTCCCAGCAGTCAGAAATAACAGGGCAGAGGTGATTAAGGAGATTTTCTCCTTACGTTTTTCCAATTCACAGATCACAAAACCCTTTCTTATTTGTTATATAATTTAATCCCTCCCGTGAAGGAGCAGAGAAAAACGATGACAACAACATGAGCATAGAGACATCACACTAGCAGAAACAGTGAACAGTGTATTAAAGCACCAGGCCGTGTGACAGATGTGTCATGTAGTGAAATCCAGTTTCTGCTACATGCTAGCCATTTAAGCTGAGCCACATTGAGCCTCAGCTTTCTCATCTGTAGTCTGGAAAAGTAAAGTCTGCCTCTAGGGCCTTGATGAGTATTGGATGACATATTTCACTTCTGTTTGTAAATCGCCAAGCACACTGCTAGCTTAGCTTGGTAGGTATTCAATAAATGGGCCTTCCTTCCTCTTCTCAATCCTGAAAAACTTTTTCTTCCATTTTCCAGCTAATAAAATTCCCATCATCTTTACAGACCCATTTCAATCTCCCATTTGTGATCTCCCTAGCCAAAACCACCTGTTCCTATGACACATTATTTTTGTACCTATTTGGCAGTCATTTAATTTTGCCTTATATTATATATAATTAGAGGCATATATGTCTGTCTATACTTTCACTTGGTTTAGAATATCTTGTGAGCAGTGGTCTTATCTGATTCATTTTTTAAAAATCCTGTTTTCTCCCTTCTGTCTCTACACTAGCACAATAAAACTTGCTCAAGGTCCCTGACAAAATGTTGATTTTCAAGTACTTTCTCTTCAAAATATTAAGACATATCTGGAGCTTTTATAATCTATGCTTTATACAACTACTCACTTTTTTAAAGAAAGAGAACAGGCAATGATTTGACAAGTCTTCCCTCAGTTAAGAATTACATTGACAACAGTTGTCCAGAAAAAGGCTTATTTAATATCACAGGATCAGAGGCCATCTGTCTTACATTTTCTCTCCAAAAGTCGAGAATAAATTTCATCTACATCTCTGTATCTGAAAAATGGACTAAATATGGAATAATATGCAGCCATAAAGTAATAACCATTTCTAACATATAAGCAGCAGCCTTTACAGGGATAAAAATTCTCCTTTAATTATTTTTATGTAAATGAATATATAGCTATATCTCTCAAGATATTTAAATATAGATCTACAACTATATATCAGGTCATGAGCCCCAAAGAGTCATTATTAAGAGAAAACTATACCAATTATGTATACCATGGTACCTCAGAGAAAACTCTAACATTACATCAGGAGTAATAGTTAAAAGAAAAAATTTCTAATTGCAACCAACTTTTTCTCCAATCCAGAATGCCTTCTATTTCTACCCCAAGTGACAGTTGAATCCTGCAGTCCCCACAAAGCTTCCCTGATTAATTCAGTGCAAAGTGAGTTCTTTTTCCTATGAACTGTCACAATATATGTTTTACATTTTTTTTCTTTTTTTAGACAGAGTCTCTCTCTGTCACCCAGGATGGAGTACAGTAGCGTGATCTTGGCTCACTGCAACCTCTGCCTCCAGGGTTCAAGCGATTCTCCTGCCTCAGCCCCCTGAATAGCTGGGATTACAGGCACGTGCCACCACACCCGGCTAATTTTTGTATTTTTAGTAGAGACGGGGTTTCACCATGTTGGTCAGGCTGGTCTCGAACTCCTGACCTTGTGATCCACCTGCCTCAGCCTCTCAAAGTGCTGGGATTACAGGTGTGAGCCACCACGTCCAGCCATGTTTTTTATTTTTGTATTTAAACATATTTTGCAGTTAAAACAGTACATACAGCATACATGTACATTTTTAAATTTAAAAAAAAACACTCTTGTATCTTTTAAGCAATAAGCACTATTTTCTTCATACTCTACATCCTTTCTTAGGAAATTATTTCTATAATATCTTGTGATATTTTTCTTCTAGTGTTGAAAACAATGTTACTTTTTCCCCCTCTTACAAAGGTTGTCATCTTTACCTCTCAAATTATAAGATTTTCGAGGGCAGGACTTCGCTATGCTCCTTCATCTTCCTACAGGACCCAGTGCACTGATTTGTATCAATTTCTTATTTGATTTGATATAACAAAGGTGCTTCTCTGGCATGACTAAGGACCTGCCATGCCTTAGTTGTTTTTCATATTCCCTCTAGAAGCACAATCTAAGAACCATCTATTCAAAATGTCTACATTATTGATTATTTCACTCATTCGAATATTTATCAAGACCCTACTATGTGCATAGTACTTAATAGTAAGTGCACACAATTTTAGGGCTACAGCACTGATCAAAAAGGAACAATCTCCTGTCCTAATGACTCTTTTGTGTACCCAGGGATTCAAAGATGAGGTCATGGTTATATTTTTTCCAAGGAACTGACTTTCTGATATGATAATACGCTAAATAAGGTATGAAGGAAGGACCAGAGAAGCACAGTATCTTAGTCTGTTTGGGCTGTTATAACAAATTACCATAAACTGGGTAGCTTATAAGCAGTAGAAATTTATTTTTGCACAGTTCTGGAGGCCGAGAAGTCCAGGATTAAGTAGATTTGGTGTCTCATGAGGGCTTGCTTTCTGGTTAATAGAAAGCACCTTTTCGCTGTGTTCTTACATTGTGGAAAGAGTAAGGGGGTCTCTCTCAAGCCTCTTTTATAAGAACACTAATTCTACTCATGTGGGCTCTGCTCCCATGAGCTAATCACCTCCCAAAGTCCCCACCTCCTAATACCATCACCTTGGGGGTCAAGATTTCAACATCTCAAGGGGAACACAAACATTCAGGTTACGGCACACACAAAAATAAATCCTGTCCCCAAGGTAGGACAGTTTAATCATTATATAGTTCTGATATCCTAAGTTATCACTTTCCTTAGGATATTTCATACAATGAAAAACAAAGCAGCCCATACAGCATATCTGTTCACAAAGTTTCCTTCATTCAGATCTGATGGAGCTTTAAATTTTTATATTTAAAAACAAAGCTTTGTTTTATATAATTTTCACAGTCTTAAGTCTCGTTAGTTTTACCAGGAATAGCAATTGTTGAATTTTGCAAGTTTAATTAATTTTTAAGCCAGACTGCCTGAGTTTAAATCCTGTACTTAACACTAGCTCTACAACTTAGGCAACCTATCTAAACTCATGTGCCTTAGTTCCCTTACCTGTAAAAGAGAGATAACATTAGTACCAAATTTTTGGGACTCCCATGAGGATTAAAAGAAACAATGCACAGTCTTTAAAGCACTTAGAGCACTACTTGGCTCATACACAAACTGATGTGTGTTCACTGCCAGCACCCATCATATTTAAATCATTGTCTTATTCACCCAATTTACTAAAGATGATGCCATGATCTGTAACCATTTTTTTCAATCTTAACAATTGTAAGGAAGTTTCTATTTTGACATAAAATATTGGTAAAGAAAAAAAAAAGTGATAAGTATCACTTTTCCATATATAACATATATTCTTGAAGACAAGTGATCTCTTTACACAAATACCTAGTAACACCTCCAGCTAAGCAGCTAGTATTTGAATGCACATTAGGGATAAAATATTTCATGATTCATAGAAGATGCATGAAAACAGTGATAGAACTTACTTATTATACATTTTATAGTTATAATGTACAGGCCAACTTTAAAAAACAAAAAGGTCTTTTTTGTTCCCTCACATCCACAGACCACCCATAAAAACAAAAGTAAAACAAAGAAGTAAAGCTTTTCATTAGCTCTGCTGGCACAATATTTTTCAATATGTTGACAAAGAGCCTGGTTTCTCCAACTAATTATTACATTCATAATCCATGTCAAACTTCAAGAAGAACATTCATGTCACCAATGATTCAAATTTAGTTTGAGATTTAGGGAAAAGAGGAGGTTACCATGACAGAAAGCAAATGTTTGTATAATCCACTTAAACAACTAGTTCTAGCAAGACCTAGAGGTAAATTATTATTGTTCTAGTAGTTTCTATTTATTTGGTAAGGTTATACTAACAGATTACTCAGGTGGGAAAAGTAAACGATATTCCATAAAAATCGAGAAGCAAAACGACATGGTTAATCTGAAAATACATGTAAGTAGCAGTCTATACCTACAAGAATACAAAGTGGACATAGTATTCACTGTTTCTATCAAATCTACAACTTTCAGATTGTTTCTAGCTGTCTTTAGTATTTAGCTTGATTTCCTATGTCTCATTTTACTTACATTTCCATTTTAAAATCTTTGGTAAACAACTTCTTTTAATGTTTTACTATCATCATTTTTTTAAAAAAACAAACAATAAGTGGGGCTATGGGTAAAACAGTTACAAAAAGAATCCATAGTCAAGTGGAGAGACGAAGGACCCAAAAATTTGCTTTTTGCATGTTAATTTCTTACCAAAACAAATACATACAAGATGGGCTATGAAGGGTAAGCAATAAATCTTCAAGAGGAGACTAGCACAAGATCCATTGCCACTCATAGGAATAAGTCTATTTACTCACAAGGTGTTTCGTATAGTGTTCTTACAAAACTGTACTAGCTAATATTTCAAGTGTATTACTTATAATTTGTTGAATAATAGAAACTTACAGTAATAATAAGTTCCGATTTGAGTCTTTACTTAACATTTGGTGTTTAGCACTCTGTCTTATCTCATTTAAAATTCACAACACTGCAGTGAAGTAGACACTATCAGAATCTCGTTTTATCAATTAGAAAATGGAGATCAAGTGTGTAATTGGTTAAACGTCATACAGCTATAAGTGGATGAACCACAGGAAGACATCTCCCCTAGAGCTTCTAGAGGGAGTACAGCCCTATTGATACCTTGACTACAGACTTCTGGCCTCCACAACTGTGAGAGAATAAGTTTCTGTTGTTTTAAACAATTCCGTTTATGGCAATTTGATACAGCAACTACATGAAGCTAATAGAGCTTATTGGTCATTTAAGTTTCCTATTCTTTGACTTGTTATTCATATCCCTTATTCACATTGTTCAGGGATTGTCTGAGTTTTCATACCGATATACAGGAGTTATGGACACACCTTAGATTTTAAGCCTCTGTTGACTATAAGCACTGTAATGCCTTTCTCAGTCTTTGGCAGCCAATGTCCCTAGTTAGGACTGGTTAGGCCTCAGAACCCTATCTCCTAGGTAAGGTTTCTCCTTCCAGAACGCAGATGGCAAAGTGGTGACTTGAGCTTGTGAATAAGACACATGAATCCATGATTGGCTCTTTTATAACTGACACAGGATTTCCGTGCCTTGTAATTTAAAAGTAGCAAATATTATTCTGCCTATGCCTTAAAAACATGAAAAAGACTCTCTTTTCTGTACACTGTCCAAACAGAGGTCATTCTGCTTTGAATAAGGTCTGAAGCATACAGGGTCTGCCTGTAAAACGAAAGCTGCTTTCCTACGGACAAAGATAGCTTTAGTCATCTTCTATGGTCAAAATTCTCACAGACACAAGGCTTAAAACCTCTCAACACAACGCATTGCAAAGAAAAAAAAAAAGCCAATTGTACAAGTACAAAAACCAACCACAGTGCAAAGCTCCAAAGTAAAAACCCCACATGGTCTGCCCCTAGTAAGGTACTACCAAAGCTTAAAGTCATCCACCCTGACACTAGCAGAAACAATAATGACATGATTTTGCTCCTCTAGATTTTACTAAGAGCTGTAATCTTCTATCTACAATTCAATATGAAAACTCTAAAGGTATTTTTTCCCCATAAGTATGCAGCAAATTCATTGGGGGAGGGGAAAAAACCTGATATTTCAAAATTGCTAGAAGAATACATTTCAAATGTTCTCATCACAAAAAAAGTATGTGAGGTGATAAATATGTTACTTAGCTTGATTTACTCATTCCATTTTGTATATATGTCATAACATCACATTATACACCATAAACATATACAATTATAATTTGTCAATTAAAATATTAATTTTTTAAAAAACTGATCTGAAGTAATGGAAGTCTATGCATTCATTCAGTATGACTATTCATATATGTTGCTGAAGGAATATTTGTTTTATGAAAAAAAGCCTGCCTCGGACCTTACTGGGGTACTATCTAACATGTGGCATATGTACTATGCTACATTTCTGATATCTAAAACAATGGTCCACACTGCATAGGGCAGGCCCACCCCCTTCTGCTACCATCACTACCAAAAAGGCAGGAAAATACAACCTACGTCTCTACTCCTAGACAAAATCCCTTGCAAAGCTAACAGCCTAAAAGAGCAGGGGTAAGGGAGCTCCCAGTCAGCAGAAAGCTCCACACAGAAAGGAACACATTTGGTTTTCTGTCCTTTGTAGGGTCGGGGGAGCGGGGAGGGATAGCATTAGGAGATATACCTAAGGTAAATGATGAGTTAATGGGTGCAGCACACCAACATGGCACATGTATACATATGTAACAAACCTGCACGTTGTGCACATGTACCCTAGAACTTAAAGTATAACAATTAAAAATAAATAAATAAATAAGAAAGGCAGGCATGCCTGGTTTCTCCTTCCAGCCTCATCTACCAGGTAAATCATGAGGAGGGAGTAAAAGGTAGAGTGCGACCAAGGGGCACTGACTCTGCTAATATGGTGGTTCTTGGGAGGGGTGGGGAATGGAGGGAGGCCCAGAAAGGGAAACACTGATTTATAAACAAGAAAGCAGAACCCAAAGGAAATAATGGGGTTTTGTCCCTACTTGCAATGTGAACATGACTTTTTCTACTAGAACACAAAATAAAATTTCAAATGTTGACAAACTCTGTAACGTGGTATCATTTCTGATTTTCAATATCCCAACAAAATTTGCCACTTAGAACTTTATAATGAGCTAAATGGCAAAACAAAGACTCCTTTTGTTGTGTGAATACTTCCTAATATATTTTTGATATCCATACTTTTGAATTCAGGATACAATTTATCCTACAGCTTATTTTCAACATACTTGTCTTTATCTTTCACTTGTTATAATTGTGAGTTAATTTTTCAAATAGGCTTGTCAAAACCCAATTAAGAAGTTATCTCATCTTCTCAATTTGGTCCCACAAAGCAAGTAAAGTTGACAAACATTTAGTAGCAATGCCTGAGTAGTCTGGCAACTTCAAAGATGTGTAAATTGAGGGTAAAAACACATAAAAACCAGATTACAAATAATTATTCCTGCATTTTTCAAATACTTTTAGAATAGGTAAGAATATTAAACTGAAAAGACCACATAAAAATGTTTACAAAAATTATAAGACACTTACTTATGACACAACTTACATATGATACTGGTTAAATGTTTCTATGTGGAAGTTATGTTGGAACTGAAAGAGTAATAACTAACTTTCATAACTAGATGTAAATACTCAAAATGAAGTAGCTTCAAGATTCAGGAGGGTAAACAACACTCTAATATAGAAAATCTTCTTATACAACCTGCAGCAACCGAAATCTTTCCATCCCTTTCATTGTTTAGCTAATGGGCCTTAAATTTATAAATGCACCTTGGTGAGGGCATAAGCATTTTCCCTGTGTAGTAAAATTCCTGTGCAGAAAAATATTGAAATACAACTCAATTATCCTAGCACAAGAGCAGTATATCCCACATTCTTTTTTGTCTGTTTGAAGACAAGGTCTTGCTCTGTCACCTACGCTGGAGTACAGTGACACAATCATAGGTCACTGCAGCCTTAACTAGCTGAGTTCAAGTGATCCTCTGCTTCAGCCTCCCGAGTTGCTGGTACTATATAGGTGCATTCCACCACACTCGGCTAATTTTTTTTTTTTTTTTTTTTTTTTTTTTTTTTTGTAGAGACAAAGTCTCTCTATATTGCCCAGACTGGTCTCGAACTCCTGGACTCAAAGCGATCCTCATGCCTCAGCCTCCTAAAATGTTGGGATTACAGGCATGAGCCACCACGCCTGGCCCCCTCATTCTTTAGTTTAAAAAAACACATTTAGAGTTTACTAAGCTAGAAGCTTTATATATGTAGTTTATGTGATTGCCATTATACAATTCAACCATTACATCTTAATTTGACTACTCAAAGAACTGCCTGTCAGCATTCTCCATCATATTCCTATATATCTGGAAATTTCTTGACATGGAAAAATGACAAGAAGGGGGAAGAGGATGTGGGAGGGGCAAAAGGAAAGCAGGTGAGTAGGGGAGAGAGGGAAAAGGAGGTAGGAGAGAAGTAGAAAGAGGGAGGAAGAAAGATGGGGAGGCTTAGGGAAAGCAGCCTATAGGATATTGCCAGTGAGCTCAGTCTTACAGGACAGGAAAAGTTCAGATAGTTAAGGGTAGCCATGGCCTTCTAAACAGGGAACAGAATAAATAGCAAGTTGTATATGGCATATTCAGTACCCACAGGTTTTTCTCCGTTGTTAACAGTCTAGTGAGTGTAACAAAGCTTAGTGAAATGAGGATACAAGAGTTGGCAGGGAACTGATCAAATGGGGCCGTGTTAAGGCTTTTATAATCCAAGCATTACAACACAACACTTAAAGAAAGAACCAAACGCTGTGGTCAAGCTGAAGCGCTGACCACTGACTACCTCTTAGAGGACCAAGTTGTGAGCTCAAGACTCTAATCATAAGCTGGTATGGGATAACAGAGAACAGATACAATGGAATTAATCTGTTTCTTAGAAAGAATGTGCCCAACAATCAATGGTCATGGTGGACTCTATCCTGCTTTCTCCTCCAACTTGGCTTCTCTAGAACCTGCTGGATTTATGATAATAATTACTTGCCACCTACTGTTTTGATAATAAAACTTTTAGGACTGACATCCTATGCCATAAATGTACACAATTTTGAGGAAGTGAGTAAAGGAAAAGCCACAGGTAAATCCCTCTACGTTATATAAACACAGCTCCCTTTGAATTCTCATCAGAGACATGGGCAAGCCAGGGTCTTTGGGTGTAGGAGGAGGGAGCCATGGGCATCAGTCACTGAGAGGGCCCTGAGGGGTGGGACAGCTTGACTGGTGCCAAGAGCTCTGCACAGAGGGGAAAGGAGAAGTGAGGAAAGGAAGAAAGTGAGGGGAAGAAGGGGTGGGGGAGAGAGAAAGGGAATGAGTGGCTTCATGCATGAGGAGAACAAGCTGGAAGTCCCCAACACAGCCTTCCTCCCTGCTCTGAACTTGTTCAAATCACCCACTTCCTCCGACTATCTGACTATCCCCCTATCCTTCTGTTAAAGAAGGCAGGGGGCCAAGTTCACACCAGAGCTGCCACCTTAGTGCACTGGCATGTGCAATGACGCCAATTTGAAAAACAAAGGCATGCTGGGCAGAAAGAGAGAGAGAAAAGGCTGGTCTCCACTTTCCTTCCTAACATGCACGAGCAGAGGTTAAGTGTATTTAATACTTTTATTCTTGAAGGTTCTTCACATCCATCTACAATCACTGACTTAATAACTTCTGTCCATGCTACACCATCAAATGTGCACATAAATTTATTAGGAAAGTAGAGAATCAGGTCGGCAATTAAATTCTATGTGATATAATAATTTTTAGAACAGAAAACTCAATAATGAAGCTAAAATCTCAGCAGTATATAAAGAATTAAATATATTCCAAGGTGATTGAAAAAAATCATGACTGAAAAAAAGGAAAAAATATCATCATTTATGGCTTTATCAAAATCTTGCATAGATTAATGGTCATTAGGGAAAGAAAAACTACCTCTCTGCAGTCATTTGTTGTAACATAGAAAATACAAGCTCATATAAACCATCTCAAAGAGGAAAGAACTTGCTCAATAAAGAGTTATTGGAATGGAAACTCTAATTATTAAAATAGTATTTCCTAAACATTATGCTTGAATTAAATACTGCAGTCTCCTCCTAACTTTGGAGCACTGGACTATTTCAATACCAAATAATCAGTGGATACTTGAAAGGTGACTGAGTAGAAGTAAAACCAATAGAACGTCATACTAAAAGTGTCAATCAGACCTAACGAGTCATTCTAGAGTTAACTATTTTAAAGGCAGTAAACGTATGCCATAATAAAACCACAATACCATTTAATTACACTTTTAGTTATAATTTCTAGAAGGAATTTGAGAGGACACGCAAAACATATCCAAACAAAATTAAAAACACATGAAAATAGTATTAATGCTGTAATTGTATATTCTTAAATATACTTTGACAATAAATAAGGTTTCAGGTACTGTGAAAGCATAAAAGATAACTTAATAGAGGTTTGTATATATATATACATATATATGTATACATATCTACATGTATATGTAGATATATGTATGTATGTATATATGTATATGTATATACGTATAAGTATATATACATATGTGTATGCAGATATGTATGTGTATGTATATATGCATGTGTCTGTATATACATACACATGTATATGTATATACATACATATATACGTATACATACATATATGTACGTATGTGTATACACACAGAGCGAGAGTGAGAGCCCGTGCGAAACTTTGGGATCTTTTAATATACCCCTAAAAAGGATATACCTCCTGTAATATTCCTAAAAGTGAATCACCTAGTTTCAGATTGAAAACTGAATGTTCATAAGATTACTGCCACACATAGAAACAACGATGAGAGTTAACAAGTAGAATTGATTATTGCTGTTTGAATATTATTAAATTTACCGACATAAAGCTGGGGTGTATTTTTTTGTACATCAAAAATGGCCAAATATTGGCAGTTTCATATGGTTTAACAAAAAAGCTATCATTTGAAATATATGTGCCAGGCGTTGTGTTAATTATGTTAACATACTTAATCTTAATTTTCAGAGCTTCATGAGAAATTCATGTATCAATTTCTGTGTGCATAATATTTTCATTTTGAGGTGGGCATCATCACATTCAAGTCCTCTAGGTTTGCTCAACACAAAAAGGAAAACTTAAAAGAAAGACATCATTGTCTTCAGTACCCCACTCCAAGCTGGTAAAGTCGGCCAGGACAATTCTAATAATTAATTCCTGCTTATAAATCTGTCTCTCCTTAGAGACACAAAAAACCCTTCAAAAAACCAACAAATCCAGGAACTGCTTGTTTGAAAAGATCAACAAAATTGATAGACTGCTAGCAAGACTAATAAAGAAGAAAAGAGAGAAGAATCAAATAGACGCAATAAAAATGATAAAGGGGATATCCCCACCGATCCCACAGAAATACAAACTACCATCAGAGATTACTACAAACACCTCTACGCAAATAAACTAGAAAATCTAGAAGAAATGGATAAATTCCTCAACACATACACCCTCCCAAGACTAAAGCAGGAAGAAGTTGAATCTCTGAATAGACCAATAACAGGCTCTGAAATTGAGGCAATAATTAATAGCCTACCAACCAAAAAAAGTCCAGGACCAGATGGATTCACAGCCGAATTCTACCAGAGGTACAAGGAGGAGCTGGTACCATTCCTTCCGAAACTATTCCAATCAACAGAAAAAGAGGGAATCCTCCCTAACTCATTTTATGAGGCCAACATTGTCCTGATACCAAAGCCTGGCAGAGACACAACAAAAAAAAAGAGAATTTTACACCAATATCCCTGATGAAAATCGATGCAAAAATCCTCAATAAAATACTGGCAAACTGAATCCAGCAGCATATCAAAAAGCTTATCCACCACGATCAAGTGGGCTTCATCCCTGGGATACAAGGCTGGTTCAATATACGCGAATCAATAAATGTAATCCAGCATATAAACAGAACCAAAGACAAAAAACACATGATTATCTCAACAGATGCAGAAAAGGCCGTTAACAAAATTCAACAACCCTTCATGCTAAAAACTCTCAATAAATTTGGTATCGATGGGACATATCTCAAAAGAATAAGAGCTATCTATGACAAACCCACAGCCAATATCATACTGAATGGGCAAAAACTGGAAGCATTCCCTTTGAAAACTGGCACAACACAGGGATGCCCTCTCTCACCACTCCTATTCAACATAGTGTTGGAAGTTCTGGCCAGGGCAATCAGGCAGGAGAAAGAAAGAAAGGGTATTCAATTAGGAAAAGAGGAAGTCAAATTGTCCCTGTTTGCAGATGACATGATTGTATATCTAGAAAACCCCATCGTCTCAGCCCAAAATCTCCTTAAGCTGATAAGCAACTTCAGCAAACTCTCAGGATACAAAATCAATGTGCAAAAATCACAAGCATTCTTCTACACCAATAACAGACAAACAGAGAGCCAAATCATGAGTGAACTCCCATTCACAATTGCTTCAAAGAGAATAAAATACCTAGGAATCCAACTTACAAGGGATGTGAAGGACCTCTTCAAGGAGAACTACAAACCGCTGCTCAACGAAATAAAAAAGGACACAAACAAATGGAAGAACATTCCATGCTCATTGATAGGAAGAATCAATATTGTGAAAATGGCCATAATGCCCAAGGTAATTTATAGATTCAATGCCATCCCCATCAAGCTACCAATGACTTGGAAAAAACTACTTTAAAGTTCATATGGAACCAAAAAAGAGCCTGCATTGCCAAGACAATCCTAAGCCAAAAGAACAAAGCTGGAGGCATCATGCTACCTGACTTCAAACTATACTACAAGGCTACAGTAACCAAAACAGCATGGTACTGGTACCAAAACAGAGATATAGATCAATGGAACAGAATAGAGCCCTCAGAAATAATACCACACATCTACAACAGTCTGATCTTTGACAAACCTGACAAAAACAAGCAATGGGTAAACGATTCCCTATTTAATAAATGGTGTTGGGAAAACTGGCTAGCTATATGTAGACAGCTGAAACTGGATCCCTTCCTTACACCTTATACAAAAATTAATTCAAGATGGATTAAAGACTTAAATGTTAGACTTAAAACCATAAAAACCCTAGAAGAAAACCTAGGCAATACCATTCAGGACATAGGCATGGGCAAGGACTTCATGTCTAAAACAACAAAAGCAATGGCAACAAAAGCCAAAATTGACAAATGGGATCTAATTAAACTAAAGAGCTTCTGCACAGTGAAAGAAACTACCATCAGAGTGAACAGGCAACCTACAGAATGGGAGAACATTTTTGCAATCTACTCATCTGACAAAGGCCTAATATCCAGAGTCTACAAAGAACTCAAACAAATTTACAAGAAAAAAAACAACCCCATCAAAAAGTGGGCAAAGCATATGAACAGACACTTCTCAAAAGAAGACATTTATGCAGCCAAAAGACACATGAAAAAATGCTCATCATCACAGGCCATCAGAGAAATGCAAATCAAAACCACAATGAGATACCATCTCAAACCAGTTAGAATGGCAATCATTAAAAAGTCAGGAAACAACAGGTGCTGGAGAGGATGTGGAGAAATAGGAACACTTTCACACTGCTGGTGGGATGGGAAACTAGTTCAACCATTGTGGAAGACAGTGTGGCGATTCCTCAAGGATCTAGAACTAGAAATACCATTTGACCCAGTCATCCCATTACTGGGTATATACCCACAGGATTATAAATCATGCTGCTATAAAGACACATGCACACATATGTTTATTGTGGCACCATTCACAATAGCAAAGACTTGGAACCAACACAAATGTCCATCAATGATAGACTGGATTAAGAAAATGTGGCACATATACACCATGGAAGACTATGCAGCCATAAAAAATGATGAGTTCATGTCCTTTGTAGGGACATGGATGAAGCTGGAAACCATCATTCTCAGCAAACTGTCACAAGGACAGAAATCCAAACACCACATGTTCTCACTCATAGGTGAGAACTGAACAATGAGAACACATGGACACAGGAAGAGGAACATCACACACTGGGGCCTGTTGTGGGGTGGAGGGAGGGGGGAGGGATAGCATTAGGAGATATACCTAATGTAAATGACGAGTTGATGGGTGCAGCACAGCAACATGACACATGTATTCATATGTAACAAACCTGCACGTTTTGCACATATACCCTATAACTTAAAGTATAATAATAATTGAAAAATTAAAAAATAAAAATAAAATAAAAATAAATCTGTCTCTCCCAGTAGACTGTGGGCTCATGGAAGTCAGGGACCTTGCCTTGTTCATCTTTTTATTTCCAGGGCATAGGGCAATACCTGACTAGCACTTAAAAAAATTCACTTAATTAATTATTTACTCAGATTAATTGATTGCTTAGTGTCTAGTATATGTTCAGTGTCGTATAAGCCATGGTATCCTGCTCTGAAGCAGCTTATAATTATCACAAAGCAGTACACATGATAATATAAATTAAGTGCTGAATTGTGCAAAACCATGGCAGATACTTGTGGGAAAGGAATGCTGTAGGTAATAATAGTAATAGCAGCTCACATTTAGCTAAGGCAGTGTACTTAGCAATTTAACTTCATTAACTGGTTCAATCATCAACCATCCTTGGAGGCAAGTACATTATTATCTCCATTTTACAGATGAATAAACTCAAGTATGGGAAGGTTACATAAACTCCGTCAGTCACACAGATCTGGAAGTCCAATCCAGATAGAACAAAACTCGCAACGTTTTTTCACCTTTTTTTTTCCCATGTGTTTAAATTCTATTTCCTCTGTGCTGAAGCCTCCACAAGTCCTGTAAGTCAGCGATTTCTAACCATTTTTGAATCATGAACCTTTTGGCAGTCTGTTGAAGTCTAGTGATTGTGATCTCTTCTCAGGATTATGCTTTTAAATGCATAAAAATAAGTCCATACGATTACAGAGAAAAGCAATTATAATGAAATAGTTATAAAATTATTTTAAAAAACAAATTTGTGTTATAGTAGTATGTGTTTCTATGACAACTCATTAACAAAGTTTAAAAAGGGATTTAAGAGTAATGTAGTTTCGGTGTAGTTCATGAACACAAACATATTTTGAGAGAGCTGCAGTGGAATGTAATGTGATATGAAAATATATGTGTTTCTTTTGGTGATAATGACACAGGCACTGCTAGTACTACTGTACTTTATTGTCTAAGTCATAATATAAGTAAATGCTATATCTTAGAGGTTAGTGAATATAAGGATCTAATGTTTTCCCATCCTAGTTCACAGACCCCCTGAATTCTATCCAGATTAAAAATCCCTGTTTGCAAACTACAACTCGTCCATTTTACTGTGAAAACATCTCTTTTATATATATATGTATAGGTATATATGCATATGCGTGTGTGTGTGTATATGTGGATGGATGGATGGATGGATAGATTGATTGATTTAGGGGGTATAAGTGTAGTTGTGTTATATCATGGATATACTGCATGGACCATCTGGGCTTTTAGTGTACCCATCACCCAAATAGTGTACACGTACCCAATAGGTAGTATTTCATCCCTCACTTCCCTCCCCCCACCCTCTCATTTTGAGAAATGCAAATTAAAACCACAATGAGATAGCATCTTAACACCAGTCAGAATGGCTTATTACTAAAAAGTCAAAAAATGGCCAGGCACAGTAGTTCACGCCTATAATCCCAGCACTTTGGGAGGCTGAGGCAAGAAGATCACTTGAGCCCAGGAGTTTGAGGCTGCAGTGAGCTTTGATCACGTCACTGTACTCCAGCCTAGGATACAGAGAGACACCATGGTCTTGCCTCACATGTAGGTTACAAATGCCGGGAATATACTCTAATCCATACTGAAACAGGAAGTACTTAAGAGCAAGGTAGAACCAACACGCCCTGCAGGACGCCTGGATGACACCTCACAGATAGCAGATACCTATTTACAAGATAAATTCATCCATATTTTATATCATCCCCGTGTCCCTAAAAAGAGTTGGTGTCTCCTAAACAGTTTGAATTTTTTTTTTCAAATAGTGTTTATTCAAGACAGTAAATTTTAACTCACCAGCTTAACCACTCTAAATAAAACTCCCATTCACCCATCTGGATTCAGAGGCAAAAGAATGCTTTTCCCAATGATCTTATGAAAATAAGATTCTCCATACTGTCTTATAGAAACTGTCAATGACAAAAATGAATATTCTTGACAACTGTAAGGGGGACTATGTCTTTAGTATGTTTTATGTTGTGTCAAATGAAAATTATCCTCCCAATAAGTACTTTGATAATCAATACAAAATTAAATTTTATAAACAAAACCAATAGTGTACTAGGAAACAGACGAACAATGACTGTCTTAGCTAATCACAGGCTTGCGTACGTTACTTGTTTAATGTTCCATGCTTTCCAAAAGCTTAATCTATCCATTTTTATGACACTGAAAGAGAAAAGCTTTAAATATGTCAAGGTGAAGCCAGCCCCCACTGTGACTGTGCTAACACAGGTACACGTGTTTTCTCTCAAGATCTATCCCTGAAGCCAAAGAAAAGAAATAAAGCTCTAAAATAGAAGCTTAATGATAAAAAGAACTATTGAGTAAATCTGACAGAGGATTAGCAAACGACATGCACGAAACTGACTTAAGAGTAACATTTGAGCAAACATAAAACTTATGATGCTGTCAGGGTCATAGAGTCAGGGAAATGGGATTATTTACTCTTAAAAACTTTTAAAAAAGAACATAAAAGAAAATTGTAACCGTAAAATTAGGAAGAGCTTCCTGATACAAAAAAAAAAAAAAAACTATCCACATATAAGATAGAGTTTGCTTGAATGAGGTGGATAACTAACTATAGGTGTTCAAAGAAACATTACTTAACCTTAAGCTGACAAGATAAAGTAAAATGAATAAAACTAAATAACTTCCTGAGGAAAGGCATTTAAAGTTAAAGAGCATTTCCCTGATTAATGAAGGAGTAATCCTGTAAAATGGAATCTGTGGTCAAATGGACCTCCCCATCAGAAAGCTTCAGCAGTGCCACGGCTCAGAATTCCTCTAAGTACTAACTTGGCATTTTTCCCTCATGAAAGACACAGCTTTGCTGACACTGGATTTAAAGAACCAAGGGTATCAGAGAGCCTGATAAACAAATGTGCCCTTCAAAGGATTATAAATAGGTATGAGCGTAAATTCTTTCTGAACTGGGGTGCCAGTTTAAAGTATTAAGACTATGGCATAGCACAAACATAAGCATCTCAGATCTGTCAAGGTCCTACCTTTGCAATGTGTTAGCTCTAAACTGAGCAGCCTTTCCTTGGGCCTGGGAATTAGAAAATGCTACACTGAAGTAAATTGCATGTGCTTCTTTCTGTTATTGGCAGCTACCTAGCTTGGGTTAAATTTCTAGGCCACTGGTGAAATTGAGAATTTACACCAGATTTACTTACCCACAGCCCACCTATATAGATGTACTATCCTTTTTTAAGAATATACAAGCAGAAGAAAAGAGAATGAAGAGTTAACAGAGGTCTAGCCCTGCCCTCTGCCACAAATTTGCTAAGTAGGCATGAAAAATTGACACTCTCAGTTTCACCTAAAAATGCATGAAGAGAGAAGAGGAAAATGCTCAAACAAGATGTTTTCCTCAGCTATCCTCAAGCAACAAAATTCTACAATCCATGCATTATCCAGTCTTCATAACAAAATGGATGCCATCAAGAATGCAGGCAACTTTACAGAACACACTCACAGGCAGCAGAAACCCAGATATTGTATACAACAATAGGAATCTCAGACATGAAAACACATTGTGCAAATTCTTACTCAACACTTAATTTAAAATGCCATCCTTAGAATATAAGAAAATATGAAGTGAAACACAATGGTTAATATCAAAAACAGCAAATACAATGTGATCTGCAGAGCTCAGTGCAAATTTAGAATATCACTTCTCATTACTGGTTATGGATTTCATCTATGAATGTGTTGACATTTTTTATCTCCTCTTGCCACAGCCTGCCAATCTTGGTTTACTTAGCGATCAACAACTCACTACAAAAAAAATAGGCTTTTTCCAGGGCATTATTGCAAAGTTTAAAAGGTATTTAGACAGGTCAAACATCCCTTGAAATATGAAAAGTAAATTTTTCTATTCCAAAGTAAAATGACAAAAATTTTTCATCAAAATATTTAAATGCCAATCTTCCCAGCTCCTCTCTCTCTCTAGCTTACAAACATAAGACCAAGCAATGCAGTATATCTATCAAGGATAAAAAAGTAAGGTAATTACATAAAATTTTAAAAGCCTGAAAAGGCTCTTAGTTTTTACAAAGAAATCAATAAACAACTGCAATTATTTTTAAGTAAATATGAAGAGTTGAGGTATAATGTTAGGGGAAGAAGAGAGATAAGTGAAATGGAATGATACCAATCTGATAGCTGGTGGTAGAAAATTGGAGTAGATATTCCCAAATTCCTTGGGAAGAAGCTAATTTCTGAAGTCAAGTTCCTTGGTATTCTAGACTAGGAAGTAAGAGTGTGTATAAAGATTGAAAAACAATGACCTGAAGATTTGTCCTGAAAGTAAAGTATCAAGTCATGCTCCTTTATTTGTTCTTTACAGTTTTGGGGGACTGCAAGAATACCTAGGATAAAGGAAAGAGAAGTACAACGGAAGAAATTAACATTCAGACACTTGTGCAACTGGAGGGAGCTTTGTTTTTATTTTTTTCAATTTTATTTATTTTAAATTTATCTTTTGATACATTATATTTGTACACATTCATGGGGGCACTTGTGATATTCTGTTATAGGCATAAGGTAACACTAATGATAATTTTCTTACATTTGTAATGATCAAATTAGGGTATTCAGGATGTCTATCACCCAAGTATTTATTATATTACAAGTCGCCTCTCTTCTGTTTTGAAAAATACATAATTGTTAACTATAGGCACCCTACTCTGCTATCAAACATTAGAACTTTAACTGTATGTTTGTATCCATTACCCAACCTCTCTTTACCCTCTATCCAACACCTGCTCTTCCTAGCCTCTGGTATTTATCATTCGTTTGCTACCTCCATGTGATCAACTCTCTTAGATTCTACATATGAGGGAAATCATGCAGAATTTGTCCTCCTGTGTCTGGCTTATTTCACTTAACACAATGACCTCCAGTTCAATCCATGTTGCTGCAGATGATAGGATTTCATTCTTTTTTTTACGGTCAACAGTATTCCATTGTGTATATATATCACATTATATTTATCCATTCATCTGTTGATAGACACTTAGGTTGATTCCACATCTTTGCTATTGGGAATAGTGCCACAATAAACATGAGGATGCAGGTATTCTTTTGACATATTGATTTAATTTCCTTTGGATAAATACCAAGTAATGAGATTGCTGAATCTTATGGTATTTCTATTTTTAATTTTTTAAGGAAACTCCATACTGTTTTCTGTAGAGGTTGTACTAGTTTACATTCCCACCAACAGTATATAGGAAATCCCTTTTCTCTACATACTTGTCAACATCTGTTATTTTTTGCCTTTTTAATAATAGCCATTCTAACTGAGGTGGGATGATATTTCATTGTGGTTTTTATTTTTTCATATACATGTTGGCCATTTATATGTCTTCTTTTGAGAAATGTCTATTTATGCCCTTTGCCCATTTTTAACGGTTTTTTTTTTTTTTTTTTTTTACTGTTGAGTCCTTTGAGCTCCTTGTATATTCTGGATATTAGTCCCATCTTCCCCCTTCTACAGATAGGGAAACAGTTCCAAAGCAATGGCATGAGTTGCACCAACATAATCAGCTCTTGAGGAGAACCTAAATCACAGAGGTACTAATACACGAGGGGTGGTAACTGGAATGAAGAGGAGCAGCAGCAGAGGGAAGTATGATGTAAATCATTGTTATCAGTGATTTATAATCATGAAAACAGAATCCAAAGGAAATAAAATGAAGTGTAGTCTCTACCTGAAATGTGAATGTGTCTTTCATCCTAAGAGAACAGAAAATGAGTGAATATTGGAGGTAAGAAACTTACAAAAAATTAATGCAAAATACAAAAAACAAAATGAAGAAAATAATCACATCATAACAGAGGGTTAAGCATCTTCTTAGTGTATAAACAATGCCTATATGAATCAGTATTAAGAAAATGAACATGTAAATGGGACATAGGACATGAACAGATAATTCACAAAGAAATATGAATGACCAATATAGAAATGTTAAACTTCACTAATAGCAAATAATAATAATAAGGGAACCTAACCATTGGCATTTATTTTATGATAATACCAAATGTGCAAGTAAAAACAGCACTCATATATGGTTATGGTAGAAAAACCTGTTACTACTTTGAGGGCAATTTAATAATCTGTATAAATAACCTAAACAGTGCTCATCACCTATCACCCAGTAATTCTACTTGCAGAAATTTATCCAAGATAATAAACTTATGACTATGAACAATTATTTCAGCATTTACTTTTTAATAGTAAAAAATGAAAACATAACTAATAAGCAAGATATTAAATAATATTTAGATACAAGCACACAATGATTTATTATGCATTTACTTAAAACCATGTTTATATTGAGTATCTGATATTAAAGTATGCTAATGTCATATAAATCAGATTCCAGTTTTATACATACAAAACAGAAACACCAAACTGTAAAAGGAGTTGCTATAGCTATTGAAATTATACAGGCGGTATTTGTTTTCTTTTTCTCTCTTTTTATAATGTACTATTTTTAGAGCAGTTTTAGGATGACAAAAACATTTCTTATTTTAAATATTTCTTAAATTTGCCAACATAAACATATACTACTTCTATTAAAAAGTGTTCTTAAAATAATATCACAGTAGAAAATTTCTGAATTTCACAATTCAAGACATTTTGCAAAAAAAGGCCAGAATTAGAACATTTTTGAGATAAAAATGAGTACTGTTCCCCAAATTTCATAATAAACATATTGAAAAATTTTTTTTTAATTCATTGAAGGAATGAAGGAATTTGTCCCATTATAAAGCAGGAAATCTGAACAGCAAATGGTGGTGGGGGTGGGGGTGGCAACAACAAAGCTGATTTTAATACTTTTTTGGTAACTTTTAAAAGATTAAATACCTCTCTCTCATTTATTCTTTGGAACCAAAGTAGAACATAAACAAATGAAAACAGTAAGAAAACTATACATCCTTTCTGAAAAGTTGTGAACAAAGCCAAGTCACAAATTTTTTTTTTTTTTAAGAAGCTCTAGCATCCATATTTTGTACAACAGCAGAACTTGAAAGTTTGTATTATGCTGAAAGCAGCTAGTAAGCAACTGTATACTGCCTTTTGGAAATCTACAAGAGAAAGACCATTTACTTTTCCACATGTCCACTGTAAATCACATTGTCATTTGTTATATTTGGATAAAGTGCACCTGAATTCTGTGAAACAGAAGCAGATATCTGAGGGGAAGAATAGCTTGGAAAGTAACAAATTGCAATCAACCTATGTTTACCTAACTGCAGAGTCAGATGATGTTTCCTAAATTGAAAAATAGACCAAAACCAAAAAATGGCCAAAAACGAAGAGCAAACACTTGTAGAATTTGTGTACATTTTAGCACTTCCTTTAGACAATGAGGTGCTTAAAGAAAAAAAAAAGGTGAAGAGGGGAAAAAAAAACCCTTCAATTAACAAAAAAGATGAAAGTGCAGCAGAATCAAACAACAATTAGGAACCGCAAAATTATCAAGATTATAACTGCCAACTTTTATTAAGTAGTTAGGTATGCTACCTGCCATTTCTTTCTTCTCTTCCTATTCTGGTCCGTCCCTCTACCATCATGTCTGCCAACTTAGGTGGTTTAGATATTTGGGTCAATTTTTAATTATGCCAACTGTGTGTGTGAGAATATTGAAGAAATTTCACAAACATACTTCTTTATTATTCTTGTTACTTATAATACTTAAGACATCTTATTAAAAATATGATATAAATTATATTGTTACATAAAAATCATTATCATTCCTCAGTATATGCTTTTATGTAACATGTTGAACAGTATTCATAGTAAATATTAATTATAACTAACATATACACACAAAGACACCCCCCACCCAAGAAAACACCACATAGAAATACCCAAAAAGATCTAATCCTGGAATAATCTAGCTGAAAGAAATTATTTCCTTTAAAAAAATGTACCAAGAAGAAATGAATTTTGTCAAATAACGTGGAGAAAAAGAAATATATCTCGGGTTTCATACCAAGATCCCAGGTATTAAAGTAAACCGAATATCTGAAGGTACAACCACTATAAGAACAGACAGAAAACTTTTTTTTTTTGAGATGGAGTAATTGTCTATAGACTATATAGACCTACAATCAAGATGGAAAAGGCTATTCATAAAAATCATTCAAGAAATAGCAATCATAAAGCTGAGAGAGAAAAATAATAGCAAACAGATTTTGAGAAAATGTATATACTACGAGTACAAAGATATCTTTTCAATTTAATTTGTAATACACATTTATTAGGATTGTTCATATATATATTGTTGAAGAATATAATATAATATATATTCTAGGATTAGATCTTTTTGGGTATTTCTATGTGCTATTTTCTTGGGTGGGGGTGTCTTTGTAATATATATTTGTGTATAATATATATTATGTAATAAATACATATATTTACATTATATATTATATATAATTATATATTACATATCATTATATATTATATATAATCCTTCAAGCCAATCCTTCAACATACATTATGTATATAATATATATACATTATATATTATATACATAATGTATATTATATATAATATACATTATATATGCTATGTATATTATATGATATACATTATATATGCTATGTATAATATATATTATATAATATACATTATATATTATGTATAATACATATTATATACAGATTCAGAAATGGCTATCACAGCTAAAGGATTGTAAACATAATAAATGAGCAAATTACCACTTAAAGATTATTAATAGTTGACAACAGCTGCATACAGCAAACAATATATATAACATCCCTGAAAACACAGACTTCAAATGATGTAAGAAGCCACAAAAGATCATAGAATCACAGAATAACTAGGTTAGAAAGAACATGAAAGGCCAACCATGCTTCATATATATCTAGCATCTTCAAGGAAACACAAAATCATGAAATGAAGGACAATCATATTCAAAAGAAATTTCATTACAATACAAAAGTAATACTTTTAGAAAAAGAGAATTGTGGAGAAAGTAAGAATAAAAACAAGATCAAAATATACAGTTTCTAGATAGAGCAATAAGTACTGCAATACCCATTCACTCAGTCATCAAGTATTCATTGAATATATTTGTGTGCTAAACTGGGGATACAATGGTAAACAGAAATGGCTCTTTCATGGAACATACATTCTAGAAGTTATAAGGTCTGCATCAATATGGTTCTCAAATGACAATGTGAATCAAAATTATCAAGGCTGTGAACAAATGTGATCCCAAAAGAGCCAATCCTTCAAGATGGATCCCAAGTAGCTAACTAGGTTTACATTCAAATTGAGTCAAGTGGCCATTTGCTGACTAGAAGTCACAAATGTTACTCTGAGTTCCCTGAAAATTCACACCTCTGTTTAACTTTGGGACTTCAGGAACTCACCTGAACCCACCAATCAGAGCTCACCTACCTTGTCCAATCAGGGCCCAGTGATATCCAACCAATCAGAACTTGCTTGTGTTGACCAATGAGAGCTAAGCAAGTTTGAATCCTTTATTTGCATAAGTGGACCTGACTGGGAACCTAGTGCAAAATCTTTCACTATAAAATCAGAGCCCATTGCTTGAGTCAAGGATTTCTAGGCCACAGTAAGCTATGATCACATCACTGCACTCTAGTCGGGGTGACTGAATGAGACCTTGTCTCAAAATAAATTAAATTAAAAATCAAAATTAAATAAATGAAATTGCTTTTCAGAGAACTTTTGTTCACAAAGCACAGGTTCAAAATTCAGATGTTGAAGCCCCATTCTCAGAAATTCTTATTCAACAGGTCTTGTATGGAACCTAAGAGTCTGCTTTTAGTCAGCTATGGTGGTATGAGGTCCTTAGCTCTGCTTTTAATTAGCTATGCAGTATTGGACAAGTCACTTAACTTCATGAGTAAGATGGGAATAATTATCTTGTTTATAAGACTTATTCTAAAATATAAATATATATTTAAATATATTTTAATTTCTCTGATGTCTGAGATTGCTAATAGATTTTGAAGTGCCCACAGTACCTGACATAGGTATATTCAAAATGGCAACTGTGAAATAACGATAGCATGCCAGAAATAGTAAAAAAAAAAAAAAAAAAAAAAAAAAAAAAGAAAAAAAAAAAAGAAAATCTGGATTCACATTTAACTCGGATGCTTACAATATGTAACACTGGAAAAGTCATTTAACCTCTATGAGCTTCAATTTCTATTTATGTAAAGTGTAGGTAATAATACTTGCACTGTTTATTGCAAGGAGATATTGAAAGAAGAAAAGTTAAGACTGTTCTGGTAAACTATAAAAATTACTACATAAAAGTAATAATACATAAATAAAACATAAAGATCATGATCACAGGAAAATATGCAAAATATACTTCTAAAAAAATGAAAGGCATTTTGGGAAAAAAATTGAGAAGCAACTTTTCTACCTTATTTTTCCAACTAAATTTATTTATTCATTCAAGAGTTTGTTGCATACCAAGTGTGTATTACCTGGAAAACAGTAACTCCACAAATGCACCCCAGGAATGCAGACTCCATAATGAGCATCACAAATCTTAACACCATTTTGAGACGTGCACAAAGACATGTTAGATATAGTTTCACGACTAAACACTAGCTGGAAATACGAACAGAAGTATAGAAAAACCCTCGGTCACCAAGTCAAACCACCTCTTCAATGCTTACATCTCTTTCTGTAAAAATCCTAGCAGGTAGTCATTTAATTCCACTGGTTAGCAATCCACCAATTCTAAGAGAATCATCTGGAAAGCTTTCAAAAGCATGAATTCTGTAAGTCTGATTCAGAAAGTCTGAGACAGAACCCCAGGACCTGTTTCTGTAGTATGTTTCCCAAGTGACTGTGAAAGGCCACTAGAATCAAGTTGTGATGCTATACTCAACCAGTCCATTCTATTTTGGGGCACTGCAACCAAACTCTAGATATATTAGGTTGAAATCTTCCCCACTTCAGTTTCCACCCAAGTCCTAGTTTTACTCTTGGGATTGCATACAACACCATAAACCGAATCTGTCTACAGGCTAAACACCCCCAGCTCCTTCAACTTACATATGGCATGTTTCAAACCTGATCACTAAATTTGTGCACTTTTTTTATTCATATATGGTGCCCAGAAGAGAACATAATCCTCATGTAGAACACAATGGGGATACTCTCTCCTTCACTGGAGTTACAATATTTTTATTAGCACAGCTTGTGTGCCTTTTTTTCAATCTGTATTCTGTTGAAATGTGTGCCTTTTTCTAAACTGTGGCCACATCATACTACGCTTACTTTTAAAAACTCACTTATTTTGAAATATTCTAGGTTTACACAAAAGTTACAATGATAGTACAAAGAACTCCCTCATCCCCCTGCTGATCCAATTTCAGTTTCCCTAACCTTATCATCTTAGAGTGCAGCAGTGCATTTATCAAAACCAAATATAAGCCTACTGTTTCACTAAAAACTTTATATCTTTTTATACAGATTACTCCCCTGAGCTACATTTCCTTCATCCCAAATACAGACTTTTGGCTTTTCTTTAGTTTAAGTACATGAGGCAAATATAGAAATTTACAGTTAATACTGTAAGATTCAAATATTGAATTTTACATGATGAAATCTTCCTCTGACTCTTACAAGGTGAAATCTAAGGTCCTATAGATGTTAAAATTTTGAGCTCCTATAACTTGTTAAGATATTCTGAGACAAGGTCCAGTTGGACATACCCACTCTTGACATTAGATTTATGTTATATACATATTTAGTCAGCAAAACTTCATTTAATTCAATAGGCTGAGGCTTGGGGTAAGGTAAACTTCTCTAGAGTTGCATTAATTAACCTCTGATGCATACCATCACTATTACAAATCCAATCAGTTAACAGTACATCCAATTACTTAATATTTTTACACAAAAATATTCTTGCCTCAGGTAAGTTCAGACCCATTGTATCTCCACATTTTCCCTTGTTTATTAGTCTAATATATATTCGCATATTATGCTTCTTCAGCTGAAAGGTGTTGAGTACCTGCACAATGAAAGGAATCCATTCCCTCAAATGACTCTGAATTGCTTATGCAAAAAGTGAATTCTCTAAACTAACAGCTAGTGGCAACTCACTGAAGCAGTTAATGACCATGTGTGAAAACTGGTGCTCATAGGAAATCCATAGAGAAACTCCTATGAGTCACAAGCTAGAATCAGAAGAAACAGCAGAATGGTATTGGTAGTATTATTTCTTTAGGAAGCAAAGAGAATTCAATTCATCCTCTTGAAATTAGTTACTAGCTTTAATTATTATAAAGCTTAGGGAACAAAATTGCATAAGATAGCAATTTACTATTGAAATCCAGATTTAAAAGGATAATTTAGACATGTGGACCTAAAGATAGCTATAGTCAGCTGTATCAATCACTGCCAGAAGATTTTTCTAAATAGTTTACTTCTCCTCAAAAGATGTGACTAATTTCGATTCTGTTTATCTCTCAAAACCAGGCTGTGGAATTAGAGCTTTTAAATTGCTAAATAGAACTGACAATGCTTTCAAAAAGGTTGCAAATTCACAGCCTTCCTGTCAGACCAGCAAGCTTCTTTAAAATGAGAAACCCATAAAAATAATAAAACTCCTTTTAAAATGCATCGGAAAGCCAAAAACAAAGCTCTTCAAACTTACCTCATAATAACTCCGAACTGCGTTGCAAAATGCTTCGTCAGCTACAATTTGGGTTTCCCCATTGAGGAAGGCCTGGAACCGTTCTTTCAGTAACTGCAACTGTTGTTTGTTAAGCTACAAGAAAAAGAGAAAATAAGCAGATAAATTGGCCAGTACATGAAAAAATAATGACTATTAAAAATCATATTTGCTGTATATTAGATTTCACATCTAGAATTAACTTTATAGTAAAGAAAAATAAAAGCTAAAACATCCTACTACTTGTTCTAATGGTTAGACCTCCATCTCAAGATGGAGTCAAGCTCTGTCTTCCAGGCTGGAGTGCAGTGGTGCGATCTCGGCTCACTGCAGCCTCCACCTCCCGGGTTCAAGCGATTCTCCTGCCTCAGACTCCTGAGTAACTGGGATTATGGTGCCTGCCATCACGCCTTGCTAATTTTTGTATTTTTAGTAGAGATGTTGGCCAGACTGGTCTCAAACTCCTAACCTCAAATGATCCGCCTGCCTTGGCCTCCCAGTGTGCTGGGATTACAGGCATGAGCCACTGCACCCGGACACTAATGGTTAGACTTTAAAACATTTCCAAGCCATTTCATGTACTCTGTAATCCTGATATGGAAGTGGAATCCAAATTTCTACCCCAAATTTCCAGAATCCTGATATGGAAGTGGAATCCAAATTTCTACCCCAAGTTTCTATCTCAAATTTCCAGAATTCTTGTGATTGCCACACCAGTTTCTTCATAGAGACAGGGAAAATATAAAATTTGGATAAGAAATTAACTAATAGTTAATATTAATAATATTATACAAAATCGCCAGCTGTTCTAAACAGAGAAAGTAGAGAGGAGCTTAGAGATGAGGGAGGGATGCCTTGGACAAGAGTTAATAGGAAGAAAGACTGAAAAGACAGAACGTACCCTAAGAAAGATCCCTCTGGAAAGAACAGCCATTGCATGCCAAAATTTGGATTCCATGAACAAACATACATCAATACCTGAGTTTAGATAATTGAAGGAATAATAAGGAGAAGACAAAGAAGACAAATCCAAAAGAGAACAGAGAGGCAGCAGGTAGGCAGTGAATGCGTCTTTGAGCACATAGGAGAAAATGCTCTGAACTGGGGAAGTTTACAACCAAGGGTCCTTACCCTGGGTCTAGCTTCCATAATTAATACAGAGGGTGAATTAGACATGAAATGTGACTTATCAATCATGTCCTCTAGTCATCAACTACAAGCAGGGTGAGCTACTTAATTTGTAGGGCCCAGTGCAAAATAAAAATAAGGAGCTTCTTAGTAAAAATATTAACAATTTCAAGACGGCAGGAACAGAGAGCATTAAGCTGAGTGCAGAGCCCTTCTAGGCACTAAGCCCTGCACAACTGTACACACAGGGGCATGTACTTCACTAGAAATAAGGCGTCTTAGATCTTAGGTAATGCAGAAGCTTTTTTTTTTTTTATGCTTAACTGGAGAGAAAACAACATAGTCTTGGAGATAAAACAACAAATTCCAAAATACATAAGAAACAGCAAAGGAATGATCCTTCCATTTCATTCGATCCTGATCAGACTTTATTAACAAACTCATTCCAGTTCTGGAATCTACAGAGGGATGTGAAGCATCTGGAAACATACTGAGGATAAAATGATTAAAGGATTAGGAAGACTAAACAAACTGGTATGACTTGGCTCAAAAAGAAGGCTGATGTGAATTAAGTATAAATCTGTTCAAAAGGCTTATTAAACTGCCATTCAAATAAAAGGAAGACAAGCTCTTTCAAAAAATGGGTTTTATTTAGGACTCTAACAAATAAGACAGTTTTTAAAGAAACTGTAGCTGGGAGTAACAGACTGATTTAAAAAAAATTAAAAAGTGTCCTATTGTACCCAGGGGGGGAAAAAAAAAAAAAAAAAACTTTTGCCATGGGCAGCGAAGAAAGAAGACCATTCCATCTCTTTACTAAGATTATCTCCTTCATTTTAGAGGAAGCTTAACCAAGCTGAGGTGCAGGAACATCATCATTATATTACAATCTCCATTTCTGTAATATTAAGAAAATGGAAGCAGGTACCTTTTGTATGGGTGCATACTAGCAACGCAAATTAAGTTCATGACTTTAGCTCTCTAGGCATGATTCACAAAAGGGACCAAATGGAAATGGGACAGCAATTGCTGAGAGTGAGGCGGCTGAAAGCACTATAGTTACTAAGCTCTGGGAATGCCAAGAAGAGCTTCTCCTTGCAAGCCAAGTAAAATAATGGCAATGGAAATGTATGCAAAGAATGACAATGAACTGAAGGAGACCTTACTGATCACTTGTGCCAACTCCTTTGCTTGATAAATAAAATACATACTCTTCAAAAACTAGAAACTGTGTATTTTTTCATTCAATTTTATTTTATCAAAGATATCTTTTTTGTTCTTTAAAACTCTTCTAAACTACAATATTTGCAATTTCTACATCATTAGTATTTAAGTTCCGCTATTATAACAGTGAGTTACTCTTTGGTAATTACAGTGTAGAAAATTCATGGATATGAATCAAGGAAAGGAGGTTTGGGCAAATCATCTTCTTGGAAGCTCCAACAAAGTTGATATAGTTCACAAAATAAGCCAGAGTCACCTGGCTAAATGTCAGGCTTCAATATTTTTATGAATAGAGGATACTGCAGTTACATTTAAGACATAAAATGGATCAAATATGACAATTACATACAAAAAGCAAATAAATGAATACTTTATTAGCATAAAGAAGAAGTCTACTTTTTCACATAGGCAAGATGGGGCAGGAAAAGAAAACTAAACTTAAAATCTAGCACTGGGGATAGCTGTCAGAAAGCAGTTTCCTAAAAGCTATTTGCATTATCAAGATAAACCAGACTGTATACCAAGAGATAGACCAGTGGAACAGATCGAAGAAACAGACCGAAATACAATCAGAAATGTACTATAAAACACCTATATAGCAACTCAAATCAGTAGTAATGGATGGTCTACTCAATGAATGGTGTTAAAATAATATAAAAGATGTTCCACCTCATGTCATCAGGGAAATGCAAATTAAAATAATGAGATTTACTACAAACCCATTAGAAAGAACAAAATCCAGAACACAGAAAACACTTGATGCTGGCAAGGATATAGACCACAGGATCTCTCATTCTTTGCTACTGGGAAAGCAAAATGGTATAGCTACTTTGTAAAACAGGTTGATGGTTTCTTACAAATTAATACACTTCTATCATATGATCCAGTAATCACAGTCCTTAGTACTTGCCCAAATGAGTTGGAAATTTATGTCCACACAAATACCTGTACACAAATGTTTAAAGTAGCTTTTTTCATAATTGCAAAATTCAGTAGATGAATGGATAAACTCGGGTACGTCCAACAATGGAATATTATTTAGCAAGTAATGAAATAAGCTATCAAGCCATGGAAAGACATGGAGGAACCTTAAATGCATATTACTATGTAAAAGCAGCCAATATAAAAAGGCTACATACTGTACGACTCCAACGATATGACATTCTGGACAAGGCAAAGCTATGGAGACAGTAAAAAGATCAGCTGTTGATAACAGTGTAGGCTATGCATGTGTGGGGGCAGGATATATATGGGAAATTTCTGTACCATCCACTCAAGCTCAATTTTGTTGTGAAATTAAAATTTCATAAAAAAATAAACTCTATTAAAAATACTGAAATGTCATCAATTTATTTGCATTAAAAATAAATTTTACATGGCAAAAAATACCATAGGCAAAATAGGAAAAGATTAACTAGAAAAAAAAATACTTGCAACTCATTACCCAAAGAGTTCATTTCTAACCATATAGAGAGTTCCTAGAAATTGATAAGAACATCATAAATAAACCAACAGAAAAATGGACAAAATTGATATGTTCAGATAAAAGACTTAATCCATGAAAACAAGCCTACATTCATAAAAAGAATACAAATTAAAACTGTATGAGAAGCCATTTTAAAGGTACATATCCTTGGAATCAGCAATTCCACTTTGAGATTGGATCAATACTACAGATACACCTGCACATGTGAGAAATGACATGTGTAGAAGGTTATTTACCACATAATTCTTAATTGCAAAAACAAGGAAAATAACCTAAATGTTCATATATAGGAGACTAAATTATGCCACATCTATAAACAGTGGTATACTATTCATTGCATTAAAAGAATGTAAACATTCTCTATGTACTGATTTTAAATATTTTAAAAATATCTTGGGGCAGAAAGCAAGTTATAGAACAGCAGTTAAAATAAGTCACCACTCACATAGAAAATGGATAAATAACATGTATGTGAATTTGCTTCCATATATAGACAGAAACTAGGGAAGAAGGATGGCTGTGGGAACTGGACAGACAGAAAATACAGGTAAAAGAGATTTTTCAACATTAGCACTTTATTCATTTTGAGTTTTCAAGTGAAACAACCCTTAAAATAAGCTATAACAGCAGCTTTGTACATCTTGAAACTCAAAACAGTTATGAAGCACTGTGAATACCTTAAATCCTATCCTACACGGAGACTGGACAGCACACCAATTTTTTCCATTCTTTCAGGTAAAAAAACTTACCTTGACTCTGTGTCTATTTTTTTAAATATTACAATCTTGAGGATTTCAAAAAGCTTAAACCAAGATCCTATTCAACATTCTAATCAACATATTAATCTGTACAAAATCTACAAAAGTAGACTTTCAGATTCCAGTTGGGCCTATTAATACACACACATATACATACATCCTTTTATTATCTCAGTGAATCCTATTCTAATTTGGAACAAGTATAAAAATTGAAATCAGTGTCCCTATGGCTTCCATACAACTCTAGTACTATACACTATCTAAGACAAAACAGACTGTTACTTTCATTCTTTAACACAGCAGTTCAAGACTTTGAGAACAAAATAAAATGATTATTTAAGAGTTTTCTCTTTTCTAGAACAAATTTTACCAGTTCGCTCCAATATCCTGGGTACTCTCCTAAGGATACATTCCAGTTTGCCATAAAATCACCATGTTAAATAAAACTAAGTATGATGGATACTTGGATGCAATGGATCATAAGTTCTGAGTTTACAGATGCGCAGAGTCGCTATTATAGCTTTTTTAAAAATCTAAACAAACTGGGCGCAGCGGCTCATGCCTGTAATCCCAGCATTTTGGGAGGTCAAGGCAGGCGGATCACCTGAGGTCAGGAGTTCGAGACCAGCGTGGCCAACGTGGTGAAACCCCGTCTCTACTAAAAAAAAATACAAAAATTAGCCGGGTGTGGTGGCATGTTCCTGTCGTCCCAGATACTTGGGAGGCTGAGGCAGGAGAATCGCTTGAACCCGAGAGGCAGAGGTTGCAGTGAGCCAAGATCATGCCACTCCACTCCAGCCTGGGTGACAGAGACTCCATCTCAAAAAAAAAAATTAATTAAAATATATAATGCCCTTTGATATAAAAATTCAAAAGGAAAACACTTTGAAAACTATAAGATTAAGCAAATGAAACTCACTACAATAGCAATGTCCCTCTTAAAATGTACTAGATAGACTGATCACCATTCTCTTAGGATAGTGTGGCCAACAGAGAGATAAGTGAGAGGGCCACTTCCCACATTCTAAGCATTCTATGTCTATTAATTCAAACTAAAAACAAATTAACTCTTCTTGGCAGTCACATCTACTGACTTACATTGTGCTTATAATCAACAAAAACTTCTAAAACATTCTTACATGTGCCTCAGTAAGCCATGTTCCATCTTGCTAGATGTATCTGAGCCACTGTTCTAGTTAAGAATTATTTTGGAATTCTGATTCCTTCACCTGATGACTAGAGAGCTCTCTTAGCTTTGTTATAATCACTAACATAATAACATATTATCCATAGTCTCCTCCAGGTCGTTTTAAAAATATTCATCAGTTCAGGATTAAGGAAAGAATCCTGAATCCTGCCATTATATATACTCCTTCAGTTTAACATAATCAATTAATATTATTTGGGGCAGTTGATTTATTATTATTTAGCATATGTTTTAATTTTGTCTTCAGACTACTGTATTTACCAATGAATAAAATATTTTTAAATATGAAGGAAAATTTGACCAGCAGAAATTATCTATCAGGAATTTATAAGGCACATCCTATATAAAACTAAATTGCAGAAACTTAACTAAAACATAAATATAATTGCAAACATCTAAATACAACCAACAGATTAGCCTTGTAAAAAGAAAAAACTAAATTTTATAAATCTGACCTGGCTGTGATACTTCATCCACAATAATAACTGCCACCAGAAAAAACACTTAGATTCTAGGGTTCAGAGGTGTCTCATGTTTCCTGTTTTTTCATATTCAAATTAGATTTCATCCTTTTCATTCTGAATCATGGATCAACTAAAGACTTAAGCCAGGATTTATACTACTGCAGGAGACCAGCCAATATGCAACCCAGGAACCTAGCAACCATGGCTGCATGGAGCCTGCCCTGACCTGCAGAACCCATCAGGAGTCTCAGTACTTACAGTGGAAGCTGTGTGACATCCTAGCAAGTAAAGGTGGTCACAGTCAGATTCCACAGCAAAGTGGCAGAAAACTTGTGGGTCCCTCCAGGATTGGGGCATGGGTGTGCATTTACCTCATGTCAAAGAGTAATAAAAATGAGAAAGGTTTTTCAAAAAGGTAAAAGTCTTTACTCTAGGCACAGATGTTTCTTAAAATTCACAAACGCATAGCTTTAAGGTTTGTCAATTAAAGAAAGATATTAATAGGAAAACGCTAAAGGATCAGTACTATTTTCTTCTTCCCTTCCTATCAACACTGTCAAAAACAGCTACATCAAACCACTGAAGCAAAATCATCAGTGTCTTCCATGTTTTTGAAATAACAATGCATCCCAAGCTGTATATCAGAAAAATAGGGGGTTCCAGCTACGTCTCATACATTATAAACCCTGTGGGATGTGCTGATATTATCAGTGTCGTATTCAAATAAACTTTCCTGTCCTCTTCCATAAGCACAGATATTTGGGACAGTGAATAAATATGCCCATCTAATTCTACAAATATCAGGTTCACTTGATAGGTATAGACATGGTCAAATGACCAAGTTAAGACCAACCAGATGCAAGCAAATGTATGCCTGACTTCCAGGAAACTGTAACAGGTGGCTAAAGTAAACACACTTTGCTTCTTTCTCTTTTTTCTTTTCCTGCTGAATGGAATTTGATGTGCTAGCTGAAGTTTCACCTTGATTCATGAAGATGGTGAGGTGGCAAGATAAAAAGTGCCTCACACCACAGAGTGGAGCAGCACTGCAACCCTAGACCACCTACCTCCCAACTTCCTTGACATGAGAGAGAAAACCTCCATACATCCTGACCACTCTTATTGGGATTTATTGGTAATATGCAGTTAACAGTAATATGGTACCATACCTAACCAGAGGGAAAATACCATGGTACTATCGTGTGTTTTTTTGTAAGAAATGTTCATCTTAATTTATTCTAAAACATTTTTCCATGCTATTTCATATGAAAAACTCCTTATCCAATAAACTTGCCCCAGCGAACAGTGAACACCTAAGCTGGCTGGATATAGATTGAAAACAAAGTTATTTTGGCAAACCAAATTCCACTGTCACACAGTGTTGACAGGACGATTTAAAAGCCCAAAATTTATAAACACCATATTAATATGTTTTATAATAAAATGTAAACTAAGTGATAAGTACAGAACAGCAAACTCCCATTGCATGGTGGACAAATGGACCCCAACCCAGTCTAGGCTCACTCAGCACTAAGTGAATGACGCCTACCCACATTCTCATTGATCTCCCAGTCCGATTCAAACCTCAGCAAAATTACATGTCATCATGGCATTGTCTGGCGTGGGCAGGGAGCTGGTGAATGCTAAGCTCCAAATGTTAAATCCATTAATTATTCCATGAGTTTCCTTGTCATGTTCTACTGACTACATTCCATGTACATCTCATTTTTCTTTTTTTTTTTACTTTATTGAACTATAACTGACAAGTAAAAACGTAAACATTTAAGGTATACAAAGTATACAATGTTTTGATATGTTACACTGTTAAATAATTAAAACTAAGCTAATTAACACACCCATCATCTTACAGTTACCTTTTGTGTCTGTGTGTGTGTGTGCATGGCAGGAGCGGTGAGAACATTTAAGGTCTACTCTTAGCAAATTTCAAATATAAAATATATTATTATTAATTATAGTCACTATGCTGTACACTAGATCCCCAGAACATTTTCATCCCACATAATTGAAACTTTGCCCTCTTCTAACATGTCTGATTAATCTTCTTAAAATTCTCTATATTTGTTACAAAGGATGAAACTAAGCTCAAAGAAGTTAAGGATCTTACTTAACCTCGCATCTAGTAAGAGACAGGGATAGAATTTCAACCAGCATCTTGATCCCAAAGCCTATATTCTTTCCGATTACCATATTATTCCGTTTCCCTCACAGCTACAGACTTCTTTCAATAAAAGGTGTTTATCCCTACGCAATGTGTTGTATACAGCTTGTAGGCATTTATTTGCTTATTATTTAAGTCTTTCCATTAGAACAAAAGTGGCTTTAGGATAAGAACTTGGTTTTAGCCTAAAACCAAGTTCTTATCCTAAAGCCGCTTTTGTTGTAGATAAGGCCTAGCACATAGAATATCCTCTTTTTTTTTTAAAGAATGAATAAATGAAGTAAGGGAAAGCAAATATCAGTTGGTTGCTATGAAACTATTCCCTACTGGGATAGCTACATCCTCTATTCTCATGCTTGCCTGACCCCACAAAAAAGTCGGTTTATCATGCAATAATAAAAATTCCAGATAATTTCAACACACCACAATGGATCAGAAAAGTCTATCATAGATAACTTAACCTATTTTATTAATTAGTAAGTTTATGTATTACTAACGGGGAAGTAGAAATAATAAGAGTTCTGAAGTCAGACTACTTCTGTTTTTATCCAAGATTCCCCTACAAGTTGTAGGGTCTTAAGCAGGTCCCTTAACCTCAGTGCCTCAAGTTCTTCATCTATATAATAAGGCAGTAAAAATAGACATCTAATAGGGCTGTTGCATTAAATGATAGAATAAAAATACTTAACACATATTAAATGCTTTATAATTGCCATGATTTTAGAAATACATGGTCATTTTATTTCAGCAATTGCAGAAGCCACAAACAAAAACAAATATTAAGATGGATGCCCGTGAATAATTAACAATAGATGGATCCACAGTTGTGCTGTCCAACACAGTGGTCACTAACCACATGCAGCTATTGAGCACTTGAAATGTGGCTAATCCAAGTTAACATACGTTTTAAGTTTGAAATACCAGATTTCAAACATTCAGAACCACAAAAAAAGAAAAGAATAAAAAAATACCTGCCAACCCCCACATTATAGATAAGAAAACAGACTGAGAGGTTAAGGTACAGACCCAGTTAGGTCATAGAACTGGGAGCCTAACCTAGGTTTCCTGAACCCCAATCCACAGTTTTTACTCTATCACAGGGGTGTCCAATCTTTTGGCTTCCCTGGGCCATATTGGAAGAAGCAGATTGTCTTGGGCCACATGTAAAACACACTAACACTAACGACAGCTGATGAGCTAAAACACACAGACACACACACACAGACACACACACACACACACCCTCATGTTTTAAAGTTTACAAATTTGTGTTGGGCTGCATTGAAAGTCATCCTGGGCTGCATACGACCTGTGGGCCAGACAAGCTTGCTCTATCACTACATTCCCCTTACCCACTGTTATATTCTTATTTGATTCTAGGTCTTCATTCACCTGAGCCTTACTAATGATAATCAAGGTAAGTGCTGAGGAGTTATTTAACAGGACTCTCCCTGAACATAGTAATAAGTAACTAAGAGAGAATTGGCAAGTCTTGTTGGTCATTATCTTCCAAAATTCTGCTTTAGGACTCTCTTATTCATTGACAGCGTCTGCCTCACTCACTTCTCTGAGAGTGAAAAGGACCATGATAATAGCCTCTAATGGTCCCCACTAACAATGTAACCTCATCAAAAGCAAATGTAAACCAATTATCACAAATAGCAGCCTGAGTGATCTCTGTGGCAAACAGCAATTGAGAGATGACTGTGGAGGCAGAGAGTTGAAGAGAAATAGAAACTTTAATGAGCCATTCTGAGAAGTTCTCATTGCAATAGAAAGCCATTCCCCCCAACACCCAGCCACCCACTAAGATCTGACAAAATCCAGGAGGTTTTGCAAACAAGTCTTCTCAGACATGTGCTATGGAAAAAAGGAGGGGAAGGAAGGAAGCTCAACACACACTGTGACCCTTTACCGTCCTACAAAATAGAAAACAGAGCCTGTCATAAGCCAGAGAAAATTTCTACCCAACGCTTTTCTACAAATAATTCCAGTGGACTATGTCAAATTAAATAATGAGGGACTCATTCTTTAGAAACAGTATGATATCCCCTTGACTACCCTTAATATATGTCTAATGTAACAACTAGTCATAATAGCTAACATTTATTGACCATTTACTACACACTCAGCACAATTCTAACCTCTTTACATAGATTATTTTAATGTCAGCTCCCTATAAGGTGGGTTCAATGTTTTTTTCCAAATGAAGAAGCTAAAGCCCAGAGAATTTAAGAAAGTTACCCAGTTCACAAAATTTGGGGGCAGAACCAGGTATATCTGACTGATATGCTCTTAGCCACTGGCTACACTTGGGGCCAATCACATGATTTAATCAGCTTGAAGAGGTAAAAGCTCCTCTCCTCCCCATTTACCTTCAAAACGCCGTCCCATTCATGTTGTTTATGTCATTGTGCCTTTGCACAGTTTGCTTCCTCTGCCTAGAATACCATAGAACCTAATTAAGACGACACCTCCAAGAAATCTCCTTCTTTCTGCTGCCCCCAAATTATGTCATCTTATCCTCTTTGTGCCACTTCTGTACCTCATACATACATCTGTCACTTGCTTATGTGGCCTTTTCCTTACTAGGATGCAGATTTCTTCAACGCAGATGCCAACCTTCAATATATCCCACCTTAAGTACAGTGTTTGCTGGTGTAAATCATCTACAGTAGAAGAAAATTCACCATTCACTATTACTTTTTGAAGAATATATCTTGTCATAACCATTGAGCAAAGACTCCAGCACTGAAGCAAGTGAGTGAAGAGGAGGGAGCAGACAAAGCCTAAGAAAAGAATTCTAAGATAGCTGTATGTTGTCCAAATAATAAGTTCATGGACAGACTCAATGAGGCCAAAAGAAGAGCAAAGGATTTCTTTGTTGAGATGCAGCATGGGTAGCTCTGTTTTGCAGATGATATCACTCTCACGCAGGAAGAACTTTGTGCCTCAGTACCATCTGGCATTTCATGGCACAGATCCATATGCTGAAGCCATATTTGCAAGAAACAGTGACTTTATGTTTATCACAAAGTATTCCGACAGCCTCAGGAGCAGACAACTGTGAGCCAGTGTAAAAGCTTAAAGATGCTGACCAACTCATGCCACACAATGGCCTTTTCCAGCAGGCAGTAAGTGGTTTAACAGAGTTGCTTTCAGAAGAAGAAAATATGACATAAAATTACTTTCCTCAGAAATGTCTGAAGTTTTTGCTTTCTTTCTTGACCAGGTATTACATGGATGAGAAGTGGCTATCTGCAAAAGAAGAAAAGTAGCAGCAGAAGGCAAGGGACTTTCAGCTCATCATCTTTGTGCACCATCCTTCTAGGATAAGGAGTGGCAGACTCTCAATATGATAAACATTAAGGTCTATCTTACACCTTTAATGTAGTTAGAATGCTTTTCACTGAAAGTAATAGAATCCTCAACTCAAAACGCCCTGTTAAACAATAAGGGGGTGGGGGAGGGATTATTATCAGGTATCTCAAAAAGTACAAAAGTAAGAGAATTCCAGAGTTAGTTAATTTAACTCTTAAGTGAAGTATTTCAGGGCCCTGGCCTTTTCCACCTGTCTACATTCTCCACATGCTAGCTTTTGTCTTCTAGTTTACTGCCTCCAAAGAAATCCACATTAACTGTGCAAAGCATCCTCATACAATAATAAACCAAAACTGAAGAAGAAAATAATTTTATTCTAAGAAAAAGGGAGAAAATTCTCCCAGAATCAGCATCCTCCTTCTGTCATATTTTCTCCCACGTATCACTGAAGAATTGATTCAAGTGTGCATTCCTAAAGAAATCAATGGGTAAGGGAAATGGAATATCACGACTGACCAATCAAGATTCACTCTGGGGACTCAAGAGGAACCCAGCCACCACTGTATAATAATAGGTGCCTAATAGCTGATTAAAACCAAGGATTTGTGAGAGAAGAAGGGTAGTCAGAGAACAGCCACTGGATAGGCAACTAGCACTGCTGCTCTGTCCTGGCCTATCCAGTAAGGAGACCTGAACTAGCAAACTGTACATAAAAGACTGAGACTACCACCTTCTAATAGCTAACTTGACATTTCCCTAACAAATAACAAAATTCTGCTCAGTACCTAAAACAGAAACATTAGCTGCAACCCACTTTAAAATAATACATTTCAAGTAAATTAAATTATATTGATTAGTTATTGCATTTATATTCATGTATTTAGGGACATAAAATGCAAGGATCTTATTACTCCTTTTATAATAAAAATCATTTTATATTTATTACCTTCTTTAAACTTACCAAATTTTAGTGGCAAAAATGCCATGCTAACTTCAATACATCATTGTTAACAAATTTACATTAGCAAATTCAAGGATTTGTGAGGATTAAACAGATAAAAGCCCTCTTCAGGATTGGCATTAAAAAAACTGGATATCTACATTAGGGTGACATAAATACATGCTTCAGATTTTTAATTCTAAAAGCAATTCTGATTATACATACAGAATGCTGCTAATAAGAAAAGGCAAATTTTTAGCACATTTGTTCACCTGTGAGGTTAAAAAAAAAAAAAAAGAAAAAGAGAGAGTATGTAACTTCCCCAGGAAGAGGGACAAGAAAATGGAAGTTTATTCTATCAGTTACAAAGCTATCATTCAAGTAATTATCAAAGAAACAATAAACAAACTGAAAAATAAAGCTATTTTAAAATAAAGCCTGCTTCTGGGGCTAGTTTAACTGAATGACTATTGTATGCTACACTGCTGAGTCTCAACAGTATGCCATGGCCCTTCTTTCACATCAGATAGGGGTGCCAAATTAAATACAGAATTCTCATTTACATTTGAATTTCAGGTAAACAATATGTCATTTTTGTGTAATTATTTCATCATCAGTGCAGAATAAATTTTTAGTATAAATATGTCCTATGCAGTATTTGGGATATATACTAAAAAGAATCCATTATTTAACTAAAATTCAAATATAATGGGCAACCTATATTTGCATTCGTATTGTGTCTTCTGATGCCCCCTCTTTCTATGTCTTTGACAACATCTTCCTTTGTTCTTTGGATTGTCCTGTTTCTATGCCCAGTTATAATGCCTTTGTCTCTTAGGACTTAATAATGTCTCCTGGCTCCAGTCAGCTCCAATTTCTTAATCTTTTCAGTGTTGTCTGAAAAAGCAGCTCAAAGGAAATTTCCACAGCAGAACTTGACATCCTGTGCAATACTAAAACCAGACAAATAGATGACACTAAGAGACATGTGTGATCATTTTTAAAGAAAGAAGAACAAGTGAACAAATCCCAAAGCCAGCTAATTACAATCCCCTGAAGAGCTTTTTTTAAAAAATGCAGGTACGAAAGACCTACCCCACACCTACTATTTCAGAATTTTGAAAAGAGTGGCCTGGAAAGCTGTATAGTTTTAAAGTTCCTGAGGGAGTCTGATATTCAGCTATAGGTTTGGGATTTTCTGGAGATGGTAATTATGAGTTAAGAAATCTACTAAAAGCTGAGGAGAGCTCAGTGAGTAGATTTAGACTTAAACAACAGAATGCTGAACCCCTAAAATTTTTTTTGGACCAACATAAAAACGAAAAGATAAATATATGGGACACACAGGATAAAACTCAAACCGATTTTTAAATCAGGCTTTCACTCATGACAAAGAAATATGAGGAGATTCATTTTCTGGTTTGTATAATTATGAATCATATTTTAAGATATAGGCATTTCTCTTTGTTACTGTTTTTTGGTAGAGACAGGGTCTGCCTATGTTGCCCAGGCTGTTCTCAAACTCCTGAGCTCAAGGGTTCCTCGAGCCTTGGATTCCCAAAGTGCTAGGCGCTTCCTAAGAGTCTATGTTTTGTCTGCTTGGAAAACAATCTAAAATGCTAACATCTATGCAAATTTCTCATTAGAAATAATGATTTAAAAAAATCATGTCGAGGGAATGGGTAATGAAATAAGGGCCCCCTAAAGTTTATGCATCTATTCCACTAAGTGGAAGACTGAGAGCATAGTTTCGTGGAAACTGAAAGCTTGATCTCCTTCACCTGATATCCAGGACAATTCTCCCTCACACACAACCTCCCTGAATCTTGCAGAATGTAAATGATGACCTTTTGTCAAAACCTACAAGAATAACTTTTTGTAACAGAATACTGACATATCATAAGAAATTAAAGTAATTCAAACAAACATGAAAAGGGTCTCACAATACACACGGCACATACAAGTCTCCACAGCCAACAGAAACCACAAGGATGGAGAAGGGTCACTGCACACTGCCTTTCATGAGTGACCACATATCCCACACACTGCCACATGCTACACTGATCCAAAGAGAAAACCTACACAATACTAAACATATTAACAAGGCTGCTACGCAGTGAAATGCTGTGTAACTCAGGCTATGGTATATGCATTTTGGTCCTAAGTGTATTGGTAAAAGGTATGCCTTTGGCTCCTCCCATCTGCTGCCCACCTACTGACAGATATAGGGCCAGGTCAAGTCCTTATTTACTCCCATTAGCATTTAGAAGCATTATCCTGAAGAAGAGCGAGTCCTTAGATACTCCCATTAGCATTTAGAAGCATTATCCACTCCATTTTATAGGAGAAACTTGAATTCACAAAACAGATGTCCAAGAAAACTCAAGAACACTCAAAACGAATTCAGGAAGCTAAAAACTGAAAGATAATCTAGGATGTGAATAAATAGAATAGAAAAACTTAAATATTTTTGTGCTAAAGTAGATCTGAATTTTTTTCATACTGCAACACATTACCTAACATTAGTTTCTTTCTCAGTTAATTTCTCTTGCACAAAATTCTATTAAGAAACCCTGTTTACTCTATAAAGATATCTACTTACATTTTAAATTATAGAATAACTCAAAATTATCTCTATAGCAAAGAACAGATAAACAAAACATTCTCATACTTTCTGGAAGAGCTTTCTGAAATCCTGAGTATTATAAATCTCTGAAATGTACCTGGATAACACTGTGAAATTTGGCAATAAGGTAGAAAAACATTTATAACCTCAATTGAGAAATTAAAGTTATTAAAGAAGTTAAAAATATAATTTAACACTAAAATTGTTTGCATATTATAAGGAATTACATGAAGTAATGAAGAAAATGTCAATACATAGGGCAAATTTTACATAACCCAAAGACATAGATGTGATAGTTTGTGGCTCCTCACATCTTCCCAAACATTAGTCATACACCCTACCTTTGCCTACCAAAATGCCTAGTGTTCTACAATGACAAACCCTTTCAGTTATGGTATTGTCTTCAGAACTCTTTCCCTGTGAAACTTCCTACAACAGGTTAATATATAAACCCCTCAGTCCTTTGAAGTATGTAACAGCTTAACACTAGCTCAACTGACTGATAACCTGCTCCCAAAAAAGAATAGGACGCATCAAGTAATAATTTTCCTCGTTTAGAAATTGAGCGGGGCACATAAAAGAGAAAAGAAAGACAAACAAGAGAGGGCAGCCAAATGGTTGTAGAAAGGAAGGAAACAAGAAGAAGATGGAGAATAAATGGGAGTTCTTAATAAGATGCTGAGATTGGAAATTCTGCTCTCCAAAGGGAGACACCCCAAGAAAGTGACACACAGATATTCTGGCAGTAGATCAAAGTTATTCAATGGCCCCGGGGTAAAATGATTACTTATTACTGAAACCAACTAGTACCTATTACATAAATTAGTTTAATAGTGCTCACATCTTACAAGCACATTTTTGAATTAAAATCTAGTAGGGTATAATTAAGTCAAAGATTACTTTTCTAGGAAAAAGAGATGCATTTTATGCTACATACACATGGAGCACAGAAATTCATTCTCACATTATTCATTGTTTAAGTCTAAAGCCTTTCACATCACTTCTCTATGACTACATTCACCCTACAGTTTTCTAAATACATGCAAAGAGGAAACTTTAAACTTTTTTAAAGCAATAACTGCCTCAACTTTTATTTAAAGGGACTAAGTTCCAATTTGGTGTTTATTCAAACATCCAGTAATTCAATAACTCAGCAAATATTTATTGAGAACCTACTACATACCTGTACTCCTACAGTGATGGGGGAGACAAAAAGTGAGATAAACCTAACCTTAAATAATGGTTTAGTGATATTTTGGGAAAAGTACACCTCATTTTCCAACACACTGTAAGTTAAATGGAGACATTTTGAAAGGAATGTTCAAATACAGTTATGATTGAAGAAAGTAAAATTTTCTTTTCCTATGATCTTGGTTTGTAAAACAGTACACTTTAGCCAACAGCTATGGCTGCCAAAAATTAGATGACAAATCTAAAGCAAGCTCAGTTGTATACATATAAACACACGAACGCTTGCATGCTCTTGGGGACATACACACTTACTCCCCTACTCACCCACTGGGGTGTTGCATATTTCACAGAGCACAATTTGCCCAATCAATACACTGCAGGTCACCAAAAACTTTTTTTTTTCCCTTTTAAACAACCATTCAAAAGTTTAAAACAGTTGAATTTTAACATTATTTAAACATTTTCCTCCATAAACCTTCTTAATTTTCATTTTGGCTAATAGGATGTGGTGCAGAGCACTCCCCACCAGGTAGGAGCTGTGCAGTGTTACACAAAACTGTGTCTCTCCTTAACCTCCCACTAAATCCTTCAGTCAGTAAGGTTGAGTCACAATTTATCACTCAAAAAGTCTTTGTTTACATGCAAATGTATTTAGTTTTCATTGCAATTAATTTGCTTTTGCTTTTCAAAACTGTCCCTATTAACAAAGTAGTGCTGTTTATCATTACCACTATTACTAATTTTTCTTATTATTAGATTCTTAAATTTTAAATTTTATCAGTTGGTATTTCTTTATCCACTTCTGCTTTTGTTTTATTTGTTAACCAAAGTGTGACTCTTGAAGGAATTTGATAAATAAGTTAGAAAAATGTTTGCTTCTAAGGTAAATAATCAATGAAATTTAATTAAAATGACTTACTAAAAGGCCTTGACAGCATCAGAATATGTAATTTTGAAACTTTTGTTTTCATGAAATGTCTTTTTTCTTTTTTTCTTTTTGAAATGGAGTTTTGCTCATCACCCAGACTGGGGTACAATAGCACAATCTCGGCTCACTGCAACGTCCGCCTCCCAGGTTCAGTTGAGTCTCCTGCCTCAGCCTCCTGAGTAGCTGGGATTACAGGTGCCCACCATCACGCCCGGCGAATTTTTGTATTTTTAGTAGAAACGGGTTTCACCAAGTTGGCCAGGTTGGTCTCAAACTCCTGACTCAGGGGATCTGCCTGCCTCGGCCTCCCAAAGTGCTGGGATTACTGGCATAAGCCACCACACCCAGAGCCTAATTTTCAAACTTTTAATCTTATGAATGTAATAACACATAATGTAAATGTCTAAATTTTAATTACTGAATTAAATGAAAATGTATACCTCAGTATCTCCTGATGCTACTTTTAAACATTTCCAAATAGTCTGTTTTAAAACATATTCTTAAGAACATAGGAGAACTTAATTTTTTTAATCAAGTTTCTGAATTCATAATGGCTCATAGTCTCCTTTAGAACTTTATATCTAAATAGATTTAATTTTTACAAATCTTTGTCCATTAAGACAGGCAGCTTCATTTTTGTTTTTAAATGAAGAATGTCTTCAGATAATAGTAACAAATAAAAACATTTGCTACTGAGCAGTATGATGACAATTACACCAAATCTAGATTTTAGATTTGTATATTCTAATGATTCTTTCCTGCAGTCTACATGTCTTGTTTTGCATGTTGCATGTAAACATTATCAAGTTATGCCAAGGTACCAAGCAAACCATGCTGACGTCTTTCCTTAATAAATTCATCTTAAACTTAAAAGGCTATGAAGTTTAAGATCTTCAAAATTATTTTATGAACTAGGGCATATAACTACCAGACTGAACTAAAGTCATGCAATGAGTAGCTAAAACCAAAATGCCTCACATCAACTACAAAATCACTTTTTCTTTATCAGCTATATATTATCAACACTGTATTGTATTTGGGACCAATGAAGCAAAGAATATTGAAAGAGTATCAGTTGTCAAAATGTTTAATGAAGACAGAGCTGTCAGATGACAGAGACGACACTAATTCAAAAGATTATTAAAACAAAAGAACTTCCAGTACATAAAATGAATCCCCAGATGTTAAAAATGGTCCTATTTTAAATAAAAATGAAAATCCCTGAAAAGTTATGCTTGGAAGAACACGATTTGTTTTGCAGAGAAAAACCCAAACAAACTACTGGGAACAAAATTTAGAGAGGCTAAAAAAAAAAAAGGGAAACTGATAAGATATTTCATAAACAAGGCCTATGTTTGTGTTCTATACTGATAGGAATATGTAAAGGCTTTGAGATCAAGAGCTTATTCTGAAAACACTGCAACTCAAGTAACACCTAGTTCTCTTCCAAAGAATCTTTGCGATGTAGACGTTTTCCTGGATTCCACATTAAATTATGTTAACAAAATAGTGAATATAATAAAATCCAAGCTGCTACTGTCCCATCTGTTTTCAGCTTTTATGTGAAAAGTGGGATCAGAACATCATTTGTTATTGTTTCCTACCACAGCACACTGATGATACAGAAAAGAGTTTAGGTTTAATCAGGAGTTTATGAGCCAAATGTTGAAGTTTTTTAGAACACTGAAAATACTTTATTTTCCCTTTCAGATTCATTGAATAGTTACTGGTTACAAAAGGCGACTAACTTAACTGGCAGTGGAACACCACAATGAACTAAAATTATACAAGGACTTAATTAATATATATATTGGTATGTACCAAGTTTATGAATTCAAAACAAAAATCCAACTTAGAAAAAATCAAATGTTGCTTAGTTATCATTTGTATCCTAATACTGTAGAACATCTAAATATACAATAGTCATTACTTTCAAATTTTTGATATGAGAAGGTTCAATTCAATTTGAAATTCATTTACATTATCAAAAGAAATGTATACAACCACATTTCTTAGGAAAGAGATGTCAAAATTTAAAGAATAAAAATAAGAAGTTATATTTTTAAAAAAGGAAGACATAGATGTTACAGAATAATGTACCCTTGATATATAATTGAATTTCCAAATACTCTGATGTTATACTATGTCATAATCAGCTATTATTTTAAAAATGGCATAAATTCTTTCCCAAGGGTTGGGCGCGGTGGCACACGCCTGTAATCCCAGCACTTTGAGAGGTGGCAGTGGGTGCATCACCTGAGGTCAGGAGTTCGAGACCAGCCTGACCAATATGGTGAAACCCCGTCTCTACTAAAAATACAAAAAGTTAGCCAGGCATGGTGGCATGCACCTGTAATCCCAGCTACTCAGGAGGCTGAGACAGGAGAATTGCTTGAACCTGGGAGGCAGAGGTTGCAGTGAGCCAAGATTGCGCCACTGCACTCCAGCCTGGGGAACAGAGCAAGACTCCCTCTCAAGGAAAAAAAAAAAAAAATTACATCCTCAGACCTCCTACAGAACCCAATCTCAAGTTCATATCTTTAAGTGCAGTATGAAAGGAACCACCACACTGCACAACTCCACGGACACCTTTGACAATGATAAGTGTGAGTGCTACTTCCTGAGCAGACCTGTATATTACACAAAGGTGGGGAAGCTCTGAACTGTTGACCAAAGGGCAATGTTTTTGAACAATGCTGGTCTTCTTCTGTTAACATAAGTTAGGTATAGTTTTTATTTATTTTGAGACAGGGTCTTTATTGCCCAGGCTGGAATGCAGTGGCATAATCATGGCTCACTACAGCTTCTACCTACCTGGCTCAAGTGATCCTCTCAGTTCAGCCTCCCAAATAGCTGGGACTTGGGAGGTGCACGCCACCATGACCAGCTAATTTTTGTATTTTTTGTAGAGACGGGGTTTCGCCAAGTTGTCCAGGCTGGTCTCAAACTTCCTGGCTCAAGCAGTTGCCCACCTCAGCCACCCAAAGTGCTGGGATTACAGGCACGAGCCACTGTGACCAGCCAGGAATGTTTTTTAAAGCATTCTGTACTACAATAAATTTAGCACCCCAGGGATGGTAATGTTTCTGGTTGAGATTCTGCCAAACTAAGAACTCTCGTTCCTGATCTAGATGCTTTGTGGTGATTTATGTCATAATTTTAGGCAGCCCTGACACCCATGTCCTAAAAAATAGGCCCAAATTTTAAAAATTATTGATCAACACTCTAGTAACACTTACGTTTGGACGTTCAATCCCTAGCTGAGTTTTTTAAAACAACTGACTAACAGCTACTAGATGCCTGTCGATTAGGAGAAATAAAGAAAAACGGTAATTTTATTAAAAATACCAAGGTAGTCATTATTCACACGATACTGCTTGTGCATAACAGAACTCATTTTAAAATAAAGACAAAGTGATACAAGTCTTATTTAGGCCAGACTCAATTAGTATGGATGTTTTTCTGCATATATTCACATAGCACAGGGAAAAAAAAACTAACATCAACAGAGGCATGAGATAACCATTATAACTCTAGCTACGATTTTTCCAAGATAATGATGCTTTTCCTACCTAAAATGCTAAATTTAAGTTTAAAAAGTCAACATCATTTGACAAACTGACATTCACAGCAAACAGAATCAAGAAAAGTCAAGCTTGCTTCTCCTTATACTTTAATAACCTCCTTATAATTTTTAGATACTATCTTGATAAAATGTTGGTTATTAATATACATGTATTACCATCCCATGCCCATGAAATTATAAGTTCTTTTTGCTGAAAATTGCCAAGCCTTATTCATTTTCATATTGCCTGCAGGGTCTCAAAGAAATGAATTTCTCACTCCTTTTGGTATTATGTATCCATCTCAGCAGAACAAAGAAAAGTTCAGGCTGAAAATAAAGCAAACCTTTTAGAAGTTGAAGTAGAATATATCCAATTCTTTGCAATCACTCATATTAAGGTTCTTATAAACATCGCGTATGTATTATAATGACCACAGGGGTAAAACAAAGCAAATGCAATCTCACATCTTATTTTAAAGGCCTCTTATATTTGATGTAAAGCACCATGATTATGTGAAATAATATTTTTGAGCTGTATTCAAAATACTATACCTTTAAAAAATAAACTGTTGTCACTTTTTAAACAGGCACATCATATCAAATCATCTCTATTATTCTTAGAATATGAAATCAGATACACAAAGACATAGAGCAAAAGCTTCAAAAGCCCCAAGGAAGAAGTGATTTGCATACATTTACTGGCCTTTCCCTAAGCAGTCCTCAGAGCAGATGCTAAGCTACCTTTCAGAATTAGAAAGTACTGGGTTCATTCACTCAATTATTTTTCTACCATGAAAGCCTTGGGGATTAAAAACCAAAGTGATAGCTGCAAACCATTAACGTTTTTAAACTAATCTTCATCACCAGAGTTTAGGGGAGGAAAAAAACAGGAAAAATCAATAAATAAATGAAAGCACCAAGGTTAACATAATTAAAGCATACGTTTGTTTAGAAGAAAAATTTTTACTTAGCGCAAACCAAAAATAGCATCCTAGGATTTTCTTATTTCAGGAAAAAAAAAAAAATTAAAGGTCCTTAAAGGAAAAATAATGAGCCAAAAAAATCTTCAGTTTCAGAGCAGGAAACTACATTTCTATGAAGTTGAGTAAGACAAAAAATTTTGCCATTTTCCCTCTAAGTGGAGAATCACAGTCCATAGTTTTAGCAGCCATTGCCAAAATACTGTGGAGCTTGTCTGTTTGGGTTTGTTTACCTGACTGACATCTTTCAGCACCCACCTGAAAGTCAGGATCCAGGGATGTAATGAAATTATTATGGCCCTGAGTAACAGTTATTGTATCAAAAAGGCATATACTCTTAAGAGTAATGAAGTAGATGTCAGCCAGCAAAAGGCAGAGTTAAAGACACAAGACAAGGGGTGGATTGAAATGCAAAGGTTAGGAAAGAAATCAAAGACTGTTTGAATAAAGTTATGTTTCTTTTCTAGTTTTTCAAAAGTACAAATAGAAAACAATTGCCAGCTTTGTACCTTTCATCATACAAGTCACATTGTAAATAAACAGATATGGTAGAGGTAGTGTTTCTGAGTTCTCAGAAATTGTTTGGGGTTTCAGAAAAAAAGGCTTTTGAATCTTCTGAACATTATGTAGAAGGGCTTAATTTTATAGACTACATAGTCATTATACTGATTTATAGAGGACTTCAATGATTTTAATGGATTACTGAGTAGTATTCAGAAATGAGACTGCAGGAATCCAAAATTTCTTCTTGCCCAGACCTTTGCTATTAATCCAATTGTCACCATTTCTGAAGAAAGCAACTTATCATCGTAATTTGATTTTAACATTACTTTGCCTAATTTTATTCAAATTATATGGTAAATGTCTAAAACTAGCTAGCAAAGGAAGAAGCAAAATCTAAATAGGATTATTCCTAAGTGAGCGTATAAAATAGAAGCCAACTACACAGCTAATATGAGTCTTTAAACTAATTCAGTCACAAATTTTATTTATGTGGGTGTATATAGGTGTATTTTATATATATATATATATACACACACACACACGGCACAGCACATATATTTACCTATGCTTATAGTACAATGAATAATTTTACACACAGTCTATACTAGAATCAATATGTTTATACATTTCATACACATAGGCATACATAGATATAGACACACTGTATAATTACTAAGCAAACTATATAATTATAATTAACTGTACCTGTAAAACATATTATTAAGCACTGTATATGCTAAGCAAAGAAGTCATCAGCTTCAGGTAAAAAAAGATGAAAATAAAATCATATTGTACAGCAATCCCCAATTATAAATGTCTGTATATGTATATTTAGGTAATTATTTATAGATATAGTCAACTAATTCATTTTTCATGTTTAGCAGATATATATAATATTAAATTGTATTCATTCCTAACACATCTCACTAAAAGTAAACATTTTTAAGACACACTATAATAGTAAGAGTCAACAGCAACAAAATTTTGGAAACTGGAAAACACATGAATAACTATTAACTGAACTAGCGGATTCCAAAAAGCCAAATCCTAACCTGATAATGTAGAGAGTTCAGTACCATCCCTAGTTAATACCAAAGAATCCTTGAAAACTGGACTAAGAAAATGTGGCACATATACACCATGGAATACTATGCAGCCATAAAAAATGATGAGTTCATGTCCTTTGTAGGGACATGGATGAAGCTGGAAACCATTATTCTCAGCAAACTATCGCAAGGACAAAAAACCAAACACCGCATGTTCTCACTCATAGGTGGGAATTGAACAATGAGAATGCATGGATACAGGAAGGGGAACATCACACACTGGGGCCTGTTGTGGGGTGGGGGGAGGGGGGCGGGATAGCATTTGGAGATATACCTAATGTTAAATGACGAGTTACTGGGTGCAGCACACCAACATGGCACATGTATACATATGTAACTAACCTGCACGTTGTGCACATGTACCCTAAAACTTAAAGTATGATAATAATAAAAAAAAGAAAACCTCAGACACTGTCAGCATCTAATACTTCTGGCACTGTATGGGTAAAAGCAGGGGTGGGAGGTGAACAAAATAGTCTTGTTGAAAAATTATCATGAAACATATCCTTATATCTCCTAACAAATTCTACACTGCTGGGCAACTGCCTGTCACTATTTTGGGAAAACACTGAAGACTTCTTCTCTGGGAAAAAGAGGGTCTCCAGCCTGGGAAACCCAGACATAACTGAAAGTGGGATGCAATACTGAAAAGGAAAGAATTAAGTGAACGTTTCCATACACAATGTTAAAAAGAAAGCTTCTTCCTCCACTCATTCCTGGAACATGGGCAGCCAGGCCAATACTCATCTCTGAGGAATCAAACTAAGCCCACAAGATGAAAAAATAAATATAGCTGATGGCCAGAGATGCTCACAAAGTAATGCCAGATCACAAATTAATAAGCCTCACCTATATCCTGAGAGCTTTCAAACATTTTTTAATCCCCTTAACTCTTACAAAGTGTGCATACAAGCAAGGATTGTCTGAGAAGTATGAAAAGTCTCTAACACAAAATCTTTAAAAAAATTAATGGAAAAAGGCAACTTAGAAGAATCAGACCAGCAGGACGACAAAAACCACCACCCTATTCTTACTTTATCTGAAAAATAAAATACACAACAGGAAACAAGAATATGAAGCACTAAAAACGTATTAAGCAAACAAAAAAAAAGCTCTTGAAAATTAAAAATGTAGGCCAGGCATGGTGGCTCACACCTGTAATCCCAGCACTTTGGGAGGCTGAGGTGGGCAGATCACTTGAGATCAGGAGTTTGAAACAAGCCTGGCCAACATGGCGAAACCACATCTCTACTGAAAAAAAAAAAAAAATTAGCCGGGTGTGGTGGCATGCACCGGTAATCCTAGCTACTACGGAAGCTTGGGTACAAGATTCTCTTGAACCCAGGAGGCAGATGTTGCAGTTAGCCATGATCATGCCACTACACTCTAGCCTGGGTGAAAAGTGAGACTCTGCCTCAAAAAAAAAAAAAAAAAATATATATATATATATACACACACACACACACACACACACACACGTATATTTATGTGTGTATATATAAAAGTGTATATATGTGTAATATACATGTGTATATATGTATATGTATATATAAAACAACAGAAAAGAAGTACTCAATAGAGGCGTTGGAAGATAAAGTTCAAGAAATCCCCCAAAGATAGAGAAAAAAGAAGAAGACAGAGAAAATAAAAGTGAAGGGATAAATAAATCAGAGAACAAGCTGGGCGGCAGTCCAACAGCAGATTCAGTGGAATTCCAGAAAGAGAGAAGAGAAAGCTATTAATAAAAAGCAAGTCATTAACAAATAATTCAAGAAAATCTCCCAGAAGGGAGGCACACAAATTAACAAATTAAGAATGCTGAGTTCCCAACAAGGATGGAAGTTAATATGAATCAAAGCAAATCATTGTAATACAAAGATGAAGAATTAGAATAGCTTCATACTCTTTACCAGAAACTAAGAACAGAGAAAAGACTTCAAAAATTTGAAGGAAACTGATTTGCCATTAAAATTCGTTACCCAGTTAAACTATCAGTTGAGTTGGATAAGAAAGAAACATTTTTCAAAATCAAGAATTTAAAAAGTATTTCTCCCATGCACCTCTCTCAAGAAAGAGGATAATAAAGTCATAAAACACAAAAACTTTAACCAAGGAGAGAGGAAAAGGGAATTTTCAAGATGACAGAAGAGATCTTAGGATGACAGATAAGCACCAGTCATAGAAGGCCACCAGTCCAAATGGGAGCAGTGTGTCTCAAATGGCACATTTGCTAAGTGTCATCCTGATACACTTCATCACCCTACCTTCCTTTCAATGATGAAGCTACAGAGAATATGTTCCACCCAAACAATGAAAAGACCAAGAAAGAGAAAGATAGGAGGTCATTGGGAACAGGGAAAAGGACTCTGAAAAAAAGCAAAAGGAAATTTCAGGAGGCCTGCGAAGGTGACCTACAGAGCAACCAGTTTCAATAGTAGATGGAAACACACACACACACAGATATGTTTCTTGGATATGATCAACTTTGTGGAAGGCTGTGTTAACAGGCCTTTGGATGATATGGGAAAATTAATGATTGATACAGAGAAAACTGAGCACACAAATAACCAAGTCATCATTTGATTTAGGAAAAACAAAAGGAAGGAAATATAATCATATTGCATAGCAACTCCCAATTGCAAATAATATTTGGATGTGCATAATATAAATAATGAATCATGATCTAAGCAAAAACATGAATACAAGTCTATGAAACTAAGGGATTCCTCCCCAGAAAGAAAGAAAAGCAAAGGGGATAGTGTGATGAGAGTGCTGAATCCTACTCCACGACAATAAGAAATCAGCAAATAATGGCTAAAATTGACAAACCCAGTTACAGCAGTATATGAATATTATTTAGAAATATGGGTCATATGTATTTGTTAGAAGAAACAGAGAAAAGAGCCAAAGTATTGATATATTTTGGGATAATACTGTCAGTAATGCCATCATATCCATCGTCAAAATGGACTGTATCATAAACATTCTAAAGGTAAACTCCATTATTCAGTGTTAAGGGTCTTTGTCCATTTTAATTCATAGTGCTTGGCACAAAGGAGTTGCTCTATAATGCTTCTTACTGAATTAATAAGCGAATAAACCCAGGAAAGTAAATATGACAAGCTCTGGAGAACTTTGATAATTCCAAAGGGGTTCTATTCATGACAAAACTGACATGAAAGACAGACATGAAATGTTTTCAAGATCTTTCCAAATTATGAAAGCAGAAACATCACCATTTCTGAGATCAGATGAGATCGGGCGCATTCAGGGTGTTACAGCCATAGACTGCACTATTTCCAATACACTATTTTATATGACATGGGATTTATTGTAGCCAAATAAATATGATTACATATTTGTTTCATTGACATATCCAAAAGTGTATAAATTCAACTTGGCTAAAAAGTACTTTTAAGATTTCCTCATTTAGGCACATAATTATAACCTCTAAGATGCTCGAGCTTTTTGGTCCCCTAGGCACCTCCATTTGGAGCTCCCTCTGCCTGGTTTGCCTTCCCTGCTCAACTCCCCACATACTTGTTTCACTCCAGCTGCTTCTACACAGCTTCTTCTGACTCAGCTTAGATATCACATTCTCCAGAATGCCTTATCTGATCCCTAAGGCTGAAGACCCTCTTACGTGTTCCTACATCACCCTATTCATATCCCTGTCACAGAAGAGCACACACAGTAAATTTCCTGTCTTACTTATTTCCTCTCTACTTGAAAATAAGATGTTCATCAGACTAGCTGTCCTATTTATAACTGTATCCTCAGCAACCATAATTGTAGACACATAACTATCTGACAAATAGATTTGTTCATTAATTTGAAAAATATTTAGTTCCTACAATGTGCCAAGCGTTTTCCTAGGCATTGAAAATATAATCCTAAAGAAAACAAATAGTCTATCTTTGTGGAGCTTACGTTCTAGATATAAATACAGAAAGACACAACAAGTCAGTGTGTAAACACAGTGTAAGATGGTGCTGAATGGAATGAAGCAAAATAAGTAGTCAGGGTATAGCAACAGAGAGGGAGAGGAAAGAGTGCTACTTTAGATAGAATGGTGAAAAAGGGAAGAACTCTTAAAGGATGTAAGACTAGAGACCTAAGTGAAAGAATAAGTCATTCAAATAATATCAGTGGGAGGAACAGACCAAGTAGAAGAAACAGCCAAACATCAAGGCCCAGAGAAGGAAATGTACTGCGTGCATCGAAGGCAGACAGGCAAGCAGGCATTCCATTAACTGGATAGTTTCCACCGAGCCATTTCAACTTTCTAAGCCTTATTTTCCCCATCTACAAAATCTGAAGCCTATTACACTTAAACCCACACTTGTAGCCCAGGTATTTTACTAAATAACTTTGCTATTTCTGTACCTCCTACCACAACTCAGCTTGGTACAATCAGATGGTTCACCAAGTAGGTGCACTTTCTGAAACACATGGAGTCACACCCTGATTCACTCTCTCATGAATTTAATACAAACATAGTAGCTCATCTGACACTTCCATGGATTATACCAATTGGGCTGTACATGTTCTGGCATGTAACAAAGTTCAGGCATTCCAAATAGTCTGTTGGACAGATCAAGATTTAGAAGGCTCACAGTTATATTTTACTCCAGCAAATGTCAGGGCTCAAATTACAGTTCCATCAAGTAGGGGTCTAAGTCTCTAATTCAAGTTTTAAATTTGGCTATGGAGAATCGTAGTATGCTTATACTGCTTACTGCTGACCTGTATTTTTAAAAATGATAAATTAATCAACACACTCTGGGAGCTGAGGGTGGACAGCCATCATCCAGAACAGTGCCCAGAACATGGTAGAAATCTAAATAAAAATTAATGAGTACATGGATAAATGACTGAGCAGTTGGGAACTAATGAATCACAAGTGCCTATCTAAAGGACTATGGTATCAACTTTTTCTGGGCTCCAGATCCTCCTACAGTACCTACTTCATGAACATTGTTACAATGTCTATTTAAAATAAAACTATAATAGTTATCTAGCTAAAGTATATTCCATTGGTTAGGAAAATAACATGTCCTCTATATAGAGGACTGTATAGAACAACAATAAAAATTATAGTTGAAGTAGCAGCTATCAATAATTGACATCCTTGTATATACTATGCTAGCTGAAATCTAAACTCATTTAATCATCAAAGCAAACTATCTGGTAATTTTTATCTCTATTTTATAGTTGAGAAGACATACTCCAGTTAGGTGACATTGCCAACATCACACAGAGCTGGCTGGTTGTGGAGCTCTTATATAAAATCCAGGTTGGATTTCTGGGCTCAATTCCTGTAGAGGAATTGTGAAGATGAATAGACAACGTCTTAGTCCATTTTGTGTTGCTTTAACAGAATACCTGACACTGGGTAATACATAAAGGAAAGTTTATTGGTCTTGTGATTCTGGAGGTTGGGAAATCTAAGATTTGGGAACCCCTTCTGGTGAGGGTCTCATGCTGCTTCAACTCATGGTAGGGAAACGGAAGGGGGAGCAGGCACATGCAAAGAGGCCAAATAAGAAAAGGAACACCACACTCTTGCAGTAACCCAGTTCCAAGAGAAAATGAACTCACTACTAGAGAAAGGCATAAAAATGTATTCATGAGGAATCCACCCCCATGGACCAAATATCTCCCACTCCCTACCACACAACACTGCAACTTTGGGAATCAAATTTCAACATGAGTTTTGGAGAGGACAAATCACATCCAAACCATACACACAATAGGTAGAAGGTTTCTGCATTATTTGAACCATAGTCACATAAATGCAATATAGAGTGACTATTAGCCAGTTGTAATTTAGAAATATTTTATACCGATAAGAATATTTCTACATTTCTAATCATTTTACCAATTTGCCATTTAGTTCACTCCCCACACGCAAACCTGTTACCCAGCCCTAAAAACCAAGTTTATTGGACCACAAGGTAGGACAACTGTTCATTCCTTTCACTTTGAATATATGGACAGATTCAGCTCAGGAGAGTATGTCCTTTAATAAATCAGGATAATTTTGAAACGCCATCTTGCTCACAACTAAGAAAAGGTGTAAGTGTGTATACCAGTGTAAAAGTAAAGCTCAAGCAGTGGCTATTTTAAAAACTTTTTAAAACTTTGTAGAACACAGAGATGTGGAAGAATGTGTGTCAGCAGATCATGACATCATAGCTGACAAGATAAGGAGTGACAGGTAACTGTCACTCTGTTTGGCAGAACTGATATTAAATCCCAGCTCTATCATTTGCTAGTTACTGGGAAAGTAACACATTCTCATATTCTTCAAAGCTGTATTTCCTACATATGAGGTAGGAATAACAATAGTATCTATTTGACAGGACTGACATAAGAATGAAATTAGTGAATACATATAAAGAACAAAAGACAAATGTAAAACACATGTCTAGCACTTATTAAATACTTAATACAAAAATCATTGTATCCTAAAACAATAGTTGAGAGACAGTTGCCTTCCAAAGCAGGTTTTAGTGCAATTAAATAGATTGTTTTGAAGCAGATGTTTCTAGAAATTTTATTTAATGAGTTTCTAAATACATATTATGTCATTTTAATATTTTCCCCTACATAGTTCAGACATCCACATTTACAGGATCCTTCCTGGGTTTTAGACACTAAACTAAAAAGCATTTTTTTCCTCATCTCATCTTTACAACTGTGAGGTCGATGTTATTATTCCTATATTAAAGGTGAGAACACATTTCAGAAGTTAAAGAAACTGCCCATGCAGATAAGTGATAGAGCTGGGATTCAAAACCCAGGTCTGCTTGGTTCCAAAGGCTATGCTTTGAAATAGTATGCTACCCTAACCCCTTATTTCCTCAGAGACCATAGTTGTGCCAACCATAGTGTTTTTCAGGAATGTTAAGCTTCTCGGTTGGAGAGGGATTACTGTGTGACTATTTCTAAAATGAAAAGTCAATAGTTGAGAGGCATTCAAACGCATACAGTTAGACCAACAAAGGCCCTAATTCTGCTCAGCTGGCACACCCTTTGTGCCTTTCTCTCACTCCCCGGGACCTACCCATAGATGGTGTGTAAATAATTTTAGTAACTGTAAATTAGTCATTTATTAATATTCCAAATAATCTAATTCCAAGTACCTTTAGTAAAATATGAGAATAGAAGCTATTACTAATTTGAAGAACTCCCAGATTTTCAGTCATGCATTAGGTTGGAGTTAAAAGGAGTAAAAGAAAGTGTTTTATAGTAGAACGTAGATGATCTGCATTGAAAATTTGAGCTTCTAGAATTCTGGGATGCTAACTGTGACACGGATCTGCTGCCTCTTGTTTGTTATTTCACTAGAGACAATAAGCCTACATTCCTTTTTGTTCACAATTCTAGAAAAATAAGTGATATCAGGAGGGAGAGATGGTTAAAGTGAGTTTCTGGCCTTATATACAGGTTTTATTACCATCTGCAGCCAGTTGTCAATCACAAAATAACAAAGTAAAATGTGGTGATGAAAGCCAAACTTTCTCCTTAATAAAGTGAGGTTTAAAGCAGATACCTTCAAGTTACTTAATCAAGGACTTGACCAAGTGAGACAAGCATCCAACATATATTAGCCATAGAAAAACAGCTGATCTTGGTGAGCACACATTTCCTACCTTCATTCCATCTTCATTTCCTAATTGCTACTTTAGAATGGTAGTAAAAGTGAAGGTAACGTATTTAGTTACCCACATCAGAAATATGCAACAAAGTCATATATAAATCTAAGCAAAATCATCCTGTTAGAAAAACAAGAATTTTTAAAGTATTCCTACTTTGTTTCAAAACTGATTTAGGACATTTCTAAAATTAAATATGGGAGGCAAATATATGACTGCTTAATCTTAAGGTCTAGAAATCTGAAGGCTTTAGAAATGCCATGTTACCTTGCCTACTGATCGTTCAGTAGTGATCTTTAAAACCGTATCAGACAAAGAGGATTCTGACTTTCTAAATTGAAAACAAAATGCCTAAAAAGGAATCAAAATAAATGTTTTCAATATTGTAGAGATATAAAATTCATGATATTTTTAAAATTTCTTCTTCAATGTGAAGAAAATCATACTGTGGATAATTAGATAAGTAATAACAGCTCCTCTGGAAGCCATATGTTTAGGTTTATAAGCAAATATTTTCTCTTTTATGTCTTGTATTTCAGTACTGAATAGCCCAAAGACCCCATGTGTAGAAAGCCACAAGAGAGCATGGAAGATATATTTTATGCTAAAAAGAAAACACAAATGAAGAATGACAGCCAAGTTTCAAAGCACAGAGCTTAAAACGGAAAATGTAGATAACCTGAAAGACAGCATATGCTGCTAAGTGCCATTATCAGAAAAAAAAAAAGAAAGAAACGGTCACAGCTGTCAGATCTATATTTCTAGATCACAACAAGGCTGCCATTCAAATAGCGCTGTCAAATTGGGTCTATGTTTAATGTGAGATACAGACCACAAGAGTTTCAGAGAATCAAGTAAGTGAGTAAGACAACTGTAAGTAATGTTCTGCTTTTTTACTAGCACTGCCCTCAAGACAATTCAGCCTAGTTTATGATTATCACATAAGAAGACTCTTAGTTTGTATTCTTTCACCAACACATGGTTTTAAAATTCACAGCTAAAAATTAGAGTCAAATCTCACCCTCCCCTTTGGATAGAGCTCTGGCAACATTTCTGTTCACTCCAAATTCCTAACAGGATAGATAGAGCTTTCCGTATCTTGGGAAAGCCATACATGGACCCACAACTTACAGGGACACAATTCTGAGGACTCACTGAGCCCTCCAGGAACAGAATCCCTACATTCCTTCACTCCACCTCTTTGTGTTCATTCAAATACGTCACCTACATCCCCAACTCTTCACCTCATAACAGCAATGAAGAATGACAGCCAAGTTTCAAAGCACAGAGCTTAAAACGGAGAATTCCTCCTCTAAATCATGCTATACACAGAACACAAGTGTTTGGAAATGTTATTCATCCATTTGCTAAAAGCCATTTTCTCAAGTCTCTTAGATAAAATAAAAACTAAAAATGTCCTAATTATAAATTTCAAAATGGAAGTGGATTAAATACCTTCACCTCTTGTTCAGGGGCAATACGGGATCGCACAAAAGGCATGGGCTTCAGGGTGAGACAGACACAGGTTTGAACCTACCAATTGTTGACTGTGTAACCTTGGACATGTGATTTCAATTTTCTGAGGTTCCTTTCTTAACCCCCTAAACCACAAATGGCTGCTGTGATAAAAACCACAAATGGCTGCTGTGAGGGTTAAATTATAATTGTCATGATTTTCATTACAGCTAATATTTACTGAGCACTTTCTATGGGTCAAGTATTATTTTCAGCATTTTACATATATTAACTCAATCCACACAACCACCCATAAGATAGGAAGTACTAGCTCTGTTTTACAAATAGGGAGCCTGACACATAGAAAGGTTAAGCAACTCCCAAGAACATCAACTATAACTGAGGGAACAAGAATTAGAACCAGGTCTCACTGAAGAACTCAACCCTCAGCACACCTTACCTCACTTAAATAAGAATTCTGTGTGTACAGTCTGTTTATGCAATGACAGCCATACAATGCTCATTTCTTTTCCTTCTTTCCTACCCCCATTCTCTACCCACCCTATATCATGCAAATCATGAAATCATTGTAGTAAGTAGGAAGGGAATACAATACTGTTATAGAAAAAAAGTATAGAAAATATGAGGGACTAAGAGATCCTCTAATTATTATTATTATTTATTTTTTATTTTTGGAAAACCTCACTTTAAAGAATACAGTGAGAAGGATCACCTTCCACCTTAGCCAGTGACAAAGTAACCTCCTTAGAGGGAAATTTACACGTAACACAGTATCTGCTGCAACTCACAAGGTTCCCTGACCCCACTCCCCTGAACTCAGTACTTATGGGAGAATAAGATACTTTTGTTTCATCTAATGAACAGAGTATAACATGGAAGAGACAAAAAAGACACTGTTTCCTCTTCAAATTAGTGCCCAGTACAGCTTGCTTGGAGCAAATGCAGAGATCAATTATCCAGAGGGCTTTAAGGAACATGGCCCAGCTTCTGCATGCTCAGGATCTAAAGGTGCCTGCATTATAGATGGCGGCACCCACAGGGCAGATGTGGACAGCAACCATGCCACACCATGAGGCAGAAGCATCAGCAGGTGCAGCAGGAGCTGCTGCAGGGCACTCAAGCAGGTTCCAGACAACTAGGACAAAAGGGCTTTAAGGCGTCAAGTGACGAAGCAGGTCTCAGCAGAAAGCCAGGAAGCCAGGAAAAATTCTCAGTGCTCCATAAGGCTTTACTCAGGCATTTCCACATATACTCAGTGACTGGAGGCTGCCAGAAATTCTGAAGCTGTGGACAGGGCAAGTTTTATCCTGCTGCAGAGTTAGAATCATGGGCTTTTTGAAAAATGCCCATACTGAGGCTGAACCTCAGGGATTAATTTAATTGGTCTGGGGCAGGGCCTAGATATCCTGGAATTTTCAAAGCTCCCCAGGGAAACATAACCTGCAGTAGGAGTTGACAGCTGCAGCCTTGGGCTGTTAAAGTCTGGAGAAACATTGCTTAAAATACTTTATCATATGAATGTTGAAAGTCACTGAAGGATTTATAATGCTTTGTAAAAGGATTAGACTAATCTTTCAGAGAGAACACTCCGGTAGCAATGAGGAAGAGGAAAATACCAGGCTATGGATATTACTATAATGTAAGCTATGGTTACTACTATAATGAAGACAATGGGTGCTACTATAATTTGGCTATGGGTAGTCTGTTCACCCATGCATCCATCCTATCACCCAACAAATATCTACTGAGTCTCTATTATTTAGGAGGCACATTGAATAAGATGAATAAGGCATATGATTTTTCCTCTCAAGAAATTTCCAGTGGAGAAAGTGGCAAGGAAATTAATTGAAATAATGTGCAATAAGTAGAATATAAATGTAAAGGATACAATGGGAGTAGAAAGGAAAGACACCTAAAATCAGTGTGAATAGCCACAGTGTTGTAAAACACTCCCAAGGTGAGGGGGATCCCAAGCCAAAGAGGGAAGGTGTGGTCACGAAGAAAACAAGGCAGTGGATCATTCTAGGCTGTGAGGACTCCATATCCTGTTTCTGTAAAGTTAAGCAATGCAGTAAGGCTAAAAAAGAGAAACTGTGGGTACCTGACAACAGTCCAAGCTGGAAATAACACAGAAAAAGAGTGTCAACTGAACAGTGAGGTAAGGTGACACCATCATTTAACTTTAACAATTGAACTGGCATGATCAGATTTGTGTTAGGGAGAGAAAAATCAGGTAGGGGGACAACTTAGGAGACAGTTCCAATAGACCAGGTGAGGAACAGTGAGGAACAGTGGAGGAGATGGACAGAGGAAGAGATTTCATATATTCAGTGTTAGAACTGGTTTTGAGCTAATACACTTGACATGGAGGAGTGAAAGAAAACAAAGTTTAGAATTCAGTGGGAATGTTAATGTAATACTGCTTAGATGAGAACTGAAGAACAGAGGTAGGGTTTGAGTAGCCTATAAAAACATCCACATTTGGTGATTACACTAAATATTTGAAAGATTAAAAGTGAATCAATTATATTAAAATAAGTATCCACTAAGATTGTCATATTTCTTCAAGAACGGTTCATAGTAAAAATGTGATTAACATATCACTTCAATAGTCCAAACATTTTGAAACCATAAACTGATGTTAATACATGCCAAATAAACAGCATTCCTAACAGGTGAAAAATTAATGACAGTCCCACTGAAAGCTAGACCAAAATTTTAAAATGCCACTTTACTTTTAGATACTACATTCCATCAGAAAACCAGAATGACCTGAGTAACTAATTATTTGCCAATAAGGGAGTCTGGTAAATTCAACAGATACAGTTAAATTTGCAAAAAATCAACAGCTTTCCTGTATAGTAAGAATAATTGTTTAAGGTAACAGAAAAATCCACTGGCAAAAGCAATCACAAACTAAAATACAAAAAAAAGGGCTCAAAGATTCTATATAAAGAAAACAAATCTTTACTGAGATTTAAAGGATGGCTTAAAAATTGGAGAGACATACCATATGTTTCTAGATGGGAAGCTGATGTCAGTTCTCAAATCCACATGCACAGTTATTGCAGATCCAGTAACTACAACAGACTATGCCTAGATAAGATACTTAAGCCATATAAAGTTACAAGAAAATAAAGGTAAAAATCTAAGCTCTTGACAGAGAAGGACTTTCCAGGCAAAGGAGATGACAAAAAGTCAACAATTTTAAATAGACAAAATTTCTGTTTATCAAAATAGATTCTCAAGAAAATTGAAAAGCCAACAAATGGGAAGAAAATGGCACCACATGAAATGAACAAAAAGTTAATAACTTTATTAGAGTTAGATCTCAGTATAATGAAGGTCAGAAAACACGAACAATTCACGAATTGCTAAATTATTTCAAATGTCCAATTGTTCTAGTAATGAAAAGAAAGCATATTAAAGTAAGTTATTTGTATTGATTAAATGAACAAAGATTTGAAAATTATAGTATTAAATGCTAGAAAGGACACGGTGATATGGAAACGTGGTGAACATGTTTCCATATCATGGAAACTGGTAGAGCATTTCTGAAAAACCCCTTAGCCTAAGGCCTAAAGACTGTTTATACTACTTAAATCAGTAACTCCTTTTCTATAATAAATCAATCTTTAGAAGGTAATAATATCCGTGTTCATTTACTTAATGCTATTAATTACAGCACTAAATTATCAGCACTAAACTGCTGATAATATGAAAATGGAGACATTGTTTAAACTTTAAAGATACCTTCGGAAAAGATAGAAAAGATAAATGGATCACTTTAATACTGTGCATTAAACACTATGAAACAATGAAGAGGGTGTCTTGGCACAAAAGAAGGAATATAACCCAGACCAGAAGTTCAAAAAAGGCTTCCTAAAAGAGCTGTAGGATTCATACAAACTATTTTTATTTGTTTACACACATCCTTTATGTTGTGCAGTGAACAAGTATTGCTTTTTCAGGCATTGCTTTAATCACAGAAAAGGGTTGGCATAAAAAGTACCTTTTTAAAACCTTCTTTTCTACTTGTAGCAAACTACTTTTCCATAACTGTACTTCAAATTATCATCCCAGTTTTCTTGCAAAGCTTTCCTTAAATTACCTTTCACATTTTAAAGAAATGAAGACAGCTAGCTCTTACTAGTTTTGTTCCCTGATGTTTGGCATTCACATTTTCCTTCACCTTGTTTGTTCTGACAATAGACGAATTATAAATTTATGTCTGCTTAGCTTTCTGTCTTGCATAAACTTTATATATTATAGGTCAAAGTTTTTATTAATAGGCTACAAAAAAATGAAAAATAGCTAGAAAAATCAGTGTAGTTCAGAGACACTAAAGTCTTGCAAGCATTTTAGATTTTAAAATAAAAAAGAGAAAGAATAACTTTTCAATTACATTTTCAATTTCAATCACTATTGCCATATATATTAATCTCTAAAAGTCTAAATTATTGAAAGTTGATTTTGAAGTTAAAAATTAATTTGCTAAAATTTATTCAAGTCTCTTCAACAACAAATATATATATATAGACATAGATAGATATACACACACACACACACACACACACACACACACACACACACACTCTGGAAACAAAAGAACTGACAAAAAAGTCATCTCAAACCAATTTACTTTCTTTAAAATGTAAAGAGCTGTATTTTTTTCTTTTCTATAAATGGAACAACGTGTTAACACAGGCTTATATTTAGCCATGAGAACCAGAACCATTTCCAAGAAAAAGTTAGTTAAGACAGTTTTCTAGGCCTGAATTCTTCCTTCATTTATTTTGGGATCAGTTTGTTTAATAAAAGCATAGGTTATAAATGTTCTACCAATTATGGTTTGCCCAATTACCATAATCTTTGCTATAGAGTACATTTCTTATCAATTCTGCAGTCTAATTTCACATCTGATATGCTCTCTGATCCTCAAGTTATTTAGAAGAATGTTTAGTTTCTGTTAGATTAGAATTTTTAGTTATTCTGAATTTCTAGTTTAAATGGATGTAGGAAAGCAAATAAAGACTGAATTATTTCTACTCTTGAGAATTTATTAACTTTCCTTTGAGGCCTACAATATATATTTAATGTATCTAACTGTTTCATGAGCACCTAATTTACATTACCTTTTTAATAAGATGGTATGTGTCTGTGTGCATATCTATATCCACAAATAATTAATATATAACCACTCAAGCTTTTTGAGGGTGATGGCCAAATTTCCTAAAATTACTTACTTTTGCTCATTTTTTCTGTTAAATTCTCAAAGAATTGTGTTAGTCTCTCAACTATGTGTGTTTTTTTTAAAATACAAAATTAACCTACTTCTAGAAGTTTTCATTTTATATATTCAGTTGCTAGGTTGTTTTGTGTTATAAAAGTTTTATGGAAATTATATTCATTCTGGGTACACCGTGTCTTTTATCCAATGGCGATATTAAAAACATTTAACAAACAGTGCAGCACAATGTTTGTGAAGAGTCTAAGAGTCTAAGCCTAAGACTAAAGTCTTAGACTATTTGCAAGATAACAAATTAGTCTGCCATAGCGTCATAGACGCTGACACAATTCATGAGGCTCCTGGGTCAGAGATAAAGGATGTTACTGTTCACAACACAGAAGGCAGCAATAGCTTCATGTTCCCATGGGCTGTCTTTGCTGCCAGATCCCAAAGGGTGATTCAAGGTAGCCCAGGGGGATGCTGCATCTAAAGTGCATCTGTGTCACACCTGAGAAAACTCAGAGCCCAGGAAATACCAATTATTTTAAAGGAGCTACTAGCAAATCTACCCAAACTTTGCCCAAGAGAAAGGCAACATATTTATTTGGTACCCTGGTTAGAAAACAAATTCACCCTCTGTGCCATATTTCTTTTGTACTTGTGGTTACCTTTAATTTAGCATATCTGAACCTATATTTGATTATCACCATCCAGAATTAACACTATAAATGATATCTCCCCCTAATAAAACATGACCATAAGCATGGTTTTAATTTCCAATCCCTGTCACCTTCCTGGATTGTATTGATGTTAGATTTTCAGTTTTTTTAATTAGCAGTACAGCTCTTGAATTTTGAAAATCTTTTCCTAACAATTGCATTAAGTTTCACAACTTTCTTAGGAAGTCATTCAAATTTAATCATAAGTTCTGCTAGTTTCAATGTCTGCTGTGATTCCTTCCATTCCACTCCTTTCTCTGTTCCTATAAGTTGTTTTCATTTGGTACAGTATTTATTCAAGTTCAAAAATTTTTTTCTAGAGAAGTTAGATGGGCATATACTTTCTTAGGTCTACATAATAACAACAAAAAGGAGGGTTTTTTAAATATTGTTTCATTCACCTATTGTTATATACCAACTATATGGTTTGGCTGTGTCCCCACCCAAATCTCATATTGAATTGTAGCTCCCATAATCCCCAGGTGTCATGAGAGGGACCTGGAGCAAGGTAATAAAATCATGTGGGGCAGGTTTTTCCCATGCTGTTCTCATGATAGTGAATAAATCTCATGAGATCTGATGGCTTTATAAAGGGCAGATCCCCTACACATGCTCTCTTGCATGCTGCCATGTAAGACATGCCTTTGCTCTTCCTTCATCTTCTGCCATGATTGTGAGGGCTCCACAGCCATGAGGAACTATCAGTCCATTAAACCTATTTTTCTTTATAAAGTAACTACAACAGTATAGGTGATTTCTTCATAGTGGTATGAAAATGTACTAATACAGTAAATTAGTACTGGTAGAGTGGGGTACTGCTATAAGGATACCCAAAAATGTGGAAGTGACTTTGAAACTGAGGAACAGGCAGATTGGAACAGTTTGGAGGGCTCAGAAAAAAGAAAAAAAAAAACTAAAAACAAACAAACAAACAAAAAACAGGAAAATGTGGGAAAGTTTGGAACTTCCTAGAGACTTAGAGTGCTCAGAAGACAGGAAGATGTGGGAAAGTTTAGAATTTCCTAAAGACTTGTTGAATGGCTTTGACCAAAATGCTGATAGTAATATGGTCAATGAAGTCCAGGCTGAGGTGGTCTCAGATGGAGATGAGGAATAGTTGGAATTTGGAGTAAAGGTCACTCTTGCTATACAAAGAGACTGGTAGCACCTTGCATGTAACTCTAGCAACAATAATAACAAGAAGGCCAGGTGCAGTAGCTCATGCCTGTAATGCCAGCACTTTGGGAGACAGAGGCAGGACGATTGCTTGAGCCCAGGAAAAGGAGACCATCCTGGGCAATATAGTGTGACCCCATCTCTACAAAAAGTTTGAAAATTAGCCAAGCACGGCAGTGTGTGCCTGTAGTCCCAGCTACTCACGAGGTTGAGGCAGAAAGACTGCTTGAGCCTAGGAGACTGAGGCTGCAGTGTGCTGTGATCATGCCATTGCACTCCAGCCTAGGCAACAGAGTGAGATCCTGTCTAAAAAAATAATAATAATTAAGTAAAAGAATAACAAGAAAAATAACAATATCTTAAGTAAAATAGCTTATTTCTCTCATAAAAGGAACCTAAAAGTAGGCAGTCCAGGGAAGGGATGGCAGCTCCATTGTCACCAGGTTTTTTGTACCATTGCTGCCACCAAATCCTTAGCAGACTGATTCAAGATCCAGTATGGCTGTTGGAGCTCCAGCTCTCATATCCACATTCCAGGCAACAAGAGAAAAAGGCGACACCTTGTAACTTTATTCATTATGTGTGCTTACATATTGGCCAGAACTTGATCACAAGTAATTGCAAAGGAGCCTGGAAAATGACATCTCTTAAACGGGCTACAAGGTGACTGATACAGTTTGGCTATGTCCCCACCCAAATGTCATCTTGAACTGTAGTTCTTATAATTCCCATGTGTCATGGGAGGGAACTGGTGGGAGGTAAGTGAATCATGGAGGTGGTTACCTCCATGCTATTCTCATGATAGTGAGCGAGTTCTCATGAGATCTGATGGTTTTATAATAGGCTTTCCCCCACTTCCCTCTGCACTTCTCCTTGCAGCCACCTTGAGAAGAAGAGCATGTTTGTTCCCCTTCCGCCCTGCTTGTAAGTTTCCTGAGGCCTCCTAGCCCTGTGGAACTGTGAATCAATTAAACCTCTCTCCTTTATAAATTACCCAGTCTCACGTATGTCTTTATTAGCAGCATGAGAATGGACTAATACAGTAAACTGGTACCCATAGAGTGGGGTGCTGCTATAACGATACGCAAAAATGTGAACTTGACTTTGGAACTGGGTAACAGGCAGAGGTTGGAATAGTTCAGAGGGGTCAGAAGACAGGAAAATGTGGGAAAGTTTGGAACTTCCTAGAGACTTCGGGGGCTCAGAAGACAAGAAAATGTAGGAAAGTTTGGAGCTTCCTAGAGACTTGTTGAATGGCTTTGACCAAAATGCTGATAGTGATATGGACAATAAAGTCCAGGCTGAGGTGGTCTCAGATGGAGATAAGGAACCTGTTGGAAGCTGGAGTAAAGGTCACTCTTACTATACAAAGAAACTGGTGGCATTTTGCCCCTGCCCTAGAGATCTGTGGAACTTTGAACTTGAGAGAGATGATTTAGGGAATCTGGTGGAAGAAATCTCTAAGTAGCAAAGTGTTCAAGAGGAAGCAGAACATAAAAGTTTGGAAAACTAGCTGCCTGATGATATAATAGAAAAGAAAAAGAAAAGAAAAACTGATTTTCTGGGGAGAAAGTCAAGCCTGTTGCAAAAATTTGCCCAAGTAACATGGAGCCCAATGTTAATCACCAAGACAATGGGGTAAATGTCTCCAGGGCATATCAGATACCTTCCCAGCAGTCCCTCCCATCATAGGCCCAGAGGCCTGGAAGGAAAAAATGGTTTTGTGGACCTGGCCCAGTGACCCTTTGCTGTGTGCCACCTAGGGACTTGGTGCCCTGTGTCCCAGCTGCTCCAGCCACAGCTAAAGGACCAAGGTATAGCTTGGGTTGTGGCCTCACGGGGTGCAAGCCCCAAGCCTTGGCAGCTTCTGTGTGGTGTTGAGCCTGTGGGTGCACAGAAGTCAAGAATTGAGGTTTGGGACTTTTGAATTAATGCTGAAATGAGTTAAGACTCTGGGGACTGTTGGGAAGGCATGATTAGTTTTAAAATGTGACGACATGAAACTTGGGAGGGACCAGGGGTGGAATGATACAGTTTGGCTGTGTCCCCACCCAAATCTCATCTTGAATTGTAGATCCCCACATGTCATGGGAGGGACCTGGTAGGAAGTAATTGAATCATGGCAGTGGGTTTTTCCCATGCTCTTCTTGTGATAGTGAATAAGTCCCACAAGATCTGATGGTTTCACTAAGGGCAGTCCCTCTGCACACACTCTCTTGTCTGCCACCACGTAAGATGTACCTTCGCTTCTCCTTTGCCTTCTGCTGTGATTGTGAGGCCTCCCCAGCCATGTGGAACTGTGAGTCCATTAAACCTATTTTTTTTTATAAATTATCCAGTCTTGGGTATTTCCTCTTAGCAGTATGAAAATGGACTAATACACCAACCAACCACAGAATCTCAGTGCACACAACAATAAGCCTTTGTTCCCACACTTTAGGTGGGACAGCTCTACTTCAGGCTGCAGGCCAACTAGGGTGACTATTCTACTGGTCTCATTTTGGATCAGGTGCAAAGAGTGGAAGCTAGCAAGACATTCTTCTTGTGGTGGAGGTCAGCAGCTCTCAGGGAACCAAGCCCAACCATATAGCACATTTCAAGCCTCTGCTCATATCATACCCACAGACATTTCATTGGATAAAGCAAGTCAAAAGGCCAAGCTCAAATCTGCCCTCTCAAAAAGGGCAGAAAAATAAATTCTGCCCAGAGTGGACAAGAAAGAGAGTGAGCATTTGCTGAACAATAATCTAAACTACAATACTCATCCATAATATAGAACTGAGTATAGACTTCTTGGTTCACAAACTTTGTTTCCCCCCTTTCTAATAGTACTTCAACATCTTCGAAAGTTGAATGTCACAGCAAGCAAAGCCCACTGCAGGAAATCACGATTCTCACAGGTAGAATCCATTGATGAGTCTTCCAAGGGACTTCATTTTGTTGTCCTATGCTCTGTCCTCCCCCTCTCCCTATCATGCTCCAATATCTTGCTACTATATACCTATGGACTATTTACTTCTGGATGAGTCCCATCCATTGACTTCCTAGGTAGCCATTCCTTGCCTGTGTTGAATCAAAGACCAGTCAGCTCTGATGGGCATTTCTCTTATTCTCTCTGTTGCAGAAATGCTAAAAAATTCCTCAAAGTCTCAGGCTACTTGGTGGCATCCTTCCATGTTGCCATTTTCTAATTTTTATGTAATTTTTGGTTCTTTCCATAATTTTAGGAGAAAAGAGGTATGTAGTCTCAACTTATCCTGAAATCAGAGGTCCAAAAGAGAGACTATATTTTTTAAAATCTTATTTCTGTACACATATAATTTTACATAAAAATATAAATATAATCACAATCATGATTCTTTACCATGTGCACTTGTTTTCTTTTCTGCTTGATTCCATTGAAGGTCCTTTACTGAACTTCTGTATACTGAGTCTTCTAACTAACCCAGAGCAACATCCCCCTCTCTGCAACTGCTAACAACTGATGATACAACTTTGAATATTTTGCTCCATACTCATAATTCTAGAGATATAAATATGCATCCAACTATATAAATTACAATAAAATAATTTTTAATCACAGCTACTGTTTTTAAAAAGGTGGGAAATTACCCTGCCTTTGTTAGACTATACATCTAATATTAATACCTCCAGGAACCACCACCACCACCCTGTCCCATCAATAATCCGATTTAGCCCATTCTGGGTTTGTTTGTTTGTTTGGAGACAGGGTCTTCCTCTATCTAGAGTGCAGCCTCAACCTCCAGGGCTCAAGTCTCAGCCTCACAAATAGCTGAGACTACATGTGTGTGTCTCCACACCACTAATTTTTATTATTTTTTATTTTTTGAGAGAGAGAGTCTCACTATGCTGCCCAGCTGGTCTCTAACTCCTGGGCACAAGCAGTTCTTCCACCTCAGCCTCCCAAAGTGTTAGCCGTTCTTTTAAGGGCTGTATAATAGTATATGGTATGTGGCTGCACCACGATTTACACTCTATTCCCTCTGACAGCGTTTATATTGGTTTTGGTTTTATGTGACTACAAACAATGCAAAAATCACTCTTACACATGTATTCTTATTTAAGGCTGCTTTTATTCTATGGGATTAAGTTTCATATGTGGGAGTGCTGAGTCAAAGTGTAGAGGCATTTAATTTCAATACATTTTGACAAAACACTTTGTAGAAAATCATATATAAGAATACTTTCTTACCACACTCATGATTATTAATTAATACTTTCTTACCACACTCATGACTAAAATACTATTAATCTGATGGACAGAAAGTAACCTTTGTTGTTACTTTAATTTGAATCTTTTCATAAACTTGTTGATCATTTCAATTTGTTGTCCTTTGAACTATTTTTGGTTTTTACCCATTATCCTATTAAAATATCTTTTCCTTATTTATTATAAGAGGATTTTCCATGCAATTGCTATAAATACTTTGCCATCTACATTACATATACAAGGGGATTATTATTGTCTTAGCCTATTGAACTTGTTTATAGCCTCTTCTGCCATTCAAAAGACTTATTTGACAAACTCAAATATTTTCTCTTTCACAGTTTGTGTTTCTACTAGCCCCTAAATCCAAGATTCTGTCTTATTTTTAATTTGTCTTATCCCATTTATACTTCACTGTATTGTAATACATAAGAGATTTCACATTTATTTCCTTCAACTGCTAACAACTGATGATACAACTTTGAATATTTTGTTCCATACTCATAATTCCAGAGATACAAATATGCAACACTCATAAATAATGTATCCTTTCTTAATCTATCCTTTTCCTAATCAATTGTCACCATCATGTTCAGTTCTATTATATACAAGAATATATTTCTAAATTTTATTTCACTGACCTACTTATTTTTAATACTATATTGATTGTAATGAATTTACACTGTTTTATTTAGAAAATCTGATTTGAGTAACCAATTTATCCCTCAGTAAATTTTCTTTCTTAGGCATTTAATCTTCCACATAACCTTTATAATTTTTCCATCCTATTTCAAAAATAACCACGGTGAAATATGAAATAAAAAGGCTTTAATTCTGTCTATTTATTTTGGGTGTCTTGACATTTACATGCTACTGAATCTTTCATCTAAGGACATGAAATGTCAATCCATTTGTTCAGATTTTATGACAGAAAAATTTTAGTTTTCATCACATAGGTCTTATGCTTATCTTGCTGAATTTCTCACTATTTTACAGTTGTATCATATTATTCTAAATAATTATTTACATTTTCATTTCTAAATGCTTAGTGTGAGAATAAAGAAAAGCTATTGATATTGTGTATTTACCTTATATCTAGCAACCTTAGCAAATTTCCATAATTCTACTTTTTAAAAAAATTAGACTCCTTGGGATTTTCAGGGACAAAATAACACATTAGTAAGAGGGATAATCTCCTCTTGCCATGTCTTTGTGGCTATTTTGCTAATCCATTTGCTAAAATCTTCATAGAATTGTTAAATAACAGTATAGTTCAGTATCCTGCTCATTACTGAAACACCAGTAGCAAATCTTTATTCTAAATGTTAAAAATTGGCTTTTAAGCCTGGGCAACATGGTGAAACCCCATCTCTACAACAACAACAACAAAAATTAGCACGGTGTAGTGATGCATGTCTGCGGTCCCAGCTACTCAGGATGCTAAGGTGGGAGAATCATTTGAACCAGGGATGTTGAGGCTGCAGTGAGGCATGTTCATGCCATTGCACTCCACCCTGGGTGACAGAGTGAGACCCTGTCTCAGCAACAACAACAACAACAACAAAAAATTGAGTTTTAATTTCCTTCTTTGCTTAGTCTTCATTGGAAATGATAGATAAAATTATAGCACATCAACAGATACTAAGAAAGTATTTGGTCATCTGAACCAAATGTACTGATACATGGATTTTCTGTTTTAGTCACATTTTATTATTTTTTAATATTTTAGCTGATATGTTGTTTGGTACATCCATATTTTAAAACTTATCTTTAAAGTAAATTTGCCTTTTATTTCTACTCAGTATTCCTTTTTATACTATTTCTCCTTTTCTTATATTGACTCTATTGAATGACTCATTTTGCATTTCCCAGTATTATTTATATGCATTTCTGTATTTCAAACGTTCTTATAAACTCACTAATGACAAAACAATAAACAGCATATATCCTAGCTAACACAGTGAATCCCCATTGCTACTAAAAATACAAAAAATTAGCCGGGCGTGGTGGTGGGCGGGCGCCTGTGGTCCCAGCTACTCGGGAGGCTGAGGCAGGAGAATGGCGTGAACCTGGGAGGGGGAGCTTGCAGTGAGCCGAGAGGCGACAAAGCGAGACTCCATCTCAAAAAAAAAAAAAAACAAAAACAAAAAAACCAGCATATAGCTAGGTTTACTTTTGTAACCCAGTCTGATATCTGGCTTGTAATTTTGTTATTCAATCTGTTTGTATTTAATATAATAACTATTGTGGTTGATTTTATTCCTTCCATCTTACTTTGTGTTTATTAGTCATTTTATATTGTTTCTTGTTCCTTTTCCTTATGTTTGAGGGGCTGATCAAGTTACTATTTTTCCTGCCGCAGCGTTCCTCACATGGGGCACCAACTGTGGTAGCACTCCTCTCACAGGAGCACCAGCTGTGGGGGTGTCTGTCCCTTGCAGACCCTTGACCTGGTGATGGATGAATAATGTACACTGACACACAGATATTCTGTTTTGCCAGTCCAGCTGAGAGTGTCTGTCCACGCTGCTTACAGACTCCTTGCTGAGTGTTGTAAACAGTTGCTACCACGGCCCCAATCAGCTAGTGAGACCCACATTTATTCAGTAAGATTAATTAACAAAGGCTTGAGTCAAAACCATTAGAGGATAATTGACATTGTGGACTTTCCGAGTAAAAACCACTTAAGCAACTGAGGTACATCAAAGGTTAGCCTTAAGACCACATGAGTAAGTGAGCTACCTAGGTAAACTACTCCGCCTTCCTTTGTACCAACTTTAAGCTATTTACTAAAGGTAAGGATTAGGATGCCTTCGACCATATCTATTACCGATGTTATGCAAACTCTCAGGCCTTCCAAGAGGGCTTGCGGCTATTACTATAACTATCTTTAATATTTTTCCCACTAACCTGATTGAACCCGAACATTTTCCCTCACTAAATTGGAAATTTTGTGTAGTGTTTCATTCCATTAGTAGTCACGTCTATTTAATTCTTCTTAAAATTAAATGGTATGACTCTATTCTTTGAAAATAAGATTATAACTTCCATTAAAATTATTTTTCCCACCATGACCCACTATTTATCATCTCACATCCCCTAATAAGCTCAGTTTTTTAAAATATTGTTTATTTTCACTATCTCATCCTCCTCCCTAAGATCTTTTTAGAATGTTTCTACTTCTCTATTCACCATTCCCAACTTTCAGGTCGTTGGGTACTGTTTACTTTTAGATTTTTGAGGAAGTTTAATATATCTTTACTTTGCATTTAAATTACAAATCCCAAAACAGCTATCTCCATCCATGTACTTTCTAAATACATACGCACTCATGTGTTAAGATTTACTGTGCTTATTTCCTCTTCATGTTTTCCCACCTTGAAGTCTCTATTCTGGTTCATTTACTGTTTGATTCACATCTACTCTTGGATACAATATGTGGGTGATACTTTCTGAATGATTACATATCTCTCAAGTCCTTTTCTTAATCTAGGCAGGAAAATGATATAAGTTGAAAGTAAGATTCTTGGATTGTGGTCTATTTCTCTCAGTAGTGTGTGGATGCCCCATCTTCCTAACTTGCAGATGAGAAAACCAGTGCCAGGTTGGTTCTCACACTTCATCCTTTTCTTAAGGTAACTTTAGTATTTTTTTTTTCTGGAGCCATCTGTATATATCATTAGAGAATTTGAGAATTTTATCAGAATGTGTCTGGACATGGGTCTTTTCTCATCAGGTGAGTCTAGACCTTATTAAGCCTTTTTACTTTGCGGGCCAAAATCTTTCTTTAGCTCAGGTCAAGAATATTGTCTATTATATAATTATTACCTTTCCTATTTCCTATTTATGTTCCTTTTTCACCTTGTTGAACATCAATTATTTTCATTTCAGGTCCCTGGAATCAAATCTCCAAGACTCTTATTTTTCCCCTCAAGATTTCTAACTTTTAATCATATTTTCATATTTATGCTCTGGGATTTGAGATGTGTTTTACATTTGATCAACCAGAACAGTAAATCAGGTCTCAGCAGCTACCCTTTTTCCCTTGTGTTACTTAATTAGGAATCATGCTTAAAATGTTGTAGGTGCTACAGTTGAATCTCCCTAGGTATTATACTTTTATTTTTACTTTTTCAAATGTTCACGTCTCCTCCAACATTGCTACTTCACATCACACTTGTTCTGACTGTCTGGTGTTCCTCTATTTGCCTGCAGGACAAAGAGATTGTATGATTTTGTATACTTATGTAGATTGTCATTTTGTGGAGGCTAAAGTCTGATTGTTAGTTCTCTAATTTGGCTTCATATTAGAATCACTTGGGGAGTTGTTCTGTGGTTTATTTAGTTTAAACTGATAATGCCCAGAACCAGTTTGATAAGAGTCTCTGGAGGAGGTACCCAGGCATTAGTACTTATGTAAATACCCCAGGTGAATTTTGAACTAGAGCCCTAAAGGGTCTGAATCTTACTTGTGTGAGATGTGTAAAAACGAGAAGCTATTTCCCCTTCAGAAATAGCAGTGGAAAGCCTTTTTGCTCTCAGGTCTCCCTGCCCTCCTCTTGGGCTCAAGGACATGGATAATCCTATCTACCCATTGAGGTCCTTTCTTGGGTTTTGTGGGGGTTAGGGAGACTCTCATATCCCTACCCCCAGGAATCTTCTGATCTTTGAAGACCAGGCTCTAGAATCTACCCCTCTGGAGCTCTTTATCCTGAGGTTCCAACACTATTCTCTCACTAGGGCTCAGACCATTTAGAGGAAGCCCTCCCACCTCAAGCCCCACACACCATTTCCTCTCCCGAAAGCCCACACAGCACAAGGGTTCCCTGAGATCAGTTGCCTATAGGTCCTCTGGCTCAGAAGATGCAGGTAATGTGGTTCTAAAAGAAGAAATAAACCACATGCAGATCTTCAAATTATAACTTCTAGTAGTCATGTCTATTTCATTAACTTCTAGAAGGGATAATATGGACTTTTATTTTCCACATTCCACTTTTATTGTTACCACATTCAGATCTTCTAACTATAACTTCTAGTAGTCTCGTCTATTTCATATAACTTCTAGAAGGGATAACACGGACTTTTATTTTCTTATTTCTGGTCTTTATAATAAACATCTAAATACAACTTTTGTTCATGTAAATGGCAAATTAGCATCATCGGGAAAATGGATGAGAAGCCATGAAGAATGGTTGTTCTCCTCATAATGAGCATTAGAATGTAAATAGCAAGATTCAAAGGAGAGGAGGCAGAATTAAGCACAGTCAAGACACTGGGATAAAGGACTGATCAGATAATGTCTGGAGCAAATCAAAATGATTTACAGATATAAACAAATACATAAGCAGTACATTTATAAATTATAGATGTTCAGCTGGAGGAGGGTGAATAGAGAGTGGCATCCTTCTTTCTCTTCTACCATTTGTCAATATTAGGAAATATGACCTGTAAGAATTTATGAAGAACTTTGATATTATAAATTTAACATTGAGTGTGTTGTAGCCATTGGTGAGATAAATATATGGCACAACCTTTGTGGATAATTTTGCCTTTCAATTTTGAGATGTAAATTTTTTTACTACTGTTACGAGTTTCGTGTTTAAGACAGGAATACAACTACTACTTTCAGAGCCCTCTCCATTATATGAGAATTGAGTCGAGGACAATAAAGCACCACCATATCCCCATTTTTTTTTCTATAAGAGTGGTTTTCAGACTTATTTGGTCGTGCTTTGTTCAAAAGAGAGCTTAACTAAATGCTCACACTGGAAAAAAAGATGTGTGTGGAACTGAACCTACTTGTGACCCATCCTCCCAGCCCTAAGCATCTTCCCACTAGAAACCAGGTTCCATGAGAACAGGTCATGGATGTAGCATTTCTCACAGCTACATCCTCAGTGCTAGAAAATGCCAGGCAGGTAGTAGGCCTTGCTCAAGATTTAAGAAACGAACCTTGTAACAGTATGCAGGACTGTTTGGAAACCACTATTTTCAACCCTTTCATTTAAATATTATCTAGAGAAGCCACTCCAGAAGGAATACAAACTTTAAGCAATGAGGAACAGCTAATGTGCATATCAGCTGAATGATTTGAGCGTAGATATCTAAACACCCTGCACCTCAATCTCATGAGGGTTTTATAAAGTGCCTCTATACACCCCCAACCCCAAGAAAAAGCTGAAAATTTTATCACTTGTGTTTTATGTCATTTGACAGCAATGTAAAAGTATCATGAACTTTTGCATATATATGTATTCCTTGGAGAATTCAGAAGGGACCACAGAAACCACAGGTCTACCAGCTAGTTACTTGTTATCAATTATAAAACTTTCTGGATGATACTCTCATTCTATCTTTCTCTTCAAGTCCAGACATATTTCACTGCAAAGCCCAAATTCTAGATGACTGAAGAATTATTCAACTTCAAAGGGAAGTTAGGAATGGTCAGTTAGCCAACAGAGTTTATTTACCTTTACTCTAATACTACAGTACACTGCAATGATTTGCTTCCATATCCATCTCCGCCAATAGACAGCTGGTTCCTGGAAGATGAAAACCACATTGTATTCACCTTAGTAATTAATGTAAGTGCCTAGTGCAATGCAAAGCACATTGTAGCCTCCCACTTCTGAGTGTGGGGCAGGGACAAGGAAGAATTCAAACGTAATAAAGTAACTGAATTCCAGGATACTTGGTATTAGCTGTTAGAGTAGCCTTCAGGAACATCCTTCTTTACTCACAAAAGTCCACCACATTCAGGGAGTGAAGCAAAGTATTATCAACCATCTGATTCTTCATCCTCATTAAATAGGCTCCCAAGGTCCAGCCACCAGCTTAAAAAACTGGAAAGGCTTTTAGGCAGTATTTACATGGTCCAACTAGAGAGAGGAAAGGAAGATCCTGACAAATAGAACTCAAAGACTAGCTGACAATAAACATCCCCCCTGTGAGAATAAGAGCACACTATGGGAGACTGAGAAAGTAGAAGTTAACTCAGACAAAGAATGTAAAAATCTGCCCAGCCATCAGGCTGGAGAATAACAGAAACAGAGCCAGCTTCAGGGTTAATAGGAAACAATACTTTTTTCAAGGACATTCTGCTACTATAAAGTGTCTTAACAACCCCTTTCTTTGTCTACTAGTAGTTTTCTGACTCACTGGGAAACTTTGTGCTCTAAAATCACCAGAAACTCTGCTGTTTGAAATTATAGTACTCAGAATGAAGCATTTCATTTTTGTCTGGAGGATCTAAGTTACTCTGACACAAAGAAATGGCCTCGATTTATCACCTAGAGCTTTAGAAAAGGGAGTTCTGGACATGGCATTTCACATCACTCTTAACTTTGTAGTTTGCAAGCAAACAGGACCCTGGTCCACATTGCAGTGATATTGATGCAAATTGTGTGACCCATTGACACACAAGCCCTGCTTTGCCTTAAACTTACCAAAAATTGCTTTGTTTATATTTCACTTAAACTCCGCCCTTCTCAAAAAATCCTATGACTCTTTTCCTTTGATTATTGAGCAGCTTTATAAGTGGTTTCTCTGCTGTAGAGTCTACCTCATTGTCATAAGTCAACAATCCTGCCTTCGTTGGACTATAGCTTTGAACCTGATGGCTTTAGGCTGATTGCACTATGCCAAGACTTAAATCTTGGTATCCACCTTTCCATGATTGAGTTTAGGTTCAAGCAAAGCTTTATACAATAAAACTGTTCTCCTGGAGGTCATAGAGCTCCACTTTGTTCCTTGCGTTCATTTGGGCCTAAGTGAACTTGTCCTCCTCAGGGCTTAAGTCCTCAACTAGCCACCAGCACTGAGGAAAGGCCTGCTTCAGCAATGAAAACAGTTCATCATTTCCCTTTTACTAACCCTTGATTTCAACACTTAGAACACCTTGGCTCCTGTTGGATGCTGATCACAAGAGGAAGCAGTACTTGACCTCTGTAACTCTTGGTCCCAGAATTTAAGATGCTCAGAGTCCTTATGTCCTCAGTGATGGGTGGCAGAGGAAATGGTAATGGTTTTTCTTGGTCCTCGGCTTGGGTGCACTGATTACCCCTAGGAGGCAGGAGCATGAAGAGGTGAAGGGAATGTCAGCAGAGGAGTAGATTTCATTTATCAGAAAATCATGCAAACTAGGGAGGTGCAGAATGCCAACTACAGCAGCCCAGAATAGTCTATTCAGGGCTCAGTGTTTTTATACTCTTCAGAAAGGAAGCTTACTGCCTTCCTATCCTATCTCCCCCAAGGCCAGCACATTGCAAGGAAGGATTGGCCTTTAACTGGTTCGTTTACCACAAAGGCCCAGTAATTAGTAGTAAGAGCTGCTATTTAATTCCCTCAACTACTTTGTCTTGCTTTGAAAAGCATTCAGAAGAGCAAGAGTCTTGCAAGGGATATCTGTTAAGGAATATAAAAAGCTCAGCTATTCACTATAAGCATTACACTCTAACCTCAAAACATCTTTAGTTCCCAAACCTAGAGGACACAAATACAAATTTTCCCCCTACCACACACACTAACAAAATAACCACAATATGTTTTAAGAAAGTAAATACAGTTAAAAACGTCTACAGATAAATATGTACATTTAACAAATGCTTTCAAAAGTTATTTGTAGATAAATCCCAGATGCCAAAAGGGAAACACTAATAATTTGACTACATAAAACTTTAAAACTTGTTTACAGAAACCAAAAATAAAACATAACACACTGTTTAGAAAGGCAAAAACTATGTGTGGAAAAAATCTGCCATTCTGAGAGATGAAGAGCTAGTTTCTTAAACATAGGAGCAATGCTGATCAGGGATACAAATAAGCATGTCATAGAAAATGAAATAAAAATACCCCTCATCCATTTTCTTAGAAAAACGAACTATAAAGACAGAGTACTAAGGGAAAGAAACATAAGAAATTCTACATGTTCACATAAGAATAGGCAAACAAATATTAAGTGTTTTTTTTTTTTTTTTTTGAAAAGAGAAACAGAGGTCTTTGTATCAAAGTTTGCAAAGATAAGATTGTGAATTAAAAATAGAAAAAGGCCAGGAGCAATGGCTCATGCCTGTCATCCCAGCAATTTGGTAGGCCAAGGCAGGAGGATTGCTTGAAGACAGGAGTTTGAGGCCAGCCTGGGCAACAAAAGGAGTCCCTGTGTCTACAGAAAAATTTTAAAAATTAGCCAGGTGCAGTGATGTGCGCTTGTATTCCTAGCTACTCAAGAGGCTAAAGCAGGAGGATCCCTTGGGCCCAGACATTCACAGCTGCAGTGAGGTATGATTGCGTCACTGCATGACAGCCAAGGGGACAGCCAGACAGCGTTTCTAAAAAAAAAAAAAAAAAAAGAAAAGAATTAAGTTTCTGAGTGAATTTACTTCAAATGGGATTTTATTAATGTTCCTATAATCCAAGAAAATGTTTCTAATCACCACCTACCCCTGGCCAATTTAATTGTTGCAAATAAAGACTGTATAGTAATAAATTTAAAACAGGAACTACAGGACTTAAAAATATCAAGGCATATAAAGATCAAACCAGCTCTTATGAATAAAACATCCAACTTAATCCATATGAAATGTTTTTTTCTTCAAAGTGCCTAAATCTAGTACTCATAGCCTCAGTCATTCTTCAAATTATAGCTCATGAATACCATCCAGGTCTGAAATTTGTTTTAAGATAGCTCTTAAAGATACTGCAATGCATGACTAGTTCTGCCTAATTGATCTACCACTTGAAAATTCACAGTCATAAAATCCAAGCTGCTGTACAGCCAAGCTCTCCCAAGAGCCCATCATTATAATTTTTCCTATAGCCACCACGTCTCAACACTAATGGATGTAGGAATATTAACTATGATCAGGTACATAAAGAAATGGTAGCACCCAAAATACGAAAGCAAAGGGACAAATCATTTTTATCTCAGATTTCAATATGCAGTGTGCCCATAGAGTATGCACAGGCACATCAATTCCCCTAGCTGTCTGAATGTCTGTTCTTAAACGTTGTGGGCCATGCTGACTACCAGAACAAAATAAAGTTGTATAAGATTGTATCAACGGCGCGAGGAAAAGTACAATAAAACTATTTGTAATGCATGAGATTCACATGCTGAAGTTCTCATTTAGACATCACAGTCTTATATAATAAATTATTCTCCCTCCTAGGTATGAAATAATATTGTTTAATGTTCAGATTTTAAACTACAGAAAGAAATACTAAGGAAACCACGGATGGTATGAGATGAAGCTCTTTTGAAAGATACACACACACACTTCTTAAACCTTGCTACTCTTTTTTTTTTCTTTCAAATATTCTAATCTTCCATGGGTCATTTTCTTTGATTCTCAATATAAACTAAATCTTGACTTTTTCTTTCCTGAACTCAGCAAAGGATAAGAAAGTCAAGCATACTGAAACATACCAGCATAGCAACTCATAATAGCTGCCCATTAACAGTAGTTTTTCAAACACAATCTGGAGAAAGACTATACAGGATGCCATCAACAAGTGTATTGTGATTTAATGACTTTATCAACATATTTATTTCATTGCTATTTAATAACACTAACCATGGCAACACAGGATAAAAGAATTTTTACAAAACAGCCTATCTTAGAAGTTTTTCAATTTGAGCTTAAAATTTTAAAGAATGAACTTGATCTAATTATAAACCACAATTTAAAATGTTAGTTCAAAATTAAAGGCCTATCAGAAATTACCAATAAAAAAGGTTGACTAAATCACAAATAAATACATTTTATCTCAATTATCTCATCTACATAACCATTAAAAACAGTCTGATTTGTAGGAATCCAATTATTTTGAAAAATCATCAATGGTAAAGAAAATACATTTTATGTTAATTTTTGATGTCCTAAGGGAACCAAGTTAAATGGCTAAATCAGTTTGTAGACAACAGATCAATTCCCAGATAGCCCATTTGCTTTCCCCTGAATACAGTAATGGAAGGAACCTCAAAGGCAAACTCAGTATTGCCAATCAAGCCATAACCTTGTACCAAGCAAAATGTGTTGTGAAATGCTCCCTTTGGTAAACAGAGGATACCACAGTTATTCTGCTAACATCCTGAGAAAAGCTAATCCATAAAACATTTCATTTTAAACTCCCTGCTATGGTCTGAATGTTTGTGTCCTCCCCCAAAATTCATGTGTTGAAATCCTAACTCCCAAAGTGACGGTATTTGGAGGTGGGCTCTTAAGAGGTGATTAGTTCATGAATGGAGCACTAATGAATAGGATTAGTACCCTTATAAAGGAGGCTCTAGGCCCCAGAGAGACCCCATCCCTCTTTCAGCCATGTGAGGTTATACTGAAATAACAGCCACCTATAAACCAGGAAGCACGGCCTCACGAGAGGTGAAATCTTCAGTACCTTGACCTTGGACCTTCCAGCCTCCAGAACTGTTAGAAATAAAGTTCTGTTGTTTATAAGCTACCCAGTTTATGGTATCTTGTTGTTGCAGCTTGAACAGACTAAGACACTATTTTAAAAAATGCAACAGACTTTAGAGATACACCTATAAGATTAACAAACTTATTTAGTAGTATGTCATTATAGATTTCAAGTACATTAGATTTGCTGATCTTTCCAATAGTGTATTTTCTTTATAAAGCAAAGCAAAGAAATTTAACCAATTATAAGATATTCACTGTTAAACATGAATACAGTGAACAAAGAAAGGTACACTGCTCACCCTAGGCCAAGAAACAGCTAACAGCAAAGCATCTGGTCTCTCCAGACTAACTGCTCACCTAATAGCACTATGCTTCTGGCAACTTCTAGTTCAATATATACTGAATAGGATTTGTGCAACTCTAATTTAATTCACCACCAACTACATATTTGTACAAATTAAAGCATTCATATTGGATCTTTGTTCAAAGAGTCCTGAGTGCAAATGAAAAAATTAAAATGCTGTACCTTTCAGCCATATCATTACATGCACTAAAAGCCTTTCTAAAAGAAACACTGATTTGTTATATCAAATGTGTAAAAGGACCATTCAGGTCCTCCTTTACTGTTGTTTCTCTTCATTTTTCATTTCCATTGATTGAAACTCCTTGGTGCATCCCTCCAGCCCCTATTTTTGAACATAATTCCTTTTTTGAAGATCAGACCCCAATTTTCATTATAATATCTTCAAAAATGTTTACAACTGTGTGGGAGTCTAAGTCTCTTGAGAAATTCTAAGAACTTGCTTTATGAATCTGGGTGCTTCCATGCTGGGTGCATATACATTTAAGATAGTGAGAGCTTCTTGCTGAATTGAGCCCTGTAACAATTATGTAATGCCCTTCTTTATCTTTTTAAATCTTTGTTGGTTTAAAGTCTGTTTTGTCTGAAACTAGGATCACAATCCCTGCTTATTTCTGTTTTCCATTTGCCTGGTAGATTTTTCTCCATCCTTTTATTTTGAGCTTATGTGTGTCACTGCATGTGAGATGGGTCCCTTAAAGACAGCATATCAATGGGTCTTGCTTTTTTATCCAGCTTAACATGGTGTGTCTTTTAATTGGGACATTTAACCCATTTACATTCAAGGTTAGTATTGATACGTGTGAATTTGATCCTATCCTCATGATGTTAGCTGGTTATTTTGCAGACTTGTTTATGTGGTTGCTTCATAGCGTCACTGGTCTATGTACTTCAGTGTGTTTTTGTAGTGGCTGGTAATGATCTTTCCTTTCCAGACTTAGTGCTTCCTTCAGGAGCTCTTGTAAGGCATGTCTGGTGGTAATGGACTCCCTTAGCATTTGCCTTTCTGAAAAAGATCTTATTTCCTCTTCACTTATGAGGCTTACTTTGCCTGAAAACAAACTCTAGGTTGGAATTTCTTTTCTTTAAGAATGTTGAGTATTGACCCCCAATCTCTTCTGGTTTGTAGGGTTTCTGCTGAGAGGTCTGCTGTTAGTCTGACGGGCTTCTCTTTGTAGGCGTCCTGACCTTTCTAGCTGTCATGAACATTTTTTCTTTCATTTCAGCCTAGAGAATCTGACGATTACATGTCTTGTGGATGATCTTCTTGCTTCATTTCCTAAACCTGAATGTTGGCCACTCTAGGTAGATTGGGGAAGTTCTCATGGATGATATCCTAAAATATGTTTACCAAGTTGATACCATTCTCCCTATCTCTTTTGGGGACACCAATGAGTCATAGATTTAGTCTCCTTATATAATCCCATATTTCTCGGAGGTTTTGTTCATTTCCTTCTCATTTTTTTCTGTACTCTTGTCTAATTGTCTTATTTCAGAAAGCCAGACTTCAAGCTCTGAGATTCTTTCCTCCACCTGGTCTGTTTTGATATTAATGCTTGTAATTGCATTATAAAATTCTTGTAGTGTGTTTTTCAGCTCTATCAAGTTGTTTACATTCTTTTCTATACTGGCTATTTTGTCTATCAGACTTCAACTCCCACGCAATAATAGTGGGAGAGCTTGACATCCCACTGACAATATTAAATCATCAAGACAGAAAACTAACAAAGATATTCAGGACCTGAGCTCAGTACTGGATCAAAGGGACCTGATAGATAGCTACAGAACTCTCAATCCCAAAACAACACAATATACATTGTTCTTATCACCACATGGCACATCCTCTAAAATCAATCACATAATCAGAAGTAAAACACTCCTCAGCAAAAGAACTGAAATCATTTTAAAAAAAAAAAAAAACCCTTTCTGACAACAGCATAATCAAATTGGAAATCAAGACTAAGAAATTCACTCAAAACCATACAATTAGATGGAAATTGAATCAACTGCTCCTGAATGAATTGGGGGAAATAATGAAATTAAGGGACATATCAAGAAGTTCTTTGAAACTAATGAGAACAAAGATACAACATACCAGAATCTCTGGGACACAGCTAAGGCCATGTTAAGAGGGAAATTTGTAGCGCTAAATGCCCACATCAGAAAGTTACAAAGATCTCAAGTTAATAACCTCACATCACAACTGAAAGAACTAGAGAACCAAGAGCAAACAAATCCCAAAGCTAGCAGAAGACAATAAATAACTAAAATCAGATCTGAACTGAAGGAGATTGAGACATAAAAAAAAAAATTCAAAAGATCAACAAATCCAGGAGCAATTTTTTTGAAAAAATTAATAGATCACTAGCTAGACTAATAAAGAATAGAGAAGATTCAAATAAACAAAATCAGAAACAACAAGGGGGATATTACCACTGACCCCATAGAAATACAAACAACCATCAGAGAATATCATGAACACTTCCGTGCACATAAACTAGAAAATCTAGAAGAAATGGATAAATTCCTGGACACATACACCCTCCCAAGACTCAACCAGGAAAATGTGAACCCCTGAACAGACCAATAATGAGCTCTAAAATTGAATCCTTAATGAACAGCCTAAAAGCAAACTGAATCCGGCATCACTTCAAGAAGCTTATCCACCATGATCAAGCCAGCTTTTTCCCTAGGATGCAAAGTTGGTTCAACATACACAAGTCAATAAATATGATTTATCACAAACAGAACTAAAGACAAAAACCACATGAGAATCTCAATCTATGTAGAAAAAACTTTCGATAAAATTCAACACCTATTCATGTTAAAAACTATCAATAAACTAGATATTGAAGGACTATACCTCAAAATAAGAGCCATCTATGACATACCCACCACAAACATCATACTGAATGGGCAAAAGCTGGAAGCATTCCCCTTGAAAACCAGCAAAAGACAAGGATGCCCTCTCTCACCACTCCTATTCAACACAGTATGGGAAGTCCTGGCCAGGGCTGTCAGGCAAGAGAAAGCAATATAGGGCATCCAAATAGGAAGAGAGAAAGTCAAACTATCCTTGTTTGCAGACAACATGATCCTATATCTAGAAAACCCCATAGCATCAGCCCATAAGCTCCTTAAGTTGATAAGCAACTTCAGTAAAGTCTCAGGATACAAAATCAATGAGAAAAAAATCACTAACATTCCTATACACCAAAAACAGTTAAGCCGAGAGCCAAATCAAGAACACAGTCCCATTCACAATTGCCACAAAAAGAACAAAATACCTAGGAATACAACTAGCCAGGGAGGTGAAATATCTCCACAAGGATAACTACACAACTGCTCAAAGCTATCAGAGATGACACAAACAAATAGGAAAACATTCCATGCTCATGGATAGGAAGACTCAATATTGTTAAATTGGCCATACTGCCCAAAGCAATTTATAATTCAATGCTCTTCCATTAAACTTCCATTGACATTCTTCACAGAACTTGAAAAAAACTATTTTAAAATTCATATGGAACTAAAATTCATATGGAGCCCAAATAGCCAAGGCAACCTTAAGCAAAATGAACAAAGGTGGAGGCATCACACTACCCAACTTCAAACTATACTACAGGGCTACAGTAACCAAAACAGCATGGTGCTGGTATAAAAACAGATACATAAACCAATGGAACAGCATACAGAGCCCAGAAATAAGGCTGCACACCTACAACTATCAGATCTTCAACAAACCTGACAAAACAAGCTAGGAGGAAAGGATTCCCTATTCAATAAATGGTGCTGTTATTACTGGCTACCCATATGCAGAAGACTGAAACTGGACTCCTTCCTTATACCATATACAAAAATTAACTCAAGATGGAAAAAAGACTTACATGTAAAATCCAAAACTGAAAAAAAAAACCCTGGAAGACAATCTAGGCAATACCATTCCGGAAAGAGCAATGGGCAATGATTTCATGGTGAAGACACCAAAAGCAATCGCAACAAAAACAAAAACTGATGAATGGGATCTAACTCAACTAAACAGCCTCTGCACAGCAAACTATCAACAGAGTGAACAGACAACCTACAAAATAGGAGACAATTTTTGCAAACTATGCATCTGACAAAAGTCTAACATCCAGCGTCTATAAAGAACTTAAATTTACAAGAAAAAAAAACATTAAAAAGCAGGCAAACGACATAAATAGACACTTTTCAAAAGAAGATATACATGTGGATAACAATCATATGAAAAAAAAAGCTCAACATCACCTATCATTAGAGACACGCAAATCAAACCACAACGAGATATCATCTTATATCAGTCAAATGGCTATTATTAAAAAGTCAAATAACAGATGATGGTGATGTTGCAGAAAAAGGAATGCTTATACACTGTTGGTGGGAGTGTAAATTAGTTCAACCATTGTGGAACACAGTGTGGCAATTTCTCAATGACCTAAAAACAGAACTATCATTTGACTCAGCAATCCCATTACCAGGTATATACCCAAAGGAATATAAATCATTCTATTAAAGACACACATGCACGTGTGTGTTCACTGCAGCACTATTCACAATAACAAACACATGGAATCAAACTAAATGTCCATCAATGGTGGAATGGATAGAGAAAATGTGGTACATATACCCCATGGAACAGTATGCACCATAAAAAAGAACAAGATCACATTCTTTGCAGAGACATAGATGGAGCTGGAGGCCATTATCCTTAGCAAACTAATGCAGGAATGGAAAACTAAATACCACGTTATCATTTATAAGTGGGAGCTAAATGATGAGAACACATGGACACCTAGAGGGGAATGATGGACACAGACGGGAACAACAGACACCAGAGCTTATTGCAGGGTGGAGGCAGGGAGGAGGGAGAGGATAAGGAAAAATAACTAACAGGTACTAGGAATAATACCCGGTTTGACAAAATAATCTGTACAACAAACCTCCATGACACAATTACCTATATAACAAACCTGCTCATGTACCCCTGAACTTAAAAGTTAAATTAAAAAATAAATAAAAATATTTCATCATATGAATGTATGATTTTAACTCATTCTCTAATTCATAGAGATTTGCATTATTTTGAGTTATACATGTTTATTTAATATTTGTGTCAAGTTTTTTTGTGCAGGTTTTTTTTTTCAATGTTATATATCAAGGAGTAAAACTGCTTTGTCACAGAGCAAGTTCAATTTTATGCAAAACTGAATAACAGTTTTCCAATGCAGTTGTTGCATTAAAAAAAAACTCTATAAAACATTTTAACACCACAATACAATTCTTACCAATGAGGTTTCCCTTTCCTTCCCTAACTCCTTATTCTATCAAAAGGAAAAAACAAGAGAGGAAAAGGTGCTGTGATCGTCCCTAAACACATCCTCCTCCTTGACCCAAACATCAATACTTGTCCAGGGCTGCAGTTCACCCAGCCCCTAGACCAAGGTAAAATGCCACTCTCCCTAATGAATGTTCAAAATAAGTGTATAAACTTCACCACAGTCTAACTAGGCCATCTAAAGTCTGAAGTATTAACTGAAACAATATTAAGCTCCCTATTTAAACTGGAACCAGGACTACCCAGAGGACATTTGTTTATAGCCTCTGCAGCTACATCAATGTATATAGATGTCCTATATTATCCCAAATGCTACAAAGCCAACAAAAGGTTAGTTTTGCAAAGCTTACTTTTATTTTACTCGATATGTAATATTACAGGGAAATCTTTCTGACAAAAGTCTCAATGAGGGCCCCTTACTGAAATTGCTGTAGGAAACTCTACCATTGCCTCCATCACAAGCAATTTTTTTGTAGACTTAATTATATTGAAACTCTAGAGAAACTTCTGTTTTACTATAAACTCTACTTCATCAAGAACTTGTTCCAGAAGGAAAATAAAAGAGTTACACTATGAAAGTAATGTTTGAGTTTTCCTGAGCTCACAGAAAATACTTATGTACACTTGCCTCAACTTCTGCTTGATTTTTGCAAGACAGGGAGTCAGGAGGGGAAGAAATCTTCCTTTGTAGAAGGCTCTCATTAACACAGTTACCTTGGACAGCTAGATGTTCACCTGATGAAAGACAGCCTTATCCCTGTGACAAGGAGGACAAGTGCAATCATTTGTTCAGGTGTGCCTCCCATTTAGAGAAATGGTCTTCCAATCGTAAAAATGCTGTCACATTTTCATACAGTCACAAGATAAATAAGAAAGTGCCTTATAAACAAATCTTAAATAGATTCAAGTTTGTAGTCTTTGCACCATTCAAAAATATGGCCATTTCCTTTAAATACCAGCTCTCACATTTGGCCAATTGCCTTGGCAATAATATTGCCTTAAAATGTAGTGACTAACTAATGCCAGAAAAAACAGAACACAGATACAGTATTATTCTTTTCTTTCTAGATTGAGAGAAGACAGAAGCATATTTTTAAGAAGTATAGCTATGTAGGGCTGGGCGCGGTGGCTCACGCCTGTAGTCCCAGCACTTTGGGAGGCCAAGGCGGGTGGATCACGAGGTCAGGAGATCGAGACCATCCTGGCTAACACAGTGAAACCCCGTCTCTACTAAAAATACAAAAACAAAATTAGCCGGGCGTGGTGGTGGGCGCCTGTAGTCCCAGCTACTTGGGAGGCTGAGGCGGGAGAATGGCGTGAACCCCGGGAGGTGGAGCTTGCAGTAAGCAGAGATCGCACCACTGCACTCCAGCCTGGGTGACAGAGCCAGATTCCATCTCAAAAAAAAAAAAAAAAAGAAAAGAAGTATAGCTATCTAGAATGCAATTAACCTAAATAATTTAAATGGAATCAAATGCAAGATTATAATCTATGTGTCAAAAGGAGTCTGAACAAGGAGATTAAAATGTTAACACTGGCACTCATATTAGTCAAAATACACCTAGCAATTAAAAGTTTTTTAAATGTTCAACTGTTCACTTTCTATCATAGAGAGTTTGTTCAATGTCTCATATTCATACTTCTTTCAGTCAACACATCTATCGGCATTGAGGAAAGGCCACTGAAACTCAAATCAGGTGGTGTAAATTTATATTCTCACTTGGCCACTTACAAGCTATGTGACTGTTGAAAGCCTGCCTCTGGCAGCTCTTCAGAAAAAAAGATATGTAACCTCTACTACTCGGTTATCCTGGGTAGAAAACCACATCATATGCAAACACTACATATGGCATAAATTGTATTTAACAAGTGGAAAAGTAGCATTTACATAAAAGATATTATTTTACTATCTACTAGCAAGTTCAGTGCCTGGACTATATTAAACATTGAATAAAATAACATGCAAAAACATCCACGGTTATAATACTAGTTTTATTCCTACTCAACATTTATTGGTTCACAATATAAAATTTATGAGAAATATTTTGATATATGTAGAATCATACTGGAAAATTTAACATCTCCTTCAGATTTCTCAAAATAAAAAGCACATAGAGGTTCAACACGACAACTTGCCAAAATACATTATTAGAGAGAAAATTTTACCTCATAAACAGATAAGCTTTTAAAATAAAAACACTGTTGTAATCTATAAGCTTTACAAAAACTGATCAAGTTCCAGAGCAGTGACTTCTAAACATTAAAATTCATAGGAATACCCTGGGATCTTCTTAAAATTGAGATTCTAAAGTAGTAGATGTAGGTTGGGGGCTGAGAATTTGCCTTAATGCTGTTAACTGCCTGGGAACTACATTTTGAATAGCAGGGTCCTAGATCATGAAGTAAAAAAAAGGAACCACATTATATGAGGCTTCAATAATAGAGCTAGTATAGTAAAATAAGAATTTACAACTAAAGGAGGAAAAGAGCAAACAAAAAATTCAGCTGGGTGTGGTGGCTCACGTCTGTAATCCCAGCACTTTGGGAGGCCAAGGCAGGCAGATCACTTTCGAAGTCAGGAGTTCGCAACCAGCCTGACCAACATGGTAAAACCCTGTCTCTACTAAAAATACAAAAATTAGCCGGGCGTGGTGGCACATGCCTGTAATCCCAGCTACTTGGGAGGCTGAGGCAGGAGAATCACTTGGACTCAGGAGGTGGAGATTTTTGGTGAGCCAAGATTGTGCCACTGTACTCCAGCCTGTGCGACAGAGCGAGACTCTGCCTCAAAAAAAAAAAAAAAAAGAAAATTCAAGTGAACTTCTTACCTTGGGGTAATTAAGAAAAACACTATTTGGGCTAAAGAGAAAATTAAAATGAAAATTGTACATAAAAACTGGGCAAAGAAAGCACATTTAAAACTAGAAATGCTATAAGCCAAAGCAATACTCAAAAATATGTACATATAGGGAGAGATAGAGACCAAAACAGAATGTTCAACTGTAAGACTAACATAATCCACTAACCAAAATCAGACAAAGACAGCACCAAAAGCCAATGTACGTTATAAGAAATGCTGCAAAAATCCTAAACCTACTAATGTTTATACCAGATATGCTTAAGTGGTCCAATATGTATTAAAAAAACTCCTAAAGAAATCTGTTACATTAACAGATTAAAGGACAAAACCCATGTGATCATATCAGTAAGTGCTTGAAAGATTTTGATCTAAGTAATTCATCACTTTGCTAACAAAATGTATTAGCAAGCAAGGAACAGTATTCAAGGTCCTTCATTTAATAAAAAATATCTAGCACAAATCACCACATGTAATAGTGAAGAAATATTACACATGTTCCCATTAGATCAGGAAAAAGACAAGGATACCTATTATCATTGCTACTATAAAGTTACATAATGGAACTTTCAGTAAATGCAATGAGAAAAGAAAATGTTAACCAAAAAGAAGCATATGTAGGAAAGAAAAAAATGTAAAAATTGTCTTTCCTGAACAAATTATATAACTACATGAAAATGAAAAAGCCAAGAGAATCTTTTTTTTTAATTTTTATTTATTTTTTTTTTCTGGAGACATGGTCTCACTATATACCCCAGGCTCTATCAATCCAACCAACTCAGCCTCCCAAAGTGCTGGGATTACAGGCGTGAGCCACTCTGCGCAGGTGAGAATCACTTTTTAAAAAACTATTAGAATTGATAAGACTCTGGTAAAGATTCAAATATAAAATCAACATTCAAATAATTAAAAAGTATTACTTAAAAATCTCTCATAATAGAAAAGCTACAAGATGTCTAAACAGTATCACAGCATGTATAAAATCTATTTAGAAAAGCTATAAGATGTCTAAACAGTGTCACAGCATGTATAAAATCTATTTATAAAAGCAAATTACTGAAGGACATTAAAAAAACTCAAATAAGTAAAGAGTTTTCATACTTCTATTTTGGAGGACTCTATACTGTAAATGTGTGAAATATCCCCCTGATTACCCTACAAATGCACCCAAAAAAGCTCAGCTCTTAAAAACTGACATGCATTTACAATTCATTTTCAATGAGAAAAAAAGAAATACCAGAGAACCTACGATTATTCCCTTCTTAGAACAAGCTGTGCTGTTTCCTGCCTCAGGCCCTGCCTAATGCACTTCCTGTTCCCTCTGCGTCACATGCTGTGTACCTCCACTCTTCGGTAATCGCTGGTCAGTCTCACTCATTGGATCTCAGCCCCCAAAAATCCGTTCTTGGACTTCTTTATTTAAGGTAGGCAAGCACATACAGGCCCATAATACACCCTAGGTGTGATCTATCCAATCATCCACTTCAAACTGTGACCATCTCATCTATGAGATGTTTATCCTCTAAACAACTAAACAATGCTTACCCTCTAGCACTCCCATCAGAACTATGTTCCAAGAGCTCAGAAATCATGTCTCTCTTGTCATTTCCAGATAGCTGGTATCACAATGACTGACACATGAGCTTATTGTTCTTAAAATTCTTAAAGCACGTGTCTACTTTCACCATTAGCAGCAATCTAAAAACCTACAGAGCCAAAGAATTACACATAAATACAATGGAATAATATACAGCCATTAAACTGATGTTGCTGAAGAACAATTAGGGACAGGAATTAAAGCAAATGGAACGTAGAGCACAATTCCATTTTTGTAGTCAAATTTATGTGCACAAAAGACATATATGGATGCACATAATACAACAATTACCTCCACTCATATATTTTAAATGACTTTATTTGTATTTAATGTTTTATTTTCACATTTTCTAAAAAAATATGAATTATATTTAAAGGAAGAAAAACTCAATATAGGTTTGTTATTGTATGCATAGGTATGTGTTTTAAGAAAACAGGCCTCTTCACTTCCTCCAACTCCCTTATTACCTTTGTCACAACATATATAAACTCAGAAAAAAACATTCAAAATTATAACCTTGAACTCAACAAGCCACACTGGAAATACACTCAGTGCTGCTCATAGAAACCCACTTAATCCCTGTCCTGCTGCTTTAAAAAATGCAAAATCTTAAGTGAAAAAAGGTAAATGTTGCCAGCATTTGTTCTGTAAAGGGAAATCACAATTCAGAAAGACTCATTTTTTCCCTTTGAAGTTAGGAACAAGAACAAAACCTCCCTAAATTCTCACCCTGCTGCTGCAAGAGGAAGAACAGAAGAGAGAATGTTCTGTGATGGAATCTCATTTTGGAGTCTGAAAGAACGCTACATTGCTGCCTCTGTGACACAGAGCTTGCCATTTTCTATGGTGTTTTCTATCAGAATCACATGAAAATGTGACAAAGCCATAAATCACAGGAAACTTTCACCACTAGATGGTGAGCTTGTGGCTTGGCAGCTCATGCCTCTGATCATTGGTCTCTTCAACCAAAACATTTAAGAAATCAGATATCCATTTGATTCATTTTAAAAATTTATAGTATTCTTTGATGGTAGTTTGTATGTCTGTGGGATCGGTGGTGATAAAAATTTAATGAAGAAAACAAGTACTTTGCAACTAAGCATGATACAAGTCAAATGCAGATAGCTATCAAAACATTTTTAAAATAACCAAAGTGATTACACTTAAGTCCTGTTAAGTCCTGGTTTTCCTAATACACATCTTATATTCAAATTTCTCTAGGGGATGGGTTACTTAATAAAGTGAGAATTCCTGTACTTAGGATCCCTAGTTTTGACCTGCTGCTTATCCTGTCTTTTTAAAACCAGGCTTGAATGGAAAAAAAAAAAAAAAAAAAAAAAACACTGCAAAGCACACTCTGAAGCTTTTGCTTAAGGGACAGCTCTCCTTTGGCCAGTTCACTGTGGTCACTCATTCCCAGCTACCACACTGCTCTCTTATCTCTGGTTCCTGACTGACCTGCACTCTAGTTTGTTCAGAAAAGTCTAGAGGTGAAGCTTTAATCCTAGCCCACTTAGTTTCCTTTCCCCGCATCAGTGCCAAGGCATTAGCAGAACCAGTATTTCTCCATAAGGGAAAACTAATGAATTCATTTTAAACCAACTTCTTATAAGCCAAGACAAGGCATTAGCTATCAGTCATGACTTCAAATAGATACAACTGCTGAGGACTAGCACGTTGCATTTTTCCAGCCACAGGTATAACCTGTGCATTTAGGTTATTTTATTTTTCTTTCAGGAAAATACTCAATATAATTAAACATCTGCTCTCTAACATCCTATACAAATGAATGGCTGATGATTTTAGAATCACTGACAGTTTGGTTTAAAGACAGAAGATCATTTAATTTATTGTTTTTAATAGAAAATTTCTTAAATGACATTTTAAGGAAATGTCAAGAATGTTGGTAGAACTAGAGTGTGTAGTGTAAGAAAAAGATGCGAAATTTAAGCCTTTCTTAAACTGCGGAATTATCTTATGAATGGCAATTATACTCAATATTGTGATACAGAGACACCTCAGGACCCAATGCATCATAAAGGGTCAGTGTTCCTATATCAAATGATGCTGGATTGCCATCCTTTTCAAATTCTTATATGCTCTGTAAGATTTCCTATGTCTTGCCTTGAAGTCAACTGTCATTTTTCATGGTAATTCACTATGCTGCCTATAGAAATTCTTATCCTCATTTGTTTGCTATTTCTAATACCATATACTTAAAAATTAAATAGGCTTACTAAAATTGTACATGAAACAATGAATAAGCTCTGGGGATTGGTAAATAGAATTCTTATCTATCACAACCTTGTGTACTTCAGTGAGAGAACTCTGTTATACTCATTTAGAGATACATTATTTAATAATAATTGTGTATGTATCTTGTGTTCCTTTATTAACTACAAGTTTCTTAAGAACAAGAGCCACATGAATCACCTTTGTAACCCCATAGCTAACCCCCAGCAAGGTACCCTGATAAATGCTGAAAGCATTTTCAATCATTATTATTATTATTATTGTTATTGAGAAGGATTCTTGCTCTGTCGCCAGGCTGGAGTGCAGTGGCACTATCTCGGCTCACTGCAACCTCTGCCTCCAGGGTTCAAGTGATTCTCCTGCCTCAGCCTCCCTAGTAGCTGGGACTACAGGCACTTGCCACCACGCCTAGCTAATTTTTGAATTTTTAGTAGAGATGGGTTTTCAGCATGTTGGCCAGGATGGTCTCAATCTCCTGACCTAGTGATCCGCCTGCCTTGGCCTCCCAAAGTGCTGAGATTACAGGAGTGAGCCACCACACCCGGTCTTCAATTATTTTTATTGTTTACTTCCCTTATATTTTAGATAGTTTAGGTCCAGATGAGTAAGGTTCTAGTAATTTTAACAGTGGAACCAAAGATCAAAACTCTCTATACTTATCAGCTTACAGCCTAAGTTGTGGTCCTTCCAAAATTGCCTTCTCTTTAATTCAGACATGTCACATAATCACCATTCCTGGTTATGAGTCAAGCAACCAGGTATCAGGAGAAGCCACAGCAGAGGGTCTCTGAATGTCAAGGGCTGGTGAAAGGCCAATGCTGGTAGTATACACAAAGGCACCAGTTAGATACCAGGAAATACGTGCCCTATAACTCACAAGAGAGACTTCTCTCCCAAAAGGAAGAAAAAATGCACATGGATACCTTTAATTTGCTACAGCCCTGTGAATGCTTAAATTTGGATAGGGCAGCAAAATGAGGCACACAGCTGTAACATTAGCTCTTCATGGATGTTTTAAATATTTTTAAACTTGCCAACAAAATAGCCCTTTCTCTGTTAAGTAGGAGGTATGGATTTTTATATGTATTAATATTTATATTAGAGCACTGAATGTGCAAACCTTTGTTTTATGATCATTTCTGAAAATATAAATAAGAAGTACTAGCCCTGATTTCTTGAGGCTTTTGGATTTTCTTAATGTGGCAGTCACAATAGATGAGACTCACATTGTTAGAAGCTATTCATAAGCAATTTACAAAATTATAAATTCAAGTTAGGAAAGTTGACTATCTAAATGTTTCCTTATATCTCTGAGGATGTGGAAGATTAGTGTTCACTTTAGAATGAATAAATCAGTATTGTGATGATCTCAGTTCTACAATGAAATAAAAGTGTTTAGAACTGGTAATAATCATAATTTGATCTATGTCATTTTTTTCTACTACTGTACCCACAGAACTAAAAACAAATCTAACGAAATGTGATTGGGAAATAAGGGCCAGAATCTACAATTTATTGCCCAATTAATTATCTCTTTAGTTACTTCACTATATTGGCATGGACAATTAATGGGTTTACAACACCAATGCTGCTTTAACACTGACTTAAATATTTTAAGATGTCTAAAAAACAAATTGACAATCAGAGTCCTGCCATCTATTAACAACAACCCGAATGATTTTATCTTTCTCTCACAGCTTAACATTAATGCAGTCCAGGAAATATTCTAACATAGTAATTGCAACAAATAATACAGATTATCTAAACCATGAGTGATGAAGTTAGTGCTAAGAATTTCCCCCAGACCTACCACTTAGGTAATCTTTTCTTCTATGATTACTTAATAATATTCAAATATAGAAATCTGTTAGCTTATTATCTAAGGACAGATTATATTAAAACTAAAATAAGTTGTTGCAAAATTTGTTTTTGTTTCATGATTTCCAAACAGCCTTAAAGACTGTGTTAATCTATGGGACAGGGGAGAATACATGTGACAACTATCAATCTATTGCCTCTTAGCACCAAATCCACTGTTTATTTTCTAAAAAGAGAGCTGAACACTAGAAGTAAGCATTCCTCCTTTGCAGTGAAAATGATGCTAAGTTTTGTCATTAGGGGATACTGTAAGGACAGAGCAAGAGGAAGGGGCTTTCTTTCCTCGTTCCAGCACATTTGTATTTGCTTCTTTATGCTCCTGCCACCCTGCTACAAGCAGTGCATGCAGGGGGCATGTGCTGGTGGCCTACCCCAGCGGTATGCCCCAACCCACAGACCCTTGGTAAGTTCATAGCCAGCCCAACTCTGGCCCAGTGAACATGTCACCATGGCCCTCCCAACACAGACACTGCAGGCTCCAAGACTCACATCACTTAGCCAGTGATCATATCCCCAGTGCCTGAATCCCTCCATGTGTCCATCCACCAGGCTGGGCCCACCTGAACCCATGAGAGGTGTTCCAGGCCTGCCAGCCTCAAGTTGCCTATAATCTGGAGAGAAATTTTCTGCTCCACTGGAAAGTATGGACCAACTCTGGCCTGGACAACTCAGCAAACTTCTCTGACATCCAATAGGCCACAATCATAATGTCTACAATGAGGTCTGAAACCCAGCCTCGGGAGGCGGCTCCCCTTCCAAGTTTGTTCCTTTTGGGGTTGCTATTAATATAACAAAATGCCACAGACTGGGTGGCTTAAGCAACAGAAATTTATTTCCTCACAGTTCTAGAGGCTGGAAGTCCAAGATCAAAGTGTTGGCAGGTCCGGTTTCTTCTGAGGCCTCCTCCACTGACTTGCAAATGGATACCCTCTTGCTATATCCTCACATGGCCTTTCCTCTGTGTGCACATACAATCTTGGCATGGGGGGCATTGGGGGAAGGTGGTCTGTTTCCCAAGTTTCCTTTTCTTAGAAGGATACCAGTAAGACCAGATTAGGGATCACCAAAAAGGCCTCATTTTAATGTAATCACCTCTGTAAAGACCTTATCTCCAAATATGGTTACATTCTGAGGTACTAGGGATTAAGACTTCAACAAATGACGTAGATATAAAGTTTTCACTGTAGATGTAAAACAAATCCAGTTCAGATAGCTCTAAACAGAGGCACAGTACCCTTCCAACATATTCTGAAGCCTCAGCACTTGCCACAATAACATTCTACTTCAATACAACTAATATACTGAATAAATTTATGGAAAGCAGTATTTCAGAACGTCAAGTCTTGGTACTAGGAGTGCTCACGATTACCAGATTGGTTATTGCTTCTATGTGTCTTCTGTAGAAAAAAAAGCTAGGAAATATGGGCTTTCTGATATGTATTAATGGTGCAGTGTGTTGTTAAACTGCTTCCCTGGCAACATTCTATGTTCATGTTTTTACAACATTAGTATTTCTGCAGTTCGTACCCTTGTGATTTAGAATTAAGAAAGTAAAATGTGGTTTTGCAATATCAAAGTATAGCCCAGTTACATTCTCTGCCACTTATTAATCTTAACTACTGTGACAACTTTGTTGATCAAGAACATGAAGTCCTGTGGTATAACATTAATACACAAGATAACAGTTTCATTACCTTCTGCTGGAGTGATAAAACATAAACCACTTGCTTGGTCTAAGACAGCCCACACAGACACTTAAAAGTGTTGCTTTGAGGCAAGGAAGTTAGATGTCAAACTGTCTACTTCTTATACATAAATTGAAGTTTTCCTTGTAAATGTAAAACAAATCCAGTTCAGATATCTCTGAACAGAGGTATAGTACCCTTATGGCTTTTTCTGAAATCCCAGCAGTTGCCACAATAATGTTCTGCTTCAATACAACCAAGATATTGAATGAATTTCTGGAAAGCCTTATTTCAGGACTTTTATCTTGGTCCTAGGAATGCTCACTATCACTAGATTGGTTACTGTTTCTACAGATTTTCAGTACAAAAAGAAAAGATCTAGGAAATATAAGCTTATTTATCTTTCATTTTATATATGTATGGTAAATATGCATGATATATGTATGTATATAAAAGTTCAGATTGTCATACTAATAATTTTCATTAAATGTAGGACTATATGTTCCTTATATTCTTAACAGGAGGGGACACTTACAGGCTCCTGGAGTACTTGGCAAGGCTCTGTATCCCCTTGTTACCAAAACAAGGATGTTTGCCTTTAGTAACTCATTATGCTTCATATCTGCTTCATGTGGTTTTCTGTATATACATTGTATAAATATTGTTTCATATAACAATGTTTTAAAATACCAAAATGGCAAAGTTAAAAATATGGCAAGGGTCTAAGACAAAAGTGTGCTCCCTCACCTCCTAGTGTGAATCAGCTTTGTGATATGGTATCTCTTTAAATCTACAATCATCCATAGACTGCCTCAGCCGGGCGCAGTGGCTCACGCCTATAATCCCAGCACTTTGGGAGGCCGAGGCGGGTGGATCATGAGATCAAGAGTTCAAGACCAGCCTGGCCAAGATGGTGAAACCCCATCTCTACTAAAAAAAAAAAAAAGAAAAAAAAAATTTAGGCAGGCATGGTGGTGGGTGCCTGTAATCCCAGCTACTCGGGAGGCTGAGGCAGAGAATTGCTTGAACCCGGGAAGCAGACGTTGCAGTGCGCTGAGATCGTGCCATTGCACTCCAGCCTGGGCAATAGAGAGAGACACTGTCTCAAAAAAAAAAAAAAAAGACTGCCTCATACTAGGAATTCAAGATGATGTTCCCCAGTTAAATATTTTGGTCTAATTTGGCAATTTTATAATGGTCCAAGGAAAGACTAATTATAAGAAGTCAAATACTAACAACTCCTGTGGGAAATAATGTCTCCTCCTGTCTTGTTATTCTCGGGATATACAGAACCTGGAATGTATAAGTTCATGCAAGTGTCCAGTCCACCCTCATAGGGTAAGAGCTTGTTGCCTATATATACAACTCTAAAGACAACAGATTCTCTCGTCTTTCCACGTGTCAACCTCTAAGCCAGAATTTCCAAAATTTCAGTCATTCAAAGGTACTAATGGCAGGTGCTAATGGTTATTACACACATATACACATATGCACACATGTTCTATGTCAAATGAGCTGGAAAACAGTTCATGGTGTATTCTACTTGAAGACCCAAGCTCTGAGATCTCAGCTATACCTTGCAGTAGAGGACCTGATTAAATTTGTTTACTCTAGCTTTTGCCCAAGTAAGTTTACATCTAGCATCCGTCTGTCCTTGAAACTAGGTTTGGAAAATGTTGTACCAAGTAATGGCTTTGCTTCACCTCTAAAAATAATTTAGGAAGAAGCATATGATTTCTTCCTTCCCCAGAACTCTTCAGATTCCCTAGTAAGTGGGAAGGTAAGTAAGGAGGTAAATAAGGAAGCTTGTGGCTCCTATTGACCTACTTCCACCCCTTGGAAGATCCATTTGCATTTAGTGCACACAGAATTTGTCATGGTCTCAGACCAGAAGGTGAAACTGGTGTATGTCTTCCAGGTCATATGTATGATTTTTATATTGCTCATAGCACAACTTGTCATTTCTCTATGAAATTCTCAAGAAACTGGTTGAGGAATTTTGGAGACCACAGTAATCAGGGATTCTCAAACTTTAAAGTAAAAAGAATCACCTTAAGTCCTTAAGTCCTATTTAAAACGTAGATTCCAGGAGCTGATTCCCAACAGGCTATGTAATAATGTAATAATGTTTAAGAAAGCAATATAACCATTTATTCGCAGGATTTTATCTATATTGTTAGATAGGTCTGGGGCTCAGGAATTTGCTTTTTTAGCTCAAGTGATCCTTCTGCCTCAGCTTCATGAGTAGCTGGGACTACAGGCACACACCACAGTGCCTGGCTAATTTTTAAAAATTTTTTGATAGAGATGAGGTCTCACTATGTTGCCTAGGCTGGTATCAAACTCCTGGCTTCAAGTGATTCTCCTGCCCTGGCCTCTCAAAGTTCTGGGATTATGGGAATGAGCCACCATGCCCAGCCTAAAAAAATATTGCTTAATACTGATTTAGCTGTTTGTATCCATCTTGCCTCCTACTTCTGTTAATGTGTTAGATGTTGGCAACTAATATATTCTAGTGCTTGTATAAACTACATATGAAAGCAAGATCCCTTTGGTAAACTAGAGTATGTCACGTTCTGATAAACACATGGAATGAGGGAAGAAAAGCATTTTCTAATAAATAATAGCTATTTTTAACTTTGACAAGATAGGCAAATGAACCACCATTTTCTGAACATATGCTGTCCACAGGCAATGTGCTACCCATATAATCTCATTCAATTCTTCTAGTAACACCCTGTAAATGATTGCTTTCCCATTCAGCTGATGAGAAAAGTAAGGACAAATAAATTACAAAGGTCCTTTAGATAGTAAGTAGCATATGGCTGCCTTCCAAGTTAATCTGGAGGGGTGATTAACTTTTCTGTCCCTATTTCCTAATCAGCAAAATAACACAGCTATAAAATTATCTTTGGATATGTTGATGAACATCTAGCATGATTTTCTAGAGTCCAAAATGTAGCTGCTTCTAGTAAATTGAATATCTGGATAATTTTGGACTTTCAAAATAATTTTTCATGTTTTTACATATTATGCCATTTATTTTTAAAGTAATTTAAACTATTTGCATTTTAGTATTTAACTAAGATTAAGATAATATACCTGCCAGCAGAAAGGTTTTCAGTCACCAATAATTGAAAACCCATGTATCTATAATATAGCTATTAAATCTGAATATTTTAAAACAAAAAAAGGGACGACAGACATGTATAATGGTAATTTTTAAAAACAAATTATGGTCTTTGGTGCATATTAGATAAAAGTACCTTGTTCTCCTATGTCATAGTTACCTAAGTACGTCAACATATTTCTTTGATATCCTTCCCAGATAAAAGTGGCTTCTTAGACACGGAGATAAAGAATCAGTTTTTTTCAAGGACATTTTATTACATGACACTGTGCTAAACAGAACTACTGATTAGACAGATCATTTGCTAAGTGGAAGAAACTCTCTTTCATTTAATTATCCACTCAATCACTTATTTACTGTTCTCTTCCTCCTTTAGAATTTCAGTATTCTCAGTCCTCAGTTAATCTGGGAATTCACCTATTTTTTTTTTTCACTCCTCTATATTTCCTTTCATAGAACTTAGCAGATAGAAGTCCCAAAGGACTAAAGATTCTACTTGTCCTAATGTCTTCCCCAGGGATTCCTGAAGCAAATCAATTCCCCATCTATAAGATGGAAAATTAGTATATTCATGGAGGTTATATATGTTGGTAAAGAACTGTTCTAAAAGAGTTTCATGACCCATTGATAGAAAACTGAAGTAAAAAAAAATAAGTAGCACTTATTCTGGTTAGCTATAATGTTGTAAAACTTTGAACAATGCTAAAGCTAAAAAGTCTATTAGATGATAAATGTAGAAAACAAATATAAAAAAATTTAAATGTCTTTTTAAGGTGGAAATCATAACCATTAAAAACACTTGTTTGGAAAAAAAAAAAAGAGAGAGAGAGAGAGAGCAAGCAAAGAAAGAAAGAAAAAAAGAAAGTAGAGGCTCTGGCCCAGCAGCTAGCCCAGGACCTGTCATGAATTAGGTGGGAATAACTGTAGGATCGAACAGAATTCCTAGGTAATGGCTTGAATTTTATTTTCAAAAATAGGTACTGGAATTCATTTTTCAAATAATAAGTCTTCTATTTTTTCTCCTAAAAAATGTGTGTATATTGGTGGGACAGGGGGAGAGGAGAGTTTGCTTTCTTTATGATAGGACCAATGTCTTATTTATCTTCAGACTCTCTCCACCGTGCTCCCAACACATGATGGTTATTCATTCAACAAATAATACAGCCCCTACCACCTTCCAGGTATTATGGCAGACCAGATGCTAAAGATAAAACCTAGTTCTATTACTACCATTACAGCCATTTTTAAAGTAACTACAGTGCACTAGTACAAACTTACTCTACAGAACCAACATTACTGTTTGATGCACACTGAAAACACATCGGATGTTTTTAGTTCATTCTCTATGGGCTGTTTGCCAATTGGGCCTTGGACCCCAAAATCTAGTAATCAGATTATTTGGTGATATATCCAATATGGGACACAGCAGGAAAAGCCTCAATAACAGGACTGAGGCCCTATCACTTTCCATTCTTCTTCCTCTGCTCAATCAGATTTCAAAGCAGCACAGGTACGGAAAAAAAAGTTTTTAAAAAGTTGGTGTTATTATCCTAGAGAAAACTGCAAGCTAATTATGTCCATCAGTACCAAGCTTCTTTGACCCTCCCTGCAAGAAGTAAGTCAATACCTACATTTTACATATTTTTCTTCTTTCCCACTCCCAATTAAGAAAACATACTTAAAGCAAAATCATGAAAAGGAACAAACACTTTAATTTTCTATACAAGTCCAATTTTTAGATTTAATTATATGAACAACCTACAGTAATTATATTTTTTAATTATGCTAATTTGTAATAATTACATTTAAGTCTCTTTGCTAAAACGTTACTGTGAAATTACATAACTCATCATTTCAAATTGTTTATTACCATCAACGGAGTGTTTATAGTTCTCTAGTCAAAAACCATTCAAAACTACTGTCACTCGTAAATTACCTCACTTTTTTATGCTGAGTCTTTCAAATGCAGAAATGTTCTTAAAAGCAGAACTTTATTATCAAGTTGGACTTAAGTAAACGCCTGGAAATGCATGGAGGCTGCAAAGGGGCATTCTGACAATTTCATTGCATAAAAACCGCATTATTCTAAGGAAAAGCCTTATCCCAATTATTTTTTGAGGCTTTATATGGTAACATCATTTTTAGTAGAGCACAATAAAAGACAGTGGATATTGGAAAATACTTAATGAATAGATTATATTTATTTTTAAACCATATATGTACTAACTTCCCATTTTTTCAAATATCTTCCCTTAAATTAATGCTGAACAAATAAATAAGTCCCATAAAATGTTAACCAGAGAGATGTGAGGGCTGAGTGAAAGTTTTAAGGTAATATTGACTATCCATTCTAGATTCAATTCTTTGATTTAAAAATTACTTCGTCAATGTGTATACAAGGACGTAAGGGCAAAGCTAGTCATGTTATCCCCATTTTATAGCTAAGTAAACTGAGTCTGAGAAAAATTTCAGTAACTTGGCCCAGATAGCATACCTGGGTATGTGGAAGCTGACTTCAAAGTTCTTAACTAAACCAAGCTATTCTGGTTCCTATATGATAACATGGTAAGAATTTGGAAGGGAAAAAAAAAAATCAAGCAGAGGTTTTGATGGTAATAACGTGACTAGTAAAATCTTAACAGAAATAACCAAATTAAGGAGACTTATACTAAGCAGACCACTTAAGCAAAATGATGACATGATATCTTCTTAACTTAGTGAAGCTCAAAACAAACAGATTTTTGATACATCAAATGGATTACTCAGAGAAGCATCTGAATCACACCACTAGATCCATAACATGGTTGGTAAAAATAATAAATTCTATATTCTGGAGGTCAGCAAACTGGTTTTGTGTGTCCTGAAAGCTAAGAATATCTTCACATGTTTAAATGGCTAAAAAGAAAAAAGATAATTATTCATGACATGTCAAAATTATAAGAAATTAAAATTGTAGTGTCTATAAACTAAGTTTTATTGGAACACAGCCGTACTCATTCATTTGTGTACAATTTATTGCTGCTTTTGTACTACAACAGCAGAGTTGAACTGTCAAGACAGAGACAATCTGATCCATAAAGCATAAAATATTTACCATGTGGCCCTTTACAAAAAAAGATTTGCTAACCCCTAATCTAACACATACATTAAATTGAATCCGTTGTTTTCATTACATGGAATTGAAAATAAACAGCATTTCGCTATTTTATTGAGAAGAATTACTATGAATCAAGAAACTATGATGTCAACCATCAAATGGAATGTACATTGTTTCATTAAATTTGCCATATTCTGGGTAAGTAGAAACTTCCTTTAGACAATTTGGATTCAGGCTCTGTTTACTATAACAAGCTGTGTGGAATTATTCCTAGGTCGGCCCCAGAACTCTTGCACAAAGAACCCAACTTAGAAGGCAGAAAGGCTAAAAACAAAAACAAGCAGCAGCATGCAGTTTTATATGCCAATGCCAAGAAGGAGTTAAGATCTAAAGAAAAGAGGTTTAACAAAACAGAGACTTCCATATAGACTGCAACATAGCTACAATAAAGAAAGTGGTTTGAGCGTGTTACTCCTGCACATCATTAAAATTTCATTCTACACATAATGTAAGGTTTGTTTCCTCTAGTTAAACTGTTAAGTCAGTCTGCAAAGCTCATCTACTAGAGATGCACTCCTAACCAAAACAAAAATGTTAGCTAATTTGCTTCTGGCAAGAAATGTGCCTAGGTCCCAAGGAATACTCAAGAGCTATAAAGTTATTCAAATGATACTGCTTTTATCCCACATCTGGAAAAGCCGATAACAGCTAATTTCACAAAGCCTTACCTCAGAAAAGTTCATCCACAATTTGTAACAAAAGATCAAAACATTAACCCTCATTTAGAAGTCAATGAAAACAAGTATAAGTTTTCCCTGTCTCACTCAAGAAGGCAGACATGCTCTAAGAGGGAAAAACAGAAACACAATAGCAATAGACCTGGAGGAAAAAAAAAATCCATGGGTAATAATGAAATACAAAAAAAATTCAAAATATATTGCAGCGAAACGTTAGACATCGACAAAGCTGATAGAGCATAAATCCATATAAATTTCTACATCATTATAAAGCCACATCCATTATTACCACTAAACTAGCAGTCACTGATAGAAGAAGTTGTTTCCATTTTACTGTCAGAAAGCAGCTCCAACTGAAATCATTTTGCTAAAGAATTAACCAAATTAGCAGAAAGAAAAGACAAGGAAGTTCTGCTTTCTCGAAGGTTAATTTAAAAAAAAATTAAAAGTTTTATTGATACCTAATAGTTGTACATATTTAGGAGTACATGTGAAATTTTGATACAAGCATACAATGTTAATTATCAAATGAGGGTAATTAGGATATCCATCATCTCAGGTATTTATCATTTTTTGTGCTAGGAATATTCCAATTCCACTGTTTTAGTTATGTTGAAATATACAATAAATTATTATTAACTACAGTCACCTTATCATGCTACTGAACATTAGATCTTATCCTTTCTTCCTATTTTTTTAACCACTAGCCAACTCTTCTTTATCTTTCCCCACCCCCACCCACCCCTTACCCACTATCTTTCCCAGCCTCTTCTAACCATTATTCTACTCTCTATCTCCACGAGATCAATTTATTTTTTAGATTTTTTTAGCTCCCAAATATGAGAACATGCAAAATTTGTCTTTCTGTGTCTGGCTTATTTCACTTAACATAATGTCTTCCAGTGCCATCTGGGTTGTTGCAAATGACAAGATTTCATTCTTTTTTATGGCTGAATAATATCCCTGTGGGTACATGTGCACATTTTCTTTATCCATTCATCAGTGGACATTTACGTTGATTCCATATCTTGGCTATTGTGAATAGTGCTGCAATAAACCTGAAAGTACAGGTAGCTCTTAAATATTATGATCTCCTTTCTTTTGGACATACAGCAGTGGAATTGCTGGATCATACAGTAGTTCTATTTTTAGTTTTTGGAGGAACCTCCATACTGTTTTCCATAATAGCTTTGTGAATGTACATTCTCAGTTACACTGTAGGAAGAGTTCCCCTTTCTCCATGTCTTCGGCAGCATCCATTATTGCCTGTCTTTTTTGTAAAAGTCATTTTTGTCAGGCCTCTGAGCCCAAGCCAAGCCATCGCATCCCCTGTGACTTGCACGTATATGCCCAGATGGCCTGAAGTAACTGAAGAATCATAAAAGAAGTGAATATGCCCTGCCCCACCTTAACTGATGACATTCCACCACAAAAGAAGTGTAAATGGCCGATCCTTGCCTTAAATGATGGCATTACCTTGTGAAAGTCCTTTTCCTGGCTCATCCTGGCTCAAAAAGCACCCCCACTGAACACCTTGCGACCCCCACTCCTGCCCGCCAGAGAACCCCCCTTTGACTGTAATTTTCCTTTACCTACTCAAATCCTATAAAACGGCCCCACCCATATCTCCCTTCGCTAACTCTCTTTTCAGACTCAGCCCGCCTGCACCCAGGTGAAATAAGCAGCCATGTTGCTCACACAAAGCCTGTTTGGTGGTCTCTTCAAACGGACGCACATGAAATTTGGTGCTGTGACTCGGATGGGGGGACCTCCCTTGGGAGATCAATCCCCTGTCCTCCTGTTCTTTGCTCCATGAGAAAGATCCACCTACAACCTCAGGTCCTCAGACTGACCAGCCCAAGGAACATCTCACCAATTTTAAATCAGGTAAGCGGCCTCTTCTTATTCTCTTCTCCAACCTCTCTCATCACTGTCCCTCAACCACTTTCTCCTTTCCACTCTTCAATCTCTCCCTTCTCTTAATTTCAATTCCTTTCATTTTCTGGGAGAGACAAAGGCGACACGTTTTATCCGTGGACCCAAAACTCTGGCGCCGGTCACAGACTGGGAAGGCAGCCTTCCCTTGGTGTTTAATCATTGCAGGGACGCCTCTCTGATTATTCACCCACGTTTCAAAGGTGTCAGACCACCCAGGGATGCCTGCCTTGGTCCTTCACCCTTAGTGGCAAGTCCTGCTTTTCTGGGAAAGGGGCAAGTACCCCAATCCCTTCTCTCCTTGTCTCTACCCCTTCTCTGCTTTTCTGCGGGAGGGGCAAGTACCCCTCAACCCCTTCTCCTTCACTCTTAGCGGCAAGTCCTGCTTTTCTAGAGGGGCAATTACCCCAACCTCGTATCTCTGCGCCCCAATCCCTTATTTCCATGCCCCAACCTCTTATATCTCTGCACCCCAATCCCTTATTTCCATGCCCCGACCTCTTATCTCTGCGCCCCAATCCCTTATCTCTGTGCCCCAATCCCTTATTTCCGTGCCCCAACCCCTTATTTCTGTGCCCCGACCCTTTATTTCCGTGCCCTGACCCCTTATTTCCATGCCCCGACCCCTTATTTCTGCACCCCATCCCTTATTTCTGTGCCCCATCCCTTATTTCCATGCCCCAACCTCTTATCTCTGCACCCCAACCCCTTTTCCTACTTTTCTGGAAGGTAAGAACCCCCGAACCCCTTCCCTCCATTTCTCTACTCCCTCTTTTCTCTAGGCTTGCTTCCTTCACTATGGGCAACCTTCCACCCTCCATTCCTCCTTCTACTCCCTTGGCCTCTGTTCTCAAAAACTTAAAACCTCTTCAACTCACACCTGACCTAAAACCTAAATGCCTTATTTTCTTCTGCAATGCCACTTGACCCCAATACAAACTCGACAGTAGTTCCAAATAGCCAGAAAATGGCACTTTGAATTTTTCCATCCTGCAAGATCTAAATAATTCTTGTCGTAAAATAGGCAAACGGTCTGAGGTGCCTGACGTCCAGGCATTCTTTTACACGTCAGTCCCTTCCTAGTCTCTGTGCCCAGTGCAACTCGTCCCAAATCTTCCTTCTTTCCCTCCCGCCTGTCCCCTCAGTACCAACCCCAAGCATCACTGAGTCTTTCTAATCTTCCTTTTCTACAGACCCATCTGACCTCTCCCTTCCTCCCCAGGCTGCTCCTTGCCAGGCCGAGCTAGGTCCCAATTCTTCCTCAGCATCTGCTCCTCCACCCTATAATCTTTTTATCACCTCCCCTCCTCACACCTGGTCCAGCTTACAGTTTTGTTCCCTGACTAGCCCTCCCCATCCTGCCCAGCAATTTACTCTTAAAAAGGTGGCTGGAGCTAAAGGCATAGTCAAGGTTAATGCTCCTTTTTCTTTATCCCAAATCAGACAGCATTTAGGCACTTTTTCAACAAATATAAAAATCCAGCCCAGCTCATGACTTGTTTGGCAGCAACCCTGAGACGCTTTACAGCCCTAGACCCTAAAAGGTCAAAAGGCCGTCTTATTCTCAAAATACATTTTATTACCCAATCTGCTCCCGACATTAAATAAAACTCCAAAAATTAAATTCCAGCCCTCAAACCCCACAACAGGATTTAATTAACCTCGCCTTCAAGGTGAACAATAATAGAAAAAAGTTGCAATTCCTTGCCTCCACTGTGAGACAAACCCCAGCCACATCTCCAGCACACAAGAACTTCCAAACGCCTGAACTGCAGCAGCCAGGCATTCCTCCAGAACCTCCTCCCACAGGAGCTTGCTACATGTGCCAGATATTTGGCCACTGGGCCAAGGAATGCCCGCAGCCCAGGATTCCTCCTAAGCCACGTCCCATCTGTGTGGGACCCCACTGAAAATCGGACTGTTCAACTCACCTGGCAGCCACTCCCAGAGCCCCTGGAACTCTGGCCCAAGGCTCTCTGTCTGACTCCTTCCCAGATCTTCTCGGCTTAGCGGCTGAAGACTGACACTGCCCGATCGCCTTGGAAGCCCCCTAGACCATCACGGACGCCAAGCTTCGGGTAACTCTCACAATGGAAGGTAAGCCCCGTCCCCTTCTTAATCAGTACAGAGGCTACCCACTCCACATTACCTTCTTTTCAAGGGCCTGTTTCCCTTGCCTCCATAACTGTTGTGGGTATTGACAGCCAGGCTTCTAAACCTCTTAAAACTCCCCAACTCTGGTGCCAACTTAGACAGTACTCTTTTAAGCACTCCTTTTTAGTTATCCCCACCTGCCCAGTTCCCTTATTAGGCTGAGACACTTTAACTAAATTATCTGCTTCCCTGACTATTCCTGGACTACAGCTATATCTCATCGCCACCCTTCTTCCCAATCCAAAGCCTCCTTTGCATCCTCCTCTTGTATCCCCCCACCTTAATTCACAAGTATAAGATACCTCTACTCCCTCCTTGGCATGATCATGCACCCCTTACCATCTCATTAAAACCTAATCACCCTTACCCCACTCAACGCCAATATCCCATCCTGCAGCATGCTTTAAAAAGATTAAAGCCTGTTATCACTAGCCTGCTACAGCATGGCCTTTATAAAGCCTATAAACTCTCCTTACAATTCCCCCATTTTACCTGTCCTAAAACCAGACAAGCCTTACAAGTTAGTTCAGGATCTGTGCCTAATCAACCAAATTGTTTTGCCTATCCACCCTGTGGTGCCAAACCCATATACTCTCCTATCCTCAATACCTGCCTCTACAACCCATTATTCTGTTCTAGATCTCAAATATGCTTTCTTTACTATTCCTTTGCACCCTTAATCCCAGCCTCTCTTCACTTTCACTTGGACTGACCCTGACAGCCAACAAGCTCAGCAAATTACCTAGGCTGCACTGCCACAAAGCTTCACAGATAGCCCCCATTACTTCAATCAAGCCCAAATTTCTTCCTCATCTGTTACCTATCTTGGCATAATTCTCATAAAAACACACGTGCTCTCCCTGCCAATTGCATCCGACTGATCTCTCAAACCCCAGCACCTTCTACAAAACAACAACTCCTTTCCTTCCTAGGCATGGTTAGTGTGGTCAGAATTCTTACACAAGAGCCAGGACCACACCCTGTAGCCTTTCTGTCCAAACAACTTGACCTTACTGTTTTTTGTTTTTTGTTTTTTTTTTTTTTTTTTTTTGAGACGGAGTCTCGCTCTGTCGCCCAGGCTGGAGTGCAGTGGCGCGATCTCGGCTCACTGCAAGCTCCGCCTCCCGGGTTCACGCCATTCTCCTGCCTCAGCCTCCCGAGTAGCTGGGACTACAGGCGCCCGCTACCACGCCCGGCTAATTTTTTGTATTTTTAGTAGAGACGGGGTTTCACCTTGTTAGCCAGGATGGTCTCGATCTCCTGACCTCGTGATCCGCCCGCCTCGGCCTCCCAAAGTGCTGGGATTACAGGCGTGAGCCACCGCGCCCGGCCGACCTTACTGTTTTAGCCTAGCCCTCATGTCTGCATGCAGTGGCTGCCACTGCATTAATACTTTTAGAGGCCCTCAAAATCACAAACTATGCTCAACTCACTCTCTACAGTTCTCATAACTTCCAAAATCTATTTTCTTCCTCATACCTGACGCATATACTTTCTGCTTCCTGGCTCCTTCAGCTATACTCACTCTTTGTTGAGTCTCCCACAATTACTGTTGTTCCTGGCCCAGACTTCAATCCAGCCTCCCACATTATTCCTGATACCACACCTGACCCCCATGACTGTATCTCTCTGATCCACCTTACATTCACCCCATTTCCCCAAATTTGCTTCTTTCCTGTTCCTCACCCTGATCATGCTTGATTTATTGATGGCGGTTCCACCAGGCCTAATCACCACACACCAGCAAAGGCAGGTTATGCTATATAGTACAAGCCACTAGCCCGCCTCTTAGAACCTCTCATTTCCTTTCCATCGTGGAAATCTATCCTCAAGGAAATAACTTCTCAGTGTTCCATCTGCTATTCTACTACTCCTCAGGGATTATTCAGGCCCCCTCCCTTCCCTACACATCAAGCTCAAGGATTTGCCCCACCCAGGACTGGCAAATTAGCTTTACTCAACATGCCCTGAGTCAGGTAACTAAAATACCTTTTAATCTAGGTAGATACTTTCACTGGATAGGTAGAGGCCTTTCCTACAGGGTCTGAGATGGCCACCGCAGTCATTTCTTCCGTTCTGTCAGACATAATTCCCCAGTTTAGCCTTCCCACCTCAATACAGTCTGATAACAGGTGAGCCTTTATTAGTCAAATCAGCCAAGCAGTTTTTCAGGCTCTTAGTATTCTGTGAAACCTTTATATCCCTTAAGGTCCTCCATCTTCAAGAAAAGTAGAATGGACTAAAGGTCTTTTAAAAATACACCTCACCAAGCTCAGCCACCAACTTAAAAAGGACTGGACAATACTTTTACCACTTTCCCTTCTCAGAATTCAGGCCTGTCCTCGGAATGCTACAGGGTACAGCCCATTTAAGCTCCTGTATAGATGCTCCTTTTTATTAGGCCCCAGTCTCATTCCAGACACCAGACCAACTTAGACTGTGCCCCAAAAAACTTGTCATCCCTACTATCTTCTGTCTAGTCATACTCCTATTCACCGTTCTCAACTACTCATACACGCCCTGCTCTTGTTTACACTGCCGGTTTACACTGTTTTTCCAAGCCATCACAGCTGATATCTCCTGGTGCTATCCCCAAACTGCCACTCTTAACTCTTGAAGTAAATAAATAATCTTTGAGGGCAGGACTATGCTGAATCTCCTTAGGCACTCTCTAATCAGATATCCTGAGTCGTCCCAATTCTTAGACCTTTTATACCTGTTTTTCTCCTTCTGTTATTCCATTTAATTTCTCAATTCATCCAAAACCGTATCCAGGCCATCACCAATCATTCTATAAGACAAATGTTTCTTCTAATATCCCCACAATATCACCCCTTACCACAAGACCTCCCTTCAGCTTAATCTCTCCCACTCTAGGTTCCCACACCGCCCCTAATCCTGCTTGAAGCAACCCTGAGAAACATCGCCCATTCTCTCTCCATACCACCCCCCAAAAATTTTCGCCACCCCAACACTTCAACACTATTTTGTTTTATTTTTCTTATTAATATAAGAAGGCAGAAATGTCAGGCCTCTGAGCCCAAGCCAAGCCATCGCATCCCCTGTGACTTGCACGTATATGCCCAGATGGCCTGAAGTAACTGAAGAATCATAAAAGAAGTGAATATGCCCTGCCCCACCTTAACTGATGACATTCCACCACAAAAAAAGTGTAAATGGCCGATCCTTGCCTTAAGTGATGACATTACCTTGTGAAAGTCCTTTTCCTGGCTCATCCTGGCTCAAAAAGCACCCCCACTGAACACCTTGCGACCCCCACTCCTGCCCGCCAGAGAACCCCCCTTTGACTGTAATTTTCCTTTACCTACCCAAATCCTATAAAATGGCCCCACCCCTATCTCCCTTCGCTGACTCTCTTTTCGGACTCACCCCGCCTGCACCCAGGTGAAATAAACAGCCATGTTGCTCACACAAAGCCTGTTTGGTGGTCTCTTCACATGGACACGCATGAAAATTTTCACTAGGTGAGATGATATCTCATTATAGTTTTGATTTGTATTTCTCTGATAATTAGTGATGTTGAACATTTTTTCATATACCTCTGGGACATTTGCATGTCTTCTTTTTGAGAAAAGTCTATTCAGATCTTTTGTACATTTTAAATCTGATTATCTGTAACAGAATTATAGCAAGGAGTATACTCCAAAAAAATTCAATCTTTATCATTAAAGAAACATCTAATGGTCATCTCATAGTAATTTCTCAATTGCACAATGCCATTCTATTTTAGGGGGAAAAAATCTTCCTTTTGCCTTGGTTTCCACCTCTATGAAATGTATAGATCCGAGTCTATCTCCTAAATGTAAGATATTTAGTGCATAATATGTATACAGTGTTTAACATAAGTGAATCTCTCTCCTGCTCCCCTCCCCCTTGTTTACTTTACCCCCTGCCCCCAGACAGGTTTACTATAAGAGTATTGGCTATGAAATGCCTCTCATATGATTTAATGTGCATAGAAGTCTCTTGGAGAGCGTGCTTATAGGCAGATTCTAATTCAGTAGGCTTGGGGGTGGGACTAGAGAATCAGAATTTCTAACAATCTTTAGTAAAGCTGATCTTGCCTGTCCGTAGACTTTCAGTAGCAAGGCTCTATAATTAACTATGAATGGAGAACGGATGCAATTAGAAGGAATATTTTCATTGCAAGTAACAGAGACTTCACTGAGAGTTAACTCAGAAAATTTAAGAAAATATATGACTTGGAATAGACCTAACTCCGAAACCAAGTATCTGGAAGTCTCTCTCCTCCACTTGGCACCTGTTCACCCTTCTCTTCTGCCCAGATTCCTCACCATCTATTCCAGTAGGTAAGCATCAGACTCAGGGGTTGTGCAGGAGGGTGTTCCTTGTTTTTTTAAAAAAAAGCTCACTGGGAGTTCTACTGTACTGCCTCAGTAGAGAGCTCCATTTCCACACTCCAATCTTCCAACCCCAGTAACTTACACATGCAAAAGACATTGGCTTGTACTTTCCCAGTCTCAGACTCAAAATATCATTTTGTCCCTTTGATCTGCAGTTAATGGCTTACTCTACATTTCCTAATCCCTTAAAAATTATCACCCAACATTTAAAAGAAATAAAGTTGAAAAAAATATAGATAATACAGTAAACTGAGTGTTTGCTTATATCATTTGATTCTCACAGCAATCACCCAAGATAAATATTTTTATGATTGCCCATTTCATTGATGAAAAGACTAAAACTGAGGGAGGATAAGGATCTTGTGCAAGGTCACATGGCTAGTAAGAGCTAAGGTCCATCTCAATATAAGGTCCATGCTTTTAACCATTACCGCCAACACAACTCTCATATAGGCACTGGTGAATTTGAACTCATAGGCAATGTCTAAAAGTATTTGTTTTCTTGAAGCTCTGCCAGCAACAAATATTAAACTTCTGGATTCTTGACAATCTGATATCTCATTACAGTTTAATTTTTTTGAGAATTAAGTATATTTTCATATGATAAAGGGCCATTTGTATTTAGTTTTCTTTTAACTGTCTGTTCATATCCTTTGCTCTTTATTTAGTTATTACATCTTCCTAATTTTTTGAAGTTCTTTACAAATAAATACTTTTAGTCCTTTAGCTATGATAGGCTGCATGTTTTTTCCAAAATTTGTCAGAGTATTTTAATCCTGCTTATGAGGTTTTCTGCCATGTCAGTGTATTAAGATTTTTTAATTGTTTCTCAGTTTTGAATCATATACAGGAGAGTTTCCTCCACTCCTAAGTGCTTGCATGATTTTATTTTTTATATTTAGAAGTTACCCGGAATTTGGAATTTGTTCTAGTATATCATGTGAGGAACACATCTAGTTTTATCTTTCTCCATATGGCTATCTGGTTGTTCCAACACTATTTATTAAAAAGTCCATCTTTTTCTCACTGATCTGACTGAGATGCTATCATTTTCATATACTAAATTTTTGGCCAAGGAAACGAAAAAAGTAACAGAGACATTATCCAATAGCCAAAAACTAAAAACAATCCACATGTCTTTCAAAGGTTGAATAAAGAGTTCAAGGTTGAAAAATAAATAGCAAAAATAGCTAGAAAAAGTGCAGTAACTGGATGAGGAGGGAGGTTGTCTAGCCCTAACAGATATTAAATGTTATAAAGTCTCCACAATTAAAAATTGTGGCAAAGTTACAAATATGTTTACTGTTGATTCAGAAATCCCATCTGTAGTATTTCCCAAAATACACTTTGTAAAATAGAAAATAACCCAAGCATGAGGATATCATGCCATCAATTGTAAAAGCAAATAAACTGTGATTCATCCATTCAAGGCAATGAGGAAAAGCTCTAGATCTCTCATACAGAGTGATCTCAAGGAAAACAACTAAATGAAAAAGCATGGTGCAAATAATGTTTCAATATAATACCTTCCTTATGAGTGGGAGGGAGAGATAAAATTAAAATGGGAAAAACAACAACAAAAAAAGGATTGCCAAAAGAAGCAATAGAAAGATTGACCAAAAGTGGTTAATATGATTACTTACAGAAGCAGAGAAAGAACAAGGTAAAGGAAACAGGGCTGAAAGATTTTTGTGAATATATCTTATTATATATTGTTTTGACTCTGAAAACAAACATTTTTCCTTAATTTTTATCTTTACATTCTTTAACTTTTTTTAATTAAAATTTTTACTGAGATAATTGCAGAATAATATGCAGTTGTAAGAAATAACACAAAGACATTCAATGTCAGCATGCCCCAATGTTAATGTTTTGCAATACTACAGTATAATATTACAACCAGTATATTGACTTTGATACAATCCATCTAACTAATTCAAGTTTGCCCACGTCCCCTCCAGGCCAGCCAAGGTCAAGTGGGAGCGTAGAATTCTGCTCTGGAGAGAATTTCAAAAGGTGCCTAACATTAATACCAGGGTGGTGTAAGAACGCCAAGTAGCAAGCTACAACTATGGTGCACACTGGGTAACAAGATCCTACCACCTCCTGTGTCCATGGAGACAACATGGGGAGCTTAACTTCAGGTCCCATACAGCAAGGCAGCACCCTTCCATTTCCACTGAAGTGGTGACAGAGTAGGCCTAGTGGAGAGTAGCGACTTTCATCATCACCCAGTGGGAATACCATGGCATCTGTAGATAGGAGACAGGCAGAAATCCCACCCCAACCCAGGAGTGATAAAGAGCCCCATCCCCATGCCAACTAGGGCTGAGTGAGGAACCTGCACTTCTACCTCCATTTGGACTTAAGAAGGCAGTGTTCTCCTTTCTCATGGAAAATGCTGCTGGAGCAGTATCCAAAACTACCAGTTAAAACACAAAGTTTAAACAACATCCCAAGTCTCATAACATAATACAAAAATAGCTAGGTTTCAGCAGAAAGTCACTTATCATAACCAAAACCAAGAAGATCTCAAACTAAATGAAAAGAGATAATCAACAGAAATGACAGAAATGTTAGATTTATCTGACAAAGATTTTAAGGTGGCCATAATAAAAAATAAACAATCATAAATATGCTTAAAATAAATGAATATAAAATAGAAAGCCTCAGCAAAGGAAAAGAACATCTCAGCAAGGCAACAGAATTTATGAAGAAAAAAAAATAAGAAATTTTAGAAATGCAGTATACAATAATCAAAATAAAAATGCATTGGTTGGACTCAGTGGCAGAATAGATGGGACAGGGGAAAAGATCACTGAAATGGAAAACAGGACAGAAGAAAATCCCAGCACATTAAAACTTGTGGAACACAGCTAAAACATTACTGAAAGGAAAATTTGTAGCATTAAATGCATAGATTAGAAAAAAAAATGTCTACAATAACCTAATCTCTCACGTTAAGAACCCAGAAAAAGAATAAATTCAAAGCAAGCAAAAGGAAGGAAATAATAAACATAAGAACGTAAATCAATGAAATTAAAAATAGGAAAACAACAAAGGAAAATCAAACAAAAGCTGGATCTTGGGGAGAAAAACAACTGGTAAACCTCCAGCAACAGTAACAAAAAAAGAGACAATAATAAGAAGACACAAAACACCAATGTCAAGAATGAGATGGGTGCTATCACTATAAATCTTATAGCCAGTAAAATATGAGAGACTACTATGAACAACTTGATGCTCAAAAATATGACAGCTTACAGAAAAATGTACCAATTCCTGAAGAAACACAATCTTCTGCAGATCACTCAATATAAAAATGATCATTTCAATAGCCCTCTCACTACTAAGGAAATTGAAATTTAAAATTGTGATTTAAAAATATCCAAAAAAGAAAATCTCCAGCCCTAGATGGTTTCAAAGAAAATTCTAGTAAATATTTAAAGAATTAGCTATAATTGGCCAGGTGTGGTGGCTCACACATGTAATCCCAGCACTTTGGGAGGTTGGGAGTTTGCGACCAGCCTGACCAACATGGAGAAACACTGTCTCTACTAAAAATAAAAAATTAGCTGGGCCTGGTGGTGCACACATATAATCCCAGCTACTTGGGAGGCTGAGGCAGGAGAATCGTTTGAACCTGGGAGGCGGAGGTTCTGGTGAGCCAAGATCGTGCCATTGCACTCCAGCCTGGGCAACATGAGCGAAATTCCATCTCAAAAAAAAAAAAGAAATGAAAAGAAAAAAGAATTAGCTACAATTCTAAACAATTTTTCCAGGATAAAAGGTAGGAGAGAATACTTCCTAACTCATTTTATGAAGGTGGCATTATCCTGATATCAACATCAGACAAAAACAGTACAAAAAAAAAATACAGACAAGTATCACTCATGTCTATAATTGCAAAACTCCTTAAAAAATATCAACAAAAAGAATTCAGCAACACATAAAAAGAATTCTACACTATGGTGAAGTGGAATTTATTTCAGCAAGGCAGGTTCAATATTCAGTGGTGGTTTGTGTTGTTTACATTTTCTATGACCTTGCTGATTTTTGTCTAGTAGTTCTATCAACACTGGCTTGAGAGGGGAATGCTTAAGTCCCTGCCAATAACTGTGGATGTCTGATTTTCCTTTCAGTTCTATTAATGTTCACTTCATTTTGAGGCACTGTTGTTTGATACATATCCATTTAGGATCATCATGTCTCTGTGGTAGGTTTACCCTGTCATCTTATGTTGCCTCTAATAACTTCTTGTCTAGAACTAGTATCTCTAATAATTTTATTTTCTTTGAAGCCTAAATTATCAGGTGTTGATATAACCATTTCTACTATTTTTTATCATTTACATGGTATAATTATTCTCTTCTACTTTCAACTTACCTGTCATTGAATTTGAAGGGAGTTTCCTGTAAGCAACATATAATGGGTTCCTTTTTTTTTTATCCACTCTATCTCTGTTTTTTGTAAGCTTAGAACTTTCATTTTTAAGATAATTATTGAGATGTTCATATTAAGTCTGTGATGTGTGTTTTCTACTTGTTTCCTCTGGAAATCTCACTTTCACTTAGTTCTCTTTGCCTTCATCACTTTAAAATATCATTGTCTTGAGTATTATATGGCACTACAATTTTTGTTTCAATAAATCAAATATAATTTATAAAAGTCACGGAGACAAGTTTAGCCTATTGTATGTACTCATATTTAAGTTATCTGTTCCTTCCTTCTTCCTGGTTCTCTAAGATTTATTCTATGATTTCCTTTCTTTTTGAAGAACTTTAGCCAACTTTTAAGCAAAAGTCTGTTAGCAACAAGTTCTTTGCCTTCTTTCATCTGAGACTGTTTTTTCCCCTTTTACTTTCCTGGATAATAGCTTTACTGGATACAACACCTGCAGCTGATAGCTCTGTTCTAGCACTTGATAATATTCTAAGCCATGGGTCAAGAAATGCTAGGTCAGGGTGGACTTCTGTTGAGTCTGGGGGAACAGAATGTATCCTACCACTGTGCTGTCCCAAGCTGCCTCACCTTCTTACCACATTTTAGACTTCTCCTTTGGTTATCTCTTATACCATCTTTTCTGGACCTCATGTGTGCGAATGTTTTAAATCATTTTAAAAGCATTATATATTTAAAAGTTTCATCTCTAAATGAACATTCTAAAATACAAAATCAGATACCAAAAATATGATGATGTTATTCTGTTTTTCCTTAAGAAGGAACAGGTCCATTATTGTCAGGGTGTGCTCAGCCTGAGGTCAGTAATAATAGAACCTAGGTATTATCTTCATCATCAAAAAGCACTGTCCTCCACTCTCACCAACCTTCTACTCACCACATTTTAAAGTAATATATAAAATTTATACTACTGGCACTAATAAATTCAAACATGCCATATTTTTCCTTCAACATTAGGATGAAGCAGAGAATCCAAAAGGATTAGAAATGCTCTCCCCTTCACACTTTGAAGGAAACATCGCTGGATCAATTTAGTTCACAAATGTGTTTTACAAGGAGAAATGAGTCTTATATATAGGTAATTATAAGACCAACTCCTCAGATTCCTACTCTTGTGTGCAAAAGCCACACTCAAATCAACTTTTATTTATCCTATGGAAAAAAAGGTAAATGTTAAACTAAATTTAAACTATCTTTTAAAATATATCGTGAAAAATGCATACAAAAAGCTTGTGACATAGTTCAACAGTTACACAGTCTACTTCACTTTTAACTTCCAGCCATCAGCTTCCATCATTTCATGTATTAAGTGTGTTTTAGAACCACTGTAAAAATATAATTTGAAAGGTGTCTTTTAAGAAAACATTCAGAAGTAAAAATAAAACCTCTATGTTATAATATTTATTTTTAGAAGTCTTCATTAATTACAATATCCTTCTATGGTGCCTTAAAGATGGTGTTGTATCTCAAAAGTCACCAATCAAATAATTTATTTAAGCCAAGCTAATTCAAAATAGCAAATGGGCAGCCACTTTTCCAAACATTGTGATGTCCAGTAAGAAGAGCAAGAGAGATGAGATACCTATTTATGTATAAAATGAGGTGTACTATATAACTATTCATTATGCCTTATACCACAATATCATATTAAAAAAAAAAACAGTACAAGTAGGGACCATTATCACTGTTTCAAGGAGAGAAAACTTTGGACACAGAAAGGTTAACTGGCTTGCCCAAGGTGACACGGCAAGTAACAGGCAGAACCGCTATTCAAACCCAGGTAGTCTGTCTCCAAGGTCTCTGGATCTTAACCAAACACCACAATGCAGAGAGACTTCAGCCCTAGGAAATCACCAAAGGAGTGCATGTCTGGCTGCAAGATAAAAAGGCAAAATAAATGTCAAATCTTTAAAACAAGGATTCTATTTTAAGAGAAATAAGGACAAAACAAATGGCATTCCATTCATTGACACTGCAACAAATACAGCATAAAATCAGTTAAATATTCTTATTCTGACACTGCTAAAAAAAAAAAATCAAAGGATGCAAATCTCACTGATCTCAAAAGGTCTGCAAAGAAGTGAAATACTCCTGAATAACATGCAACAATTTTAAAATAAGCAAACAGTAGTTATCAAAATAAACTAAAAGGAAATTTAATTGCTCCCATATATAGCGCATTAGCAAAGGATAATGAATATTTTTCAACAATTTGCATATTTCAATTTGTAACAAATGCAAAAACATTGGATTTCAATGCTGAGGCGTCTTCAATTTTCTATCTCATAGGTTATTCTGAGAACAAACATGAAAAGCAAAAAGTCTCATCATAAAGCAAACAATCTGTGGACTGCAAAATTAAAAGAAGGTTTAAGATAGTTTCAAGTCCAATAACAAAATATCTCTTTTAGCTATTAAACGATCTCATTCTATTTAATAAACAGAATCACTTAATGCTTTCCATCTGCAAATCTCTGGTATAAAACCATGAAACTACAAATAAAGTACTTATAAAATGTCCTCATTATAAAAAAGCAATCAGATCTGTCACCACTCAGAACTTAAAAACAAATAGAAAAACTAGAGGATTTGAGTGGAAACAGGAAGAAAAGTCCAACATCAGAATATTGTTTTATTAAATTTAATGGAGAAATTAAAATTTAGGGGCCCTACTATTAGGCTACTGAAAGAGAAAGAGAAGTTTAGAAGTTGTGCTAGAAGAAGCACTACCATGCAAAACTCAATGACCTACAAGAAAGTCAGCCTCCTTTTCCTTCTTTCTCTTGAACATAATCAACTGGGGTTATTATTATTATTCAACTCCTGTCCTTACTGTAAAAGGGAAACCAAGTCCAACATCACACCATCAAGAAAGGTGTAAGCAACTAGTCCTATAATACACCACTATCTCAAGCAACAAAATGACTGTTCATTACTGGTGCTGTCATTTGGGTGTTTTCGCTCAACTGGAAATGTAACCCTATGTCATTTGTACCATAAAAAAGAAAAACATTCTAGTCTTCAAAAACCATCAGTATCTTCAATTATGGAAATTCCCATCAGAACTTATAATCACACTTGTATTTCAATTGGAGACATGTAAATAAAACTCATTTTTAAAGTAAAAGGACCTGAATTATATCCCCAAATGGGGAAGTACTTCAATAATTCTTCCTGGAGGAGGGAAAGAATTGCTGTTTCACATTAAGTCCCTGGAATTCCTGCCAATAGAATTTCAACCGCCTGAACCTCACTTCTAGCTTTCCATCTCAGCACAGGCCAAAGCCTGTACTTGTGAAAAATTCATCACTCTCCCAATAAAGCAATTTTGCCAAAAACTGTAGATCCCTTTTTACTCTGAGTGCTGTAAGAGGGGACCATACAGAAGAAAGGCATACACTGAGATGGCTACTGCAGCTCCACTCTCAAATATAACAATGAAAGACTGGTTTGTGATAAATTATAATATTCTTGCCATGCTAGAAAACTAATGAAAGTCTGTCTTTAAAAAGGGAAGCACCAATCTAGAGAGAAAAAAACTATATTTCAATACTCCAAAGAGAAGAGTGGATGCTGTCATCCTGGTTATATGAATGCAACATAAATTATGCTATAATATACTCTCACTTTAGGTGTATAGTTATGGTTTATGTACATGTATATATTTCACTCTAAAACCATTCAAAAATATCTAATGATTACCAATTATGTATCAAGCATTGTCAAGATACATGGATGAAAAATCAGTTCTGCCCTTAATGAAATTCTAGTCTCATGGTGAACAAACATTTAAATAAATACTGTAATCCCCTCAAAACCATCAGCAGGTTACTTTCTTTAAAGTATTTTGGCAAAATTACAGTTTTCAAGATCAAGGTCTTAGGTAAAACAGAGAAAAAAAACTGGAGATAGACAAATACAAAAAGTGTGTAAAAAAAAAAAAAACCCACCCATGTGTGCACACACACAATAGTAAGTAAAACTTTTAAAAAGTGTGAGCTTAGAGACCTGGTCTTCTAAGTGACCCTTTTCTTGTATCAACTGTGCAAGAAAAATGTGGTGACATTCAAAAAGCCTAAGTTAATCTTACGCAGCCATCTCTGTCCAGCGGTCATTTGGAGATATAAGCGCATATTTCCCTGGGTCTAGTCTTCCATCTGCATTAAATAATGGTAGAATACAACTAGACCTCCTCTGCCTGTGCTACCAGAGACCTACCAGCATATCTGTGGGAGTGGATGGCAGTAATGTTGTCTGGCTTTACCACTGAAAGGTAACAAAAGTAAACATCACATATGTTAAACTGAGCAGATGTTAAAATGCTGGTTACAAATATAAACTGAAGTAATTCAAAAATGTGTCTGACAAAACTTTAATAGTGGAGAAATCACAGTACAATATGGGAACTGCCATAAGATAGTAAGATCCATGCAAGTATCACCCAAATTCCCCTTTTTCTATGAAATGAAGCAATTTTTATACTGAGAATGAGAGACTGCTGGCTTTTTTTTAAAAAAGACAGCTTAATTATAATGAAATAGTGCATTTCTCTTCACTTTTGTTTCCCTTCCCAGATTATGTGAATACATTTCTCGTCTTTAACTGCAGAACAGCAATATGGCATTCTAACATCTATTTCCTATGAAAAATTGTGAGAAACAATCATCTAGGGAGGAAAAAAGATAGATTCACTATCCATGCACAACTACTACTAACATCTTCATATTTCCTTCCAGCCTTTGTTCTGTCTGTAACATGTTTGTTTTACCTAATTTTGATCACATGAGACACTATTTTCATGGCAACATGACAGGTGATTACAGAATTCAAAACTTTGTCTAATCTAATAGATGGAAATGGTATTTAGTTGTTTGCGCTGTTTTAAGTACTACTAAAATTGACCATTTTTCACCATATTGTTATTGTAAATCAATTCAAGAAAGAATTAATAAATTGATATGTACCATGCTTTATTTATTTATTTTATTTTATTTTTGAGATGGAGTCTCGCTCTGTTGCCCGGGCTGGAGTACAGTGGCACAATCTCAGCTCACTGCAACCTTTGCCTCCCGGGTTCGAGCAATTCTCTTGCCTCAGCCCTCAGCCTCCCAAGTAGCTTGGATTACAAGTGCCCCCGTCCTCCCACCACACCCAGCTTTGTTTTTTTTTGTTTGTTTGTTTTGTTTTGTTTTTTTGTAATTTTAGTAGAGATGGGGTTTCACCATGTTGGCCAGGCTGGTCTCGAACTCCTGACCTCAAGTGATCTGCCCACCTCGGCCTCCGAAAGTGCTGGGGTTACAGACATGAGCCACCACGCCTGGCCTTTATGTTTAAATACTAAGGCTGAAGAAAGAGAAGTGGTTAAGTAACAAAATATTCTTAAAAGGTAAAAGATAAGAGTATATTTCTACTTCTCAATGTTCAACATGTACCCAAAGACGGCACCCTTAAAAAATTCACCTCAATAGCATTAAAGAAGTTTTTTAAAGCACAGTTTAAATTAACAATAAAAGTCTTTGATTAATTGGAACATGACATAACAATTGCTATAAGAATTCAAAAAATATATATCAGATTGGGGTGCCCTGGAAAGGTTTTAGATGAGAAACAGATTTGAGCTGGTTCTTAAGCAAGCCTGCAGCCTGGGTGGAAAAAAAGACGGACATACAGAAACCAGAGAACAACTTAAAAAACAGGTTTGGTTAAAGTAAACTTATAAACTGTTCAGGAAGGTGTGCCCTTTAAGTTAACAAGCAAGACAGACCTGGAAGAGTGGAGATGACAGCTAACATGATGGTAGAAGGTAATATGGTAGAAAGTAAGAAAATAGCAAACTTCAATGGAAAATAACTAAAATTCAAAGCCTAACCTTTGGGAAATTACCCTAAATACAGAGTTGAAGAAATCTGAAATGCTAAATAAGAAAAAGAAGAGCCAGGCAGTTCCAAGATGGCTGAATAGGAACAGCTCCAGTCTACAGCTCCCAGCGTGAGCGACACGGGTAATTTCTGCATTTCCAACTGAGGTACCGGGTTCATCTCACTGAGGTGTGTCAAACAGTGGGTGCAGGACAGCGGGTGCAGCCCACTGAGCGAGATCCGAAGCAGGGTGAGGCAATGCCTCACCCGGGGAGCACAAGGGGTAAGGGAATTCCCTTTCCTAGCCAAGGAAAGCCGTGACAGACAGCACCTGGAAAACTGGGTCACTCCCACCCTAATACTGCACTTTTCCAAGGGTCTTAGCAAACAGCATACCAGGAGATTATATACGGCGCCTGGCTTGGAGGGTCCCACACCCACGGAGCCTTGCTCACTGCTAGCACAGCAGTCTGAGATCAAACTGCAAGGCGGCAGCGAGGCTGGGGGAGGGGCACCTGCCATCGCTGAGGCTCGAGTAGGTAAACAAAGCAGCCTGGAAGCTCGAACTGGGTGGAGCCCACCGCAGCTCAAGGAGGCCTGCCTGCCTCTGTAGACTCCACCTCTGGGGGCAGGGCATAGCTGAACAAAGGCAGCAGAAACCTCTGCACATTTAAATGTCCCTGTCTGACAGCTTTGAAGTGAGTAGTGTTTCTCCCAGCACAGAGTTTGAGAACTGAGAACGGACAGACTGCCTCCTCAAGTGGGTCCCTGACGCCCGAGTAGCCTAATGGGGAGGCACCCCCCAGGAGGGACAGACAGACACCTCACATGTTTGGGTACCCCTCTGAGACAAAGCTTCCAGAGGAATGATCAGGCAGCAACATTTGCTGTTCAGCAATATTCGATGTTCTGCAGCCTCTGCTGCTGATACCCAGGCAAAATGGGTCTGGAGTAGACCTTCCACAAACTCCAACAGACCTGCAGCTGAAGGTCCTGACTGTTAGAAGGAAAACTAACAAACAGAAAGGACATCCACACCAAAACCCCACCTGTACATCACCATCATCAAAGACCAAAGGTAGATAAAACCACAAAGATGGGGAAAAAGCAGAGCAGAAAAGCTGAAAATTCTAAAAATCAGAGCACCTCTCCCCCTCCAAAGGAACGCAGCTCCTCGCCAGCAATGGAACAAAGCTGGATGGAGAATGACTTTGACGAGTTGAGAGAAGAAGGCTTCAGATAATCAAACTTCTCTGAGCTAAAGGCAGAAGTTCGAACCCAACGCAAAGAAGCTAAAAACCTTGAAAAAAGATTAGACGAACGGATAACTAGAATACCCAGTGTAGAGAAGTCCTTAAATGACCTGATGGAACTGAAAACCATGGCATGAGAACTACGTGATGAATGTACAAGCTTCAGTAGCCGATTCAATCAACTGGAAGAAAGGGTATCAGTGATGGAAGATCAAATAAATGAAATGAAGTGAGAAGTTTAGAGAAAAAAGGGTAAAAATAAATGAACAAAGCCTCCAAGAAATATGGGACTATATGAAAAGACCAAACCTATGTCTGATTGGTGCACCTGAAAGTGACGGGGAGAATGGAACCAAGTTGGAAAACACTCTGAAGGATATTATCCGGGAGAACTTCCCCAATCTAGCAAGGCAGGCCAACATTCAAACTCAGGAAATACAGAGAACGCCACAAAGATACTCCTCGAGAAGAGCAACTCCAAGACACATAATTGTCAGATTCACCAAAGTTGAAATGAAGGAAAAAATGTTAAGGGCAGCCAGAGAGAAAGGTCGGGTTACCCACAAAGGGAAGCACATCAGACTAACAGTGGATCTCTCAGCAGAAACTCTACAAGCCAGAAGAGAGTGGGGGCCAATATTCAACATTCTTAAAGAAAACAATTTTCAACCCAGAATTTCATATGCAGCCAAACTAAGCTTCATAAGTGAAGGAGAAATAAAATCCTTTACAGACAAGCAAATGATAAGAGATTTTGTCACCACCAGGCCTGCCCTAAAAGAGCTCCTGAAGGAAGCACTAAACATGGAAAGGAACAAACAGCACCAGCCACTGCAAAAACATGCCAAATTGTAAAGACCACCGAGGCTGGGAAGAAACTGCATCAACTAACAAGCAAAATAGCCAGCTAACATCATAATGACAGGATCAAATTCACACATAACAATATTAACCTTAAATGTAAATGGGCTAAATCCTCCAATTAAATGACACAGACTGGCAAATTGGATTAAGAGTCAAGACCCATCAGTGTGCTGTCTTCAGGAGACACATCTCACGTGCAGAGACACACATAGGCTCAAAATAAAGGGATGGAGGAAGATCTACCAAGCAAATGGAACAAAAAAAGGAAGGGGTTGCAATCCTAGTCTCTGATAAAACAGACTTTAAACCAACAAAGATCAAAAGAGACAAAGAAGGCCATTACATAATGGTAAAGGGATCAATTCAACAAGAAGAGCTAACTATCTTAAATATATATGCACCCAATACAGGAGCACCCAGATTCATAAAGCAAGGCCTTAGAGATCTACAGAGAGACTTAGACTCTCACACAATAATAATGGGAGACTTTAACACCCCACTGTCAACATTAGACAGATCAACGAGACAGAAAGTTAACAAGGATATCCAGGAATTGAACTCAGCTCTGCACCAAGCGGACCTAATAGACATCTACAGAACGCTCCACCCCAAATCAACAGAATATACATTCTTCTCAGCACCATATCTTGCTTATTCCAAAATTGACCACACAGTTGGAAGTAAAGCACTCCTCAGCAAATGTAAAAGAACATAAATTATAACAAACTGTCTCTCAGACCACAGTGCAATCAAACTAGAACTCAGGATTAAGAAACTCACTCAAAACCGCTCAACTACATGGAAACTGAACAACCTGCTCCTGAATGACTACTGGGTACATAACGAAATGAAGGCAGAAATATAGATGTTCTTTGAAACCAATGAAAACAAAGACACAACACACCAGAATCTCTGGGACACATTTAAAGCAGTGGGTAGAGGGAAATTTATAGCACTAAATGCCCACAAGAGAAAGCAGGAAAGATCTAAAATTGAAACCCTAACATCACAATTAAAAGAACTAGAGAAGCAAGAGCAAACACATTCAAAAGCTAGCAGAAGGCAAGAAATAACTAAGATCAGAGCACAACTGAAGGCGACAGAGACACAAAAAACCCTTCCAAAAATCAGTGAATCCAGGAACTGGTTTTTTGAAGAGATCAACAAAATTGATAGACCACTAGCAAGACTAATAAAGAAGAAAAGAGAGAAGAATCAAATAGACGCAATAAAAAATGATAAAGAGGATATCACCACCGATCCCACAGAAATACAAACTACCATCAGAGAATACTATAAACACCTCTATGCAAATAAACTAGAAAATCTACAAGAAATGGATAAATTCCTGGACACATACACTCTCCCAACAATAAACCAGGAAGAAGTTGAATCCCTGAATAGACCAATAACAGGCTCTGAAATTGAGGCAATAATTAATAGCCTACCAACCAATAAAAGTCCAGCACCACAGGGATTCACAGCTGAATTCTAACAGAGGTACAAGGAGGAGCTGGTACCATTCCTTCTGAAACTATTCCAATCAACAGAAAAAGAGGGAATCCTCCCTAACTCATTTTATGAGGCCAGCATCATCCTGATACCAAAGCCTGGCAGAGACACAACAAAAAAAGAGAATTTTAGACGAATATGCCTGATGAATATTGATGCAAAAATCCTCAATAAAATACTGGCAAACTGAATCCAGCAGCACATCAAAAAGCTTATCCACCATGATCAAGTGGGCTTCATCCCTGGGATGCAAGGCTGGTTCAACATATACAAATCAATAAATGTAATCCAGCATATAAACAGAACCAAAGACAAAAACCACATGATTATCTCAACAGATGCAGAAAAGGCCTTTGACAAAATTCAACAGCCCTTCATGCTAAAAACTCTCAATAAATTCGGCATTGATGGGACATATCTCAAAATAATAAGAGCTATTTATGACAAACCCACAGCCAATATTATACTGAATGGGCAAAAACTGGAAGAATTCCCTTTGAAAACTGGCACAAACAGGGATGCCCTCTCTCACCATTCCTATTCAACATAGTGTTGGAAGTTCTGGCCAGGGCAATTAGGCAGGAGGAAGAAAGAAAGGGTACTCAATTAGGAAAAGGGAAGTCAAATTGTCCCTGTTTGCAGATGACATGATTGTATATCCAGAAAACCCCATTGTCTCAGCCCCAAATCTCCTTAAGCTGATAAGCAACTTCAGCAAAGTCTCAGGATACAAAATCAATGTGCAAAAATCACAAGCATTCTTATAAACCAATAACAGACAAACAGAGAGTCAAATCATGAGTGAACTCCCATTCACAATTGCTTCAAAGAGAATAAAATACCTAGGAATCCAACTTACAAGGGATATGAAGGACCTCTTCAAGGAGAACTACAAACCACTGCTCAACGAAATAAAAGAGAACACAAACAAATGGAAGAAAATTCCATGCTCATGGATAGGAAGAATCAATATCGTGAAAACGGTCATACTGCCCAAGGTAATTTATAGATTCAATGCCCTCCCCATCAAGTTACCAAAGACTTTCTTCACAGAATTGGAAAAAACTACTTTAAAGTTCATATGGAACCAAAAAAGAGCCTGTATTGCCAAGACAATCCTAAGCCAAAAGAACAAAGCTGGAGGCATCATGCTACCTCACTTCAAACCATACTACAAGGCTACAGTCACCAAAACAGCACGGTGCTGGTACCAAAACAGAGATATAGACCAATGGAACAGAACAGAGCCCTCAGAAATAATACCACACATCTATAACCATCTGATCTTTGAGAAACCTGACAAAAACAAGAAATGGGGAAAGGATTCCCTATTTAATAAATGGTGCTGGGAAAACTGGCTAGCCTTATGTAGACAGCTGAAACTGGATCCCTTCCTTACACCTTATACAAAAATTAATTCAAGATGGATTAAAGACTTAAATGTTAGACCTAAAACCATAAAAACCCTAGAAGAAAACCTAGGCAATACCATTCAGGACATAGGCATGGGCAAGGACTTCATGTCTAAAACACCAAAAGCAATGGCAACAAAAGCCAAAATTGACAAATGGGATCTAACTAAACTAAAGAACTTCTGCACAGCAAAAGAAACTACCATCAGAGTGAACAGACAACCTACAGAATGGGAGAACATTTTTGCAATCTACTCATCTGACAAAGGGCTAATATCCAGAATCTACAAAGAACTCAAACAAATTTACAGGAAAAAAACAAACAACCCCATCAAAAAGTGGGCAAAGGATATGAACAGACACTTCTCAAAAGAAGACATTTATGCAGCCAACAGACACATGAGAAAATGCTCATCACCACTGGTCATCAGAGAAATGCAAATCAAAACCACAATGAGATACCATCTCACACCAGTTAGAATGGCAATCATTAAAAAGTCAGGAAACAACAGGTGCTGGAGAGGATGTGGAGAAATAGGAACACTTTTACACTGTTGGTGGGACTGTAAACTGGTTCAACCATTGTGGAAGACAGTGTGGCAATTCCTCAAGGATCTAAAACTAGAAATACCATTTGACCCAGCCATCCCATTACTGGGTGTATACCCAAAGGATTATAAATCATACCTCTATAAAGAGACATGCACACATATGTTTATTGCGGCACTATTCACAATAGCAAAGACTTGGAACCAACCCAAATGTCCATCAATGATAGACTGGATTAAGAAAATGAGGCACATATACACCATGGAATACTATGCAGCCAAAAAAAGGATGAGTTCATGTCCTTTGTAGGGACATGGATGAAGCTGGAAACCATCGTTCTGAGCAAACTATCACAAGGACAGAAAACCAAATACCGCATGTTCTCACTCATAGGTGGGAATTGAACAGTGAGAACACTTGGACACAGGAAGGGGAACATCACACACCAGGGCCTGTTGTGGGGTGGGGGGAGGAGGAAGGGATAGCATTAGGAGATATACCTAATGTAAATGATGAGTTAATGGGTGCAGCACACCAACATGGCACATGTATACATATGTAACAAACCTGCACGTTTTGCACATGTACCCTAGAACTTAAAGTATAATTTAAAAAAAGAAAAAAAATGCACACAAACATGAAATCAGAATGTAGACTCACATATATCCTTTCAAAATCTCATTAAATAAATTGTGAATTATTTTTTAATTAAACACTTTCTATTTTTAAATGCAAAAAAAAAAAAAAAGAAAAGCCATCAAATCAGCAAGAAAAAACTTAGGGTAGGCCGAATTACCAAAATGTAGCCAGGAGAGGCAGGCATGGTGGTATGCACCTGTAGTCCCAGGTACTCCAGAGGCTGAGGCAGGAAGATATCCTGAGCCCAGAAACTTGAGACTAGTCTGAGTAACACAAGGAGATGCTGTCTCAAAAAAGAAGCCCACTATCACCATTAATATTCTTTAAAAATTTTTGAATGTGATATGAAACAGAGTAATACTATATTTTGCAGAAATAATAAATATCTACAGAAAATTTATTAACAATGTTTAGTAAAGAAGCCATGTACATAATAAAAAATTGCAGTCTCTTATACTAACAACTAGGTAAAAATTAACACAAGAAGAAAGCCCATAAGAACAACAAAAGTTATAAAATGCTTAAACTGAGCAAGAGTTTATGTAACAAAACTGTTTTACAATACTGTAATTTAACAAATTGATCAATATAAGAAATCACTCAAATAAATGGAGGAAGAACATGTTTCCTTATGAAATAGGTAAATATGGCAAAAATGTCAATTCCTTTTTAGTTAATGCCTATATTTCTTGGAATATTAGTCAAACTATCAAATTTGTTGACAAAATAAATCAAAACTTAATCTCAAAGAATATGTTGTCAAATACCCTAAAAAAGAAACATGGAAGAGACAAGGCATTGTTGCCTTTCTTGACATACTTATTACAAAGTACCAATCATTAAAACCCTAGTGTATTATCACGAATTTAGAAAAGGAAATTGATGTAAAAAGTAGGAGCCCCAGAAAAAAAACTAATTATATGGAGTTTAACATATGCTAAATTAGATATCACCAAGCCAAAAGATTGGGAAGAATTACTTGAAAAATAATTAGGGATCACCATAGGATACTTTCAACTTAAACCTATACCTTACTGTATAAAATATGCTATAGTAGTGATAAATTTTAAAACCAACTTATCAAAGTAGAGACAGAAATGAAAACTGAGCATTTCTTAGGTTTCTGTAAAGATACTAATTTTCCTCAAGCTTTGCCGCAAGAGTAGGAGAAAACACAAAGCTGAAAAAGAGAAGATCCAAAGATCTGAATATGCAAAAAATGTAGAAAATCTCCACACACCATTAAATAACTAAAGAAAACGAAGAGTTGCCTTAAATTTTCAGCTGTTCTTTATAAAACCATTCTAAGAAGGAAGAACTGAAGACCATCAGCCTGAGTCAATACAATAAAAGTTTAGTACTGTATTTTTTTTACCCTAACTCCTATTAGAGGTAGTATCCAGAATTTTCCACTCTAAGGAAAGTTCCAGCGTGACCACTCAATAGGAAAGAGATGGGATACTCAAAATGGGATAACATGGAGGGTTTCTTTACAGAAGGATGATTTACAAGGTGTGGGTGAAGAGAAACCATTAGGGATGGGAAGCAGGCCTGGGTTAGCAGCAGCTGAGTTGTTACCTCCTAGGCTGGAAAAGGAGAGATGAGGAGCAGCTCCTGAAACCCCAGGAATAGTCACACATGTGGTTGCTTTATGGGGAGCATGAGCTTTGGCTCAGGAACACGGCCCACTTCAGATGCCCCTGCAAGGGAAGAGCCAGGGGAATGAACATTTTGACTTCTCTTTCCTCCCTCTGCTTCTGTCAGGCTCTCCATGGACCAAACTCGACTACAGCCATCCACAGGGGAAAGCCTCTAGAGCAGAAAGCAGGACGGAGGAGGGTGGAAAATGGGTCTAGAAAAGCAAATGAAAAAAATCTGGTACAATGGGATAAGCTCATTGTGTGTCCATCCTCATGAACGCTTTCTGCCCAATTTCTGGTTTGCAGCTGTGTTCTTGCCAGTTTCAACCCTGCCCTGAAATCCAGTAACAGGACCTTGATAATCTGATGCCTTCTCCTATTTCCTCTTTAACCACCACAAAGACTTTGATGCTTAATATCAAAAACCAAAAATTCAAGAACAATCCAAGTGACCAACAATATGATAATACAGAAATGATCATTAAGCTACTATAAAGGCCAATGTAGAAAATGCTTACAGTATTGTATAAGAAAAACAAATGTCATATTTTTATTATGTTAGAGTTATAAGCATGTGAACAATATATGGGTTGAATAAAAAATAGAAAGTTGATAGTAAAAATTGGTATATTTTAATATATACTAGAAATACAAAGATAATTATGCCACAAAATATAGCTAGAAGGTGTAAAGGAGGGAGGAAGAAGACAAGAAAGGAAAAGAAAACCCTTGCCTACACTATCCACTAAGGGCCCAAGCAATGCTTAGGTTGAGGACAACATGATTTTGCTCTAAGGAAAATTAAAGGAAATAAGCTAGGGAGCCTTCAAAGCCTTTCAGTGACCACAATACTAGGAAAATGTTTTTAAGAAGGAACTATAATGAGGGCAGAAATCAAAACAAACTATCATATTTGAATGTGGAAGAAGACACAAGGGAAAAAATGCTTTAATCTCATATAATTAAAGTACTTAAGAGATTGTGTTGATTTTTCAGAATTAGCTTAGGATACCGAAGCTGGAAAAACAAAAGCCTTCATTAAAAGGAGCAATGCTTTCTGTGAATACCAGATAACTCTCATTTTTGAATGAATGCTAGACAAAAGCATGTACTCAATCACACATCATAAGAGTTGCTTTTTTTTTTGGCTTTCCTAATGTAATCACATAGTAGATGAAATTTCTCCTCAACAATATATAAGGATGGAGATAGAAAGCTACAGGACTTAATTACACTTATATCTGCCACAGTGGAAAAAAGGTATCAAAACAGCATCAAAATGATAAGTTTAGGACGACTGACTGACCAACTACTTTGACCTATGGGGTGTCACTGTCTGTCAAAAAGCTATAACCAGCTTTTGGCATGAGGGGATATTTGAAACAAATAGTGAGATCACAACTTAAGATATACTAGTACTTAATGATAATGGACGGTAACCCCAGCACAGCAAACAATGCATGTGTGAGTTCTCAAACAATGAGTCCAGTTCTTTAGGAAGCTATGACATTATATGCCAGATTGTGACATTTGACAAAAGAAAGGTAATTTCACCATAAAACTGAGCAGTCTGACAAGAGAGACTGGGGAATGCTTGACTTGAAATTGCACACTGATGAGAACACAAGAGCTAGAAAAAAGGAGAGCTGACTAATGAAGAGATGGTAAAGAGGGCCATGGGTCTAGCAGCAGATCTGAAATGGGCAGATGAGTCTACATGATGAAATGGCAGGCAAGGGTCAACAGGAGGCAAAAGTGTAAAGTGAAGAAAGGATCCAGGTGAGGACCAGCATGCTTAGAAGGCATTATGAGCAGAGAGGCCCAACAAAAAGGGAAGCAAAGAATTCGAGATGAGTACCTATTGAGGCTGAAAGGAAACTGGGATAACCAGCAGAGACAGGATCATAGACGAGTTAGTTAGGAATCCAGTTTCCAGGCAACTGGGCACCAAGGTGAGCACAGGACCAAACACAAGCCCCAGCCACAGTGAGTCTGTAGCCTTCTGCTTCCAGAAGCTCCTCACACGGCCCCACTAGGGACAGGACGAGCCTCACCTGGAGGTGAGACTGAAGTTACAGGTTGGGGTTAACTGTTACAAGGCAAGAGGCAAAGAACTAGGGGAACAGGAACACAATCCAGATGTAACTAAGTTGGATTTCACATTTGTATGAAACTTTATCCTTTAAAATTAGTGGTAATCACGCCCTTTCATAGTTTTAAAGTTAAAAAAACATCCCGCTTGCCCTTGACTCCAAATGAGATACTCAATGTTATGTTAAAAATCAGGATTCTTTGTTCACTACTACAACTCTCATTTCCAGGAGATGAATCACCTAAACGACATATCTTTTCAATCACTTTTTATAAGAGTTTCCTTCTCAAAGAACATCTATAATATTCAAACTGTGAGAGGAATTAAAAATATCATGGGATATCCTGTTTTATCACATTAATGCACAGGAAATATTTTAGAAGACTGGCACTCAAATATTAGCACAGAAAACAATATTGCTTAACTAAATAGAAAAGTCTTTTTAAAAATACATCTATAGTAATGTATCCTAAGTTACATAGTTTATGCTCAGGGGCTCAGGTATAATGTATACAATCAAGAGTTTATCCAAAGTCACATCAGATAAAGGACAGGAAATCCAGGAAGTCTGATGTGATTAAAAAGGTCAGGCAAATATTTAAGTTTCAGAGACAAAGTGAGTGGGGAGGATTCACATAAGGCTGAAGAGATTGAGCAAACCTTGGATGTAAAGATAGACATGTGGCTTAAAACAACATCAAAATGAAAAAAGGTAAAAAAAAAAAATCATTTTATTCTAAGGCTCCTTTTTTGCATTTTTCCCCCTAGTTTTTAATCATCCTATAAGCTTATAGTACAGGCAAGATCAAGATGCTTTTGAGAGACTTAAAACTTCAAATAAGGCTTCCTAGTCACTATTCCCTGCTGATAAGCCAAATAAATAACCTACATTCTCTATCACAAATCCCAGAAATGAGGGAGAAGAGGGGATACTGTCATCAGTCAGAAGCAGGATAATAAACATAAAAGATCTGAAGTAATAAATACTTTTCTCTCATGTCCAGTAAGTGGTGGCTCAGCAAATTGCCCCCACCCATCTTTGGGCCCAGGTTTGTGTGTGCTAAGATGTGACCCCTGAAGAAGGGACCCAGGACTTATTCTAAGAGCAACCTCACACAAAGCAGCTTCTTGCCTAGCATGAGATGGTCTCAAAAGAAAATGGGTAAAGGTTTGATGTCAGATAAAAAACAACCACAAGCGTGGCACTGCCAGCAACACAAAGCCAGAGTTGGATGCTCTCAGGAAGAAATCTTCCAAAAATGATGGCAATGAAAACTGGAAAACATCCACACAAGAGAGTTAATTTTAAACTCTTGCCAACCCCGGAGTATGAAAATGCCATATGGCATCAGTCTTTCTTGAGTGGCACTGCCCTTTCTCCATTCTCCTCGCTACATCCCCTCAGGAGTCACACACCAGGCCAGCAAGCTTGGGTTGAAAAGCCCTCCACATCAACTATCCCACTGCAGGCTTCCAGCCTAGAGCAGGTTCACATGCACAGGGGAGAGTCTTCAACTTTAAATGCAGTTTGGGCTTTTAACTATGACATAGCACAGGACATGAATTATTGAAATAGTCTTTTGGGGGCTACAAGCAACAGGAAAACTTGATAAATTGTCCATGTTATTACCCAAGCAAAGTTATGGCACCAATCTGAGATTCCATCCAAAGGGGAAGGTTGGTCAAAAAGTACTAAAAGGGATAGAGAGGGAAACACAAAATAGCGTTATGATTGCTCGCCAACACGGTGGTCCCTCATTCAACACAATGGTTAAAATCACATCAAAGAGGAAAACTGAAGCATCTATGTATTCTAAAAATTAAGGAGTAAGAAAATATGATGAGTTCTGGCTGTTTATCTGTAAGATTTCACAGTTAAAATTCTAAAACATTTATTGTAATGCAGGGTACTAAATGGCAAACATTGCATCTTACATATTCCATTTAGCCATATTAAAATTAAAGTGCTAAGGATGTTCAAATATTAAGTGATAAAGGTATTACAAAATCTAGTAAGCAAGGTTTATTCATCTCTACTCCAAGGAATAAAAAGATATAAAACTGATTTAACAACCCAGTGCAAGAAAAATAGCTGTAAAGATTGTACACTAAATTGCAAACTAAAGCAAAAGGTATAAATCTCTGATATAACAAGAAAATCACTGTAAATACTTTACAAATTTTGCAAGTTTTTATGAGTGTGCTTTGTACATTTCAAAAGTAAACTTTAGGCTGAATTTGGTTAGCTACAAAAGTGGTGTTACACAGGCAAACTAAAGCCAAGAATGAGGTATTTGAAATGCCACCTCAGATTATTTAATTGAACTATATATTTATATTCAGATTCAGCATTAAAATTAATATACAGATAAAGGAATTGCAATATTAGTTATAAAGCAGAAGACTATGTTGTGGCAACTCTTTAAATATAGGAGCCAATAATTTTAAGGAAGAGGCTGCCCAGTTATTTACATCTCGATAAGGAGCAAGGAAGAGTGAATAGGCTGAGCACACAAAAATGAGGTCCCAGGAAACAAAACACAAAAGTACTAAAGCTGATTAAGTGGTAAGGACAATAACAGCTCTCTTTCACTTCCTGAGATGATCTTCAAGCTGGCACCACTCCCTTATAGAAGTATGCCATGCTGTGCATGACCCTGCAGCAAATCTCTACCAAAAGTTTCTTAGTATGGCCAGTAGCCAAAGCTGGAGTGCTTATTAAAATGCAGATTCCTAGGCCTCATACCAAACCTACTGACCCAGTATGCCCGGCAGCAGATCCAGGAACATGCATTTTAAAGGACTCCACTGGTGACTTTACACATGTTAGAGTTTGAAAGCCACTGCTCTAATCACCTCAATTGTCTCCCTTCTCCATTATTCTTCACATTCATACCTTTTTTTTTCTTTTTTGAAATGGAGTCTTGCTGTGTTGTCCAGGCTGGAGTGCAGTGGCGCAATCTCAGCTCACTGCAACCTCCGCCTCCTGGGTTCAAGCAATTCTCCTATCTTGGCCTCTCAAGTAGCTGGGACTACAGGCTCATGCCACCATACCCAGCTAACTTTTGTATTTTTACTAGAGACAGGGTTTTGCCATGTTGGCCAGGCTGGTCTAGAACTCCTGAGCTCAAGCAATCCTCCCTCCTCCGCCTCCCAGAGTGCTAGGATTACAGGTGTGAGCCACCGTGCCCAGCCGGTATTCATCTCTTCTAATCTAGCTCAACACTCAACTCCTGTTAGAAATCTGTGATTAAACTCCTTTCAACTCTGATGAGTCTTTTACTTTCTTCAATAATTATGTGTTCAGCTCTGTGTCTTTGGCCATTTTATTGTATTGTTCTCATACCATTAGTTTGTTATATAAAAATGGCCAAAACATACAAAGCCTTTGCTGTAGCTACTTAGATTTTTTTTTTTCTTGTCATCATTAACAACAGTTCTATGGGAAAGATACTAAGCTTATGGCGTGGGAAAACTTAGATTTTCCAAAGTAAATTTGCCTTAGCTCACATTTCTAGAACATTGTGAAGATTCAGTGCAAACCCACATAGTCTTACTGGTTACTGCTCCGAACTCATACTTACTTAGATTTTAATCTCCTTAATGCAAATTGTTTCACATATGGAAAGGAACAAAAAATACAATAGGAGTAGCTGTGGTTAGAATGGTTGATAGCATGTATTAAAGTACTTGTTAAACAAATGTGGTTGAAAGCAATACGGTAGCAAAGCCAGTAAAACATCATCCTATATGAAAACAGCAATAATAGGTGGGAACAAAAGAAAACTAATCTTCTAGAGCAACTGCATGGTGATTTGCCAGGACAGAAGGTTTGAACCTGATCTCATTAGAACACTCAACTCTTTGCCTATGGCTAAGTTTCATCATCATATGCAATATTTTGCCTATAGCTAATGTCTTAATCTTATTAGAATACTCAACATTTTGCCTTTAGCTAAGGTCTTGTAGTTTTAGGAATGTCTCTGATAAAAGCAATGCTCTTACTCTCAAGCCTAGCAACCAGCATAACTAAGAGAGGAGTACCCAGTAAGGCAGTGTTGCAGGAAGACAAACCCTTCCTCTGCGACAGAGCCCACAGAGGTCACTGCTGGAACAATGGGGAAAGGAGAAACTGAATCTCTCCTCAATTTCAAAGGAAAGATTCAAGAGGAAATAGGGCCCTCCTTAAATTGGCAAACACTTGCACAGCCTCCTAGGGAAGAGCCCATTTATCTACAGGCTACCATGGCCAGGTCTAGGCTGAACGTTCTCACAGTAGAGGAGCCAGGACCCCCAAAGGCTCTAAAATATTCAAGATCAGATGCTATCAGTATCTGTCCCTGGTTGGTGAAAAATAAAGAACTTTTATAAAGCTAAAAAGGATCAGATACTAGAAAGAGGCAAAACTGCGATTCAAACATATGCCACAGCCTCAAATGCCTGTTTTTTCCCCATTATACTGTGTTTCATTCTCTCATTCAGAGGTTACTTCAGGTTAAAATAAGTATTTCCATGTTAATGGACTGTATTAGTATCTTGCATCTGTGTGTAAAATGCCATGACGTCTCTGACTTTTTCCCCAAGAGTTTCAGACACCTAAGTAACCGGCAGCTTCAAGCAACTCACATAAAATAAGGAAGATGGGAAAGGGAGAGGAACTACATCTAGGAACCTGGGGATTTACACAGAAAAGCTATCTTTCTGAAGACTTTACTAAGAAAAAAAATGCTCCTGAAGTATTTTGGAACAGCTTTTCATATTCTATTAAGAGTTTTCATGCAAAGGCATGAAACCAGCTTTCCAAAGTCCCAGGCAGGTTAATGAACAATTACTAAACCTTTCAATCTTCTGATTCTAAAGTTTCCATTTGAAGACTAAGGGCAAAATTCAACCTAAACTTAGTCTCCTTACTAAACTATACACGGACAACTCAGAAATTTGCATTTATATCAAAGATTAGCTTAATTAAGCATGTTGGTTGCCCACTATTTTTCATAAACACAAACCTGACTGATGTTTATCAAAAAATTTTAAGCTTTGTTTACAAAGAACGTTGGAACATTCTGAAGCTCTCCTCAATCTGTAAAATATCTGGAGGAAACTATTTTTTCACTTATATTTAATTTGCTTAGTCAAAAATCACCAAAAAACATTTTAATTTGCATTTTACCAAGCCTCTTTTAAAATATTCTTAGGGCATAGAAGAATTCTGAAAGCTTGGTTATTTGTACTCAGGACATCAGAAATGCCACTGCCATAGATTTCCAAGGACGTTTCCTTGGTAAAGTCACAAAGTTCATAAACTATGGAGCTTCTCAGTCTCTGCGGTCCCCAGCTGTCCGCAACATCTTTATCACCTATTCACACTTTCCAAGCAAAGTGAAAACAGAGTCTGTGCGTTAAGGAATGTTGATTTAACAAATTGTTATTAAGCATTTATATGTTTACTACTGTAGCCAGCTGCTATGGCTGCTATAAAAGAGGCATTTGATTGGGTCTTTGCATTCAAGGAGCTTTCAATTTAAAAAGCCAATACTATTTCTCAGTAGAAGCTCCAACAATGGCCAGTAAAAACTGTCCCCAAGCCAGCCCCCAGCCCTCTCCCTTTACATCATCCCTCAGCACCATCAACTATGATGAGTTTCCCACTATGGTGTTTCCTTCTGGGCAGATCTCAAGCCAGGCCTCAGCTTTGGCCCCAGCCCCTGCCCCAACCATGGCATCAGCTCTGGCCCAGGCCCCAGCTCCTGGCCCAGTACTAGCCCCAGGCTTTCCTCAAGCTATGGGCCCACCTGCCCCCAAGCCTGCCTAGGCTGGGGAAGGAACAGAAGGCCCTGCTGCATCTGCAGTTTGATGATGAAGACCTGGGGGCCTTGCTTGGCAACAGCACAGACCCAGCTGTGTTCACAGACCTGGCATCCATCAACAACTCCGAGTTTTAGCAACTGCTGAACAGGGCGTATCTGTGGCTTCCCACACAACTAAGCCCATGCTGATAGAGTACCCTGAGGCTATAACTCGCCAAGTGACAGGGACCCAGAGGCCCCCTGACCCAGCTCCTGCTCCACTGGGGGCCCCAGGACTCCCCAGCAGCCTCCTTTCAGGGGATGAAGACTTCTCCTCCAATGCAGACATGGACTTCTCAGCCCTGCTGTGTCAGATCACCACCTAGGGGGGTGACACCTTCCCTCCCCAGAGCACTGGGTTGCAGTGGATTGAATCCCTCCCAAAGCACTTATGGATTCTTCTGAGGTGTGCTCCAACTGCCTCCAGCTTTGGAGATGTCTTCCTTGTGGCAGGGGGGCGGGGAGCACATTTTATTCTTTTATTGGCAATATCTGTATCTCTCCCTCTTTTTGGAGGTGCTTAAGCAGAAGTATTAACTTGTCTGGAAAGAAGGGAGCTGGGGAAACTCAAACTCTTTCTTCCCCTATCCTGATGGTCAGCTCCCTTCTCTGTAGGGAACTCTGGGGGTCCCCCATCCCCATCCTCCAGCTTCTAGTACTCTCCTAGAGAGAAGAGCAGGCTGGAGCTAAGGCCTTTTAGTCCACAAAGCCTTATTATCAAGTGTCTTCCATCATGGATTCATTACACCTTGATCAAAATAATGCCCCAGTTACCAGCTCCTCTATGGCACTGGCATTGTCCCTGTGGCTAACACCAGCATTTAAGGGGCTGGCCCTCCTGCTTTGCAACCCAGTTTAGTAGATGTTCTCTGTTCACCCTAGCAATATTCTTACCCTGCCCAGCATATGGCAGCTGGTAAGCACTGGCCAAGTATCTCTCTACTCCCACTAAGACCAGCTAAGTTGTATGCCTACAATGAGATAGTTGTGTCTCCCAACTCACATATGTCACTTATCACTGTAATGAGTTATAATTACTAATATTTCAATATCATGTGCATTCATTTGGGTTGCCAAGAAGCAAACACTACACAAAATTAAACATGCAAAAGACATCTTGCAGTAGGGAACAGGAGAAGGCAGGGAGCACTCTCAGAACAAGGTGCAGGTGTGATGTCTACAGAAGGAAAGAGGGAAGATATGAGAATTGGACTACAGTGCAGTCCCCAGGGATGTTCAACTGGGCCACTGAGGAGTCCTTGAGCTTAAAGTCACTCAATAGAGGACAGGAATGGGTCTAGCTGTCCCTTCTGTGCCCAATCACTGGCTCAGGAAAGTCCACAGAAACCATGGCCTCAGAGTGAAGGTGGACTCAGAGGAGCAGCAGTTCAGCTATCAATTATGCTTCCCACAGCAGGAAGCCTGAGGGGTGCATTCTTCCTTGTTGCAGCATGTAAACCAGTACTAAAAATAATAGCTAAGACTTAATGAACCTGTATTAGTCTGCTCTCATGCTGCTAATAAAGACATACCCAAGACTGGGTAATTTATCAGTAAGAAGAGGTTTGATGAACTCACAGTTCCATGTGGCTGGGGAGGCCACACAATCATGGCGGAAGAGGAAGAAAGAGCAAAGGGACAACTTATATGGCAACAGTCAAGAGAGTGTGTGCAGGGAAACTCCTCTTTATAAAACCATCAGATCTCATGAGACTTATTCACTATCATGAGAACAGCATGGGAAAGACCCAACCCCGTGATTCAATTACCTCCCACTAGATCCCTCCCACAACACATGGGAATTATGGGAGCTACAACTCAAGATGAGATTTGGGTGGGAACACAGCCAAGCCATATCAGAGCCCTTACTGTATAGACTATTTAAAGCATCTTTCATGCATCAATGTAATACTCATAGCCACACAGACATGGGTACTATTATCACCCCTATATACAAACCAGGAAACTGAGGCATAAGCCATGGTCAAACAGCTAGTAAGCGGCAGAACTGTAATTTGAATCCAGAAGTCTTTACTGACTCAAAAATTTAAGTGAAAAAGTTTTTTTCTATTAAAAATGAAGTTAAACATTTTGGAAAGACTCACTAAAAGCAAGCTGATAAATTATTGCTGTCACATTAAATATAATTAACACAACTGAAAAAGATTAGGGGAATGAAATCTTAAGAATCTAGGAAGGACTCTACCTAGGAGATCTAGGAACTCATTCAATGGTACCTGAATTCAACTGTTCATTCAACTACAACATGTGCTAGACATTGTTCTATGAACAAAACTGACAGGAGAATTTTTAAAAATCTCTGCCCTCATGCAGCTTACATTTATGTGTGTCAAGGGGGAAGATAATGAATGTGTTGTATAGTATATTAAGAGGTAATTAGTGCAAAACAGGGAAGGAAAGTAGAAAGCTTACAGATGGGTAGAAGTGTATGTGGGTGGGGCAGGGTGTGGTAGCAACTTTAAATAGGGAGGCCAGGGAAAGCCTCATTGAGTTAATGGTTGAGCAAAGGCAAAGGAGGTGAGGGAGAGATGCCTGGGGAAGGAACTTTCAGGTACAGAGAACAGTAAGAATGAAGGCAAAGGTAGGAACATGCTGGCAGTTCCACGAACAGCAAAGAGGCAAGTTTTAGCTGGAGCAGAGAGAGCAAGGGGGAGAGGTGGGAGGACAGATCATGTAGGGTCTGGTGTGCCACTATAAACACTTACGCTTTTACTGGGAGTGAGATGGAACCCACTGGAGGTCATGAACAGAGAAGCAATCCGACTTCTGTTATAACGGAATCCCTCTGACTACATATAGAGAACAGATAAGGGTTGGGGATGGTAAGGATGGAAGCAGAAAAACAAATTTAGGAGGCTACTGCAGAATCCTACATGCAGACTGCTTTGCAATCTCCACTTCGAAAATCCACCATAAAAAAATCTAAAATGTTAATGATAGAAAGTGCATTAGGGAAGTGACTTGCATTAGGAAAATAATGCATGACTATAATCATAGGAACCACAGTTAAGGAAAAGGCCTTGGCCTCAGTGCCAGTCCTCTGTTTGGTCTCCCATCTATTCTCCTCCCTCCTATTTCACATGACTGAACCCTATAAACTACAGTCCTAGACAGCTGGCTTCTGATGTCAATAGACAAATGAGATACTAGCAGGAGATCAGATAAACGAGGAAGAAAAAGGTCAGGGTATTTCTCCCCCTGCCTCCTCTACTCCATGTGGCATTTGCAGAGTGGCCACATCCTCCATTATTCCAGCCCCCTGTGGGGTACACCCTCCATGGTTCCAATTACCCCTGGGTGGCCCAGATCCCGGGTTCTGCTCTCACCAAGCAGCTCCTGTGCTGTAGCTGAGTTCGCACCAGGCAGCTCCCTTGTTGGCTCTGATAACAACTCCTCCCTTTGTTGCTTTAGCCCAAAGGGTGGTAATGGCTACCTGCAGTTGGTAACCTCTGGAATATATAACAGATCCCTATTTGTTCTTTTAGCTTTTTCAATACCTTTGTAATTAGCTCCCTATACCAAATCCCCCTATTGAACCACTTGGTGATGTTTTGTTTTTCTGACTAGATCCTGACTAATATACCCTTACATCAAGAGTCACAAATGAATGTACATGTATGTAACTGTTTAAATCTTGAAGATATGCATACATTGTTCTGTATGATCCATAATATTCATATCAAATCCTTCCCAGGGGAATTAGGCTGGAGGAGTGACAGGAGAGATGGAAGAAGAGAGGGGAAGCAGGAGCGAAAAGCGGATGTGGGGAAGGGAGCAGGAGAAAAGGTAGAGGGGCATGTAGTACATGCCAAAGCTTCAGCGCTTTGCAAGCATTCTCTTACTTGGCGCCCAAGGCAAAGTCCCAGAAGCTCCTTCTACTGTGGGGAGGAGTCCCTGATAGAAAACGCCAGCCCTGTCCTTCCTTCAAAGAGCCTACAGCAATTCGTTAACACCAACAGACTCCAGGCCATAGTAACTGCTGGAGCGATGTCCTCGGAGCTGCCAGAAATGAAGGTCTTAGCTGGGCGTGGTGGCTCATGCCTACATTCTCAGCATTTTGGGAGGCTGAGGCGGGTGGATAACTTGAGGCCAGGAGTTTGACACCAGCCTAGGTAACGTGGCGAAACCTGGTCTCCACAAAAAATACAAAAATTGGCCAAGAGTGGTGGGTGACTCGTGCCTGTAGTCCCAGCTTCCCAGCTACTTGGGAAGCAAGATGGAAGAATCACTTGAGCCCTGGAGGTTGAGGCTGTAGTGAGCCATGATCATGCCGCTGCGCTCCAGCCTGGGTGACACAGTGAAGTCCTGTCTCAGAAAAAAAAGAAATGAAGGTCTTGCGTTCACTGCCTTCTACTCACAGTATTCAATAATGAGAAAGTCAAAGAAGAGGAAGCAGATGAACAGAAAAGGCAGTAGAGAGAAACTTGAGCCACTGAGGTGTCAACTCAAAGACACCATCCTAATTTACAATAGAATATCACCAAACATCACACCAGGTATCATGTTGCCTAGCTGTGCCAGAACAAGGTGTGCTGCACACATGCAAGGACAAGAGAGGCTCCCGTGAGCAACCTCAGGACTAATGCTTTTTATTGTTGCAGGTAAGTAATATGCATTAACAATCATAGACAATTTAGCTTCAAGTGTGAGCAGCCAGCAAAAGCTTCCATACAAAAACACAAAAGGTGATAGTCTTCCAAAAGTGTTTGGTATAAAGGAAATGCTGAATCAACCCGAGGAACAGGTACTCTCACTGACATGAAAACACTGTTTCAGCACTATAGGTATTAGATACTACTTAGTTTAATTCAAAAAGGAATCATGCCCTTCAAAATCATAATATAAAAGGACATCACTATATTTGTGTAAGACCTAAAAAATTAGATAATGTTTACTGATTTGTTATATATATGAAAATATAACCCATACAAATATAACCCATAAAAGCCTTCAAATTACTTAAAAGCCTTTCTCCCTGGAGAGGAAGTAGTTTGTGGCAGAGACTGAAAGCTTTTTAAAGTGTGACTTTGATCCCCATCTGCTGTAGTCAGGGTGGGAGAAGAACACTGATGGGACAAAAAGCAAGACCCTAGAAAAGAGGGTTGCTATTTTCCTGGAGGGATCATTTCTTTAGTATAGTAGTAGTATTCATTAGCAGTATTCTGCCTGGAAGCCAGTTCTTCCTATATCAAATTGTGGACACGAAGAAAGGAAGGGAGCAGCCACTGAAAGTGAGAGGTACTATACACACATTAATTTATTTATCCTAATAGCAATCCATTACCTGATACAATAAGGTACATACAGAGAAAGGTTGAAAAATGTGGTTATTGTCATACTTCTAATAATATAGTCTGGAATTCAACTTCCAAACACAAATAAAGTGTCCTTCCATTCACACTATAAGCACACCCAAGAAAATTCTAAGGGCAATTTAAAAAATAACAGTGGCAAATTTGCCCAGGATGGTAGGATGTCATGGGGAGTCTGACCCTGTGGCTGGTAGGGGCAAAGTATGGTCTTGAAAGAAGAATGTGAAATAAGACATAATGAATGAAATTTGGAAAACAAGAGATGCCATGGAAACAGCAGGAAAAGCCTAGAAACAGGAATTTTTAAGTCCTTTAGACATACGACTGAATATGAAAAGAATGCAGACTGCTTCTACATCTATCTCGAGCCCTGACAACTTCTTTTAAATTCTAGGCACTATTTTCCATTGCAGAAGTCTCTTCCACAAACATGGTCAAAATTAAATTTATTATCTGCCTCCTTGTTTGCATATTTTTGGTGACTTAACTCTCATTCCAAATCCCTTCTCCTCTCTTTTCCTCCAGGACAGAGACTGGTCATGCAAATATTAATACCCCAGTCTTCCTACAGCTACAGTTTGCCTGCAAGATGTAAAAAGAAGTTGAGGTGGGGAGGGGTGCTCCCTGTCCATAAGAAAGTGTCTCTGTGATGGAGCCCATGGCCCCTTCCCCCTTCCTTCTGCCTGGAACATAGATACCTTTGCAGGCAGTTGTAATCATGGAAGCAAAAGCCTCATGCTAGGGATGGAAGAGCAGGAAAACAGGCAGAAGCTGCTTTATGATGGTGTCACTGAGCCAACATCCCACTCCCTGTGTTCTTGTGAAGTAAGCCCAGTGGTTTAAGTTACTATTAGACATGCTTTCTGTTCAGAGCCAACATAAGCCTCATTGGAATATCCCCAAATCTTTTTCTTCTCATGTGCTTCACATCTTGGTAGTGGTATCCCCATCCCACCAGTGGCATCAGCAAAATCCAAGGAATCATCTCTAAATCCTACTCATTCAGTCTTGCTTGCTTCTCACTCTATTTCTGAAATGTCTCTTCCAACCCTTCTCTTTCTTCTCTTCTTGTTCATCTTTACCTTCACCACCTCATTCATGCTGTAGTTCCCTACACTACTAAAATGTCACCAAACTCCTCTTCCTGCCACTAATCTTCCTGGAACACACAAACCTCTACTTACAGGTTTTCACACACCTCAAACCTTGAAGTCTTGGCTCCCAGCTTGCTTCACAAGAGCCCTCACAATACTGGGGCCAGCAATGGCTAAAAAAATATGCCAAGTGTACATTTTAACTGACATTAAAAAAACAAGTAGATACAAAGTAAAACAAGATATCTTTTGTGTTCATGAAATATATAAAGACATCTAACAATCTCTATAAAACATAGTAAGCACTGCATACATTTTGGTTAAAAAATGAAACAAGCCAACAATAAAAGACATCTTTAATATGATTTCAAGATTAGCAATGCTGCACTGAGGTGAATATTCTTACAAACTATTCTTAGTACTATATATATCAGCTCACTTGTTCCAGAGAATTATTCAATATATGTTACAAGTCTCAAAAAGTATACACTTCTAATATAATATTTCCAGTCCAGGAATATTGTGAAACCCAGCCCTCCTCTCCCCATAAGGTTTTTGCAGATATTCATCATGGCACAAATTATGATTTGTATGTATGAGGAAAGAATATATAACCATTGAAATATTAGAGTTTTTGAACAGAAAAATATTCAGGATACAATGCTAAGGGAAAAGCAAGATACAAAATTGTTTTTATGGCATCATTAACCGAGGAAAATAGGCATGGAAACGATAATGATAAGGATGAACTGCTCAGCACTCATTATTATGGCTGGTCATATCACACATTTCTCCCCCTCTATTTCTTTTTTATGTTTCTGTACTTTCCAAATACTTTACTATAGGCGTATATTATTTCTTCATTCAGAAAAACATATGACAGGTCTGGAGATGTATGAGTAATAAAGAAACAAAAAATAGTAAAAACTGAAAAAGTAAAAGAGAAATTCAGGTTGAGTTACATATTAAATGATGGTAACTTGCTATACCAGATCCAATGTTACTTTGGGGAAAGGAGTGGGAAGCCCTGAGTATGCAGCACCTAAGGGCAGGGACTTGCAATCAAGATCAATAACCACCTGGGCATTTAGGCAGAGTCTATTACAGCTTATGTGCATTCAGAATTCCAATTATGAGGTCCTGACATTTTAAGATTTCCTATTCAAACAAGTTTCCCAAACAATTCTAAATAGCTCCCTTTATAAAGCCGCTGTGGAAGATGACAAAAATACTCAAGTCACTTCATGTCAGCCTTTAACTGTGTGTGTTAATGAGTCCAGAGTTTCTTCCTTCTGGTGGGTTCGTGGTCTCGCTGACTTCAAGAATGAAGCCGCTGACATTCTCAGTGAGTGTTACAGTTCTTAAGGATGGTGTGTCCAGAGTTTGTTCTTTCAGATATGTCTGGAGCTTCTTCCTTGCAGTGGGTTCGTGGTCTTGCTGACTTCAAGAATGAAGCCAACGACCTTTGTGGTGAGTGTTACAGCTCTTAAAGGTGGTGCAGACCCAAAGACTGAGCAGTAGCAACATTTATCGTGAAGAGCGAAAGAACAAAGCTTCCACAGTGTGGAAGGGGACCCTAGCAGGTTGCTGCTACTGGCTGGAATGCCCAGGTTTTAGTCCCTTATTTGTCCCCGCCCACATCCTTCTGATGGGTCCATTTTACAGAGTGCCGATTGGTCCATTTTACATAGTGCCAATTGGTCCATTTAACAGAGTGCTGATTGGTGCATTTTACAATCCTCTTGTAAGACAGAAAAGTTCTCCAAGTCCCCACCCTACCCAGAAGTCCAGCTGGCTTCACCTCTCATTAATGCTTCAGTGCCCAAGATTTGTCCTGCAATATACCCACAAACTCTCGAATTCAGTGTAATCTAACAAAATGGTTTTAAATAGAGCTTTTATACAAGAAACAAAGTTCTTATTTTGTAAGAAAAAAGACACTTTGAGAAACACCTGAGGTAAAGATCTAAGGATTTAGAGGCACAAAAGCCTCAGTTCAAACACCATCATTTATAAACTGTATGACCTTACTCAGATTGTTTACATTCTCTGAGCAAATACAGAAATAGAAAAAGATAAGCTCCAGCTTCTAAGACTTCAAGTGTCAGTTAATCACACTCACTTCTTTTAAAAGCCATATGTGTTTCATCGCTTGCTTTTAACCTTCATTCTCTAAAGAACAACATCTCAGAACCTGATAAAAGCATTAATATTTGAAACACGTTATATATAGTTGACATTTTAAACTAAATATTTTCATGACATTATAGAGACTGTTCTGCTGTGTGGCCACTGGACATCAATATGTAACTCTAAAATAAATGAAAACATTGGGGGCATAGTGAGGTCCCTGGTAAGAACAAGTAAAAAGTGTGGTATTTAAGCAAATATGCTACATACAGCTATCTTTAATGAGAAAAAAAATAAGTTGCCAGTAAAATGTTAATATGCATTTGGCCCTTGGGGAACAGATGGTGCTACCTACTGCAAGAATTACATATTGATTTGGTCAGGGAACAGGGCCTGAGGGCCAGGCATATAAAAAAAAATTAGGTAACTTCTGTCAGAAAGTTTCTAATAGAATTCAGGTCTCTTTCAACCTCAACACATACCTCAAAAGTTACTTTTCAGAATACATTCCTGATTCCCCTTCTTACTCTTGGTTTCTTGTTTTGCTCCTAAAACTGCTTAATATTTTCAATTTCACTGGGTCTTAATTAATTGAAAGTTTATATTATGTTAAAGAAAAATATCCCAAAAGACTTTCTTAAAAGTTTAAAGTTTTATAGATGATTGACTGAATATGGGAGTCATCTGTTGAAAAGAATTGGATAATTAATTAGATGACATCCTTCTAATTTTTTATTCCTGTCTTAATGTATATAATACCTGGTTATGCCTCTAGGCAAAAATATGCCACAGAATGAGTTATAAGTTTCTTTTGAAATCGCTTTCTCCAGTCAATTGTGTATTTCATCATATCAAGGTCATTTTAGAACCTTGGTCATTTAGAACCTATAGGTCTTATTATAGTTAATGGCTCCAGTAATACATAGGGGAGTCAAAGATAAAACTATTAAGTCACTCAAAAACAAAATGAAAAACATAAGAAAAATAGAGAATATTTTAATTACACACATATGACTACACTATTATAGTCATCCTTTGTTATCCATGAGGGATAGGTTCCAGGACCCCCATGAATACCAAAATCCATGGATGCTTGGGGCCCTTATATAAAATGGCATAGTATTTACATACGGTATTCTCCTGTATACTTTAAATCTTCTCCAGGTTACTTATAATACCTAACACAATATAAATGTTATATAAACCATTATTATACTATTTTTTGTTTATTTGTAATTTTATTTGTAATTTTTTCCCAAGTATCTTCAATCTGCAGTTGGTTGAATCCTTGGACCCCATGGATGTGGAGGGCCAACTGTATAATGATTCTCCAGAGCAAACTTCATACCTCTGTATATCTCCAGTAAAGTTGAAATGCAGATAAAAACATCCCTTTGTCAATGACAAACAGTCTTAAAAGGATGATCAGAAAATTCATCCAAATAGAACGTTCTGGGATTTATAAGTGCACTAATAAAAACTGTAGGATGACTTCAAGGAGCTGCCTCACCCCAAAGAAAAGAAAACCCCACTCTTTACCTCCCAACTTCCTCCCAAGTTCACAAAAAATAAGAGACTAGCCAAAGGTTGGAAGGATGTGCTCCTATCTCTAGATTGTAACCAACAAGTACCTGACACAACATTTTTTTTTTAAGACAGGGTATCACTCTGTTACCCAGGCTGGAGTGCAGAAGTGTAATCATAGCTCACTGCAGATTCCAACTTCCGGTTCAAGTGATCACCTACCTCGGTTTTCCAATTAGCTGGGTCTACAGGCATGTGCCACCACACCTGGCTAAATTTTTTACTTTTTATCTTTTTGTAGAGGCAGGGTCTCACTTTGTTGGCCAGGCTTGTCTCAAACTCCTGGCCTCAAGCAATTCTCCTGTCATCCTCCCAAAGTGCTGTGATTACCAGTGTGAGCCACTGTGCCCAGCCATAATATATTTTTTTTAAAGATAAAGGTAATTGCAACATTTTAGAACCCCCAAGGATAAAGAACATTAAAACATTTAAGAAAGAAAAAACAGGTTATTTTAAAATGAATGAATATAGCCACTCTACTATGCAATAGAATATCAGGATTTCTCTTATAAAACTGTAATTTTATACCTGCTGACCAACCTCTCTAAACCCCTGTACCCAATACTTTTCCCAGCCCTTGGTAACCACTATTATACTCTCTACTTCTATGAGATCAACTTTTTTAGGTTCCATATGCATGAGATCATGCAGTATTTGTCCCTCTATGCTTGGTTTATTTCACTTAACATAACATCCTCTAGGTTCATCCATGTTGTCACAAATGACAGAATTTCATTCTTTTTAATAGTAAAATAGTAATCTTTTTATAGTTAAATAGTAATGGTATGAGTATATATACCATATTTGCTTTATCCAGTCATCCAATGATAGACATTTAAGTAGATTTCCATGTCTTGACTATTGTGTACAGTACTGTAGTAAACATGGGAATACATATATGTCTTGACATATGAATTTCATTTCCTTTGAATAGATACCCAGTAGTTGATTATTGGATCACATGGTAGTCCTATTTTTAATTTTTTTGTGGGACTCCCATTCTGTTTTCCATAATGGCTGTGCCAATTTACATTCCCACCAGCAGTGTTTAAGAGTTCACCTTTCCCCACATCTTTCCCAGCATTTGTTGTCTTTTGTCTATTTGATAATAGCCATTCTAACTTGGGTGAGATGATAGTTCACTGTGGTTTTGATTTGCATTTCCCCGATAATTAGTGATATTGAGCATTTTTTCATATATCTGTTGACCATTTGTATATCTTCTTTTGAGAAATGTCTATTCAGATTGCTTGCCCATTTTTAAATTGGATTATTTGTTTGTTATTGAATTGTTGGAGTTCCTTGCATATTCTGGATATTAAACCCTTGTCAGATGCACAGTTTATAATTTCTCTCATTCTGTAAGTCTTCTCTTCACTCTGTTGTTTCCTTTGCTGTGCAGAAGCTTTTTAGTTTGATGTAATCCTATTTGTCTATTTTTGCCATAGTCAACAATAATGTATTGTATATTTCAAAACAACTAGAATAGAGGATTTTTAATTTTCTCACCACAAAGAAATAACAAGTTTCAGGTGACGGATATACTAATTGCTCAGATTCGATCATTACGCACTATGCGTATATATTGAAACATCATAATGTATCCCATAAATATGTACCATTATCTGTCCATTCAAAACAAAATAAAACATATTTAAAAATAAACAAAACCAGACTGCATGCTTTTCATTAGCAACACTAGAAGCTAGAAGATAGTGGAGTAATACCTTCAAAGTTCTGAGGGAGAATGATTTCAACCTGGAATTCTATGCGCAGCCAATTTCCCTGTTAAAATGAGGAAAATTTTAGACCTCCATAGAATCAGAAAATTTCTCACACACTATTTCCTACAAAGATGGCAGATCAGAAAACAGAGGCTCCAATTCAAAAGAATTATGAAGAAATAATGACAACTCTCAGCCTGCTGTCCAAACACTAGTTCAGACTGAAGCAAGCTATAGGAAGGCTACAGGAAGGACATATCTGCAGAGAGAGGTAAAAGTGGAGAGATTACTGCTGTACTTTGGAATAGTGATTCTCAAACTAAATCAGACAAAACATCCCAGTCTGGATATTCTTCCTTTGTCCTCAAATTCACCGTCTATTCTCTGCTCTGTGCCTTGGGAGGCTAAGGAACCCTAACAGCTTACATTTTTGCTTTTCAGATTCTCTTTTGGTTTCCCTTTTTGTGAAATGTCATCACATAATCCAAGGAAAGAAGAGAAAGAAGACAGGAGATTTATCCCTAGCCTCCCTCCTTGCCACAGAAGGTGGGACAGTGACCAGAGGCCTCACTAAAAACCACAGCTTCCATCAGAAGGCCTCTCTCTCTCATGGCTATAGTTCCCACCCAGTTCTGGCCACAGCTCCCTTCTGCCCACTGAGCCTTAAGAGGAGTAAGGGCTTCCCTCCATAGTCAATCCCTGAATGACTCACTCATCCCTAAATCCTGCCCAACCCTCTGTAATTTGTGAATTGCCCTTTAGAGTGTGACAACTATTTTTTGCTGGACCCTAACTCAATAATGATCAATAAGCTCCATTTTGTTTTTTTTAAAAAAAAAAGAATAACCCTTTTTGCTATCCAGAAATGAAATGTATTGCTAAATTATCTGCACAATTCCAAATAAATAAATACATGATCCTAACTGGAATAGAAATAATAAAATAACTGAAATAACGTGTATTTCAGTATGTAAACACTTAGATATAACTAGTCAAGAAGATAAAGTAGATGTGTACACCCACTTATATAATAAAGAAGTCTGGGTTTAGGGGAAGTTAAGCAATATTTAACTGAATGCTGTCAACACTATTCTCTTTTTTTGACATTTTGAAATAAGGGCTTAATAGTTTTTGCATATAGCCTTAAAATCAAGAAAAATGTGACAACTGAAAATGAAGGCTGATACAAGCATCCTGTATTGATAATACAAATATCACAACCATTATTGCTGCTGGTGACATTGTTTTTCAAAATGGTGAGCAATTCTCAGAAAAGTTGCTAACAAGAAAAGTTCAGTCTTCCCTCAATTTACCTGGGTGTCTTCTACATATCTGCGAAAACTTGCTATATATTAAAATCATATAAAATACACTTTATATTTTATAAGTAAATAATTATTTCTAGGCTCAAATAATTATGAACAAGTTTTTGCCTACATAATGTTTAAGAGAACACTGAGATGTGATGTAGGATGAAGAACAATTATTCATCATGCATTTCAGAATTTCTAGAATCCCTAGACCCTACCCACTAAATACCGTAGCAATGCCCAATCACAGAGAAAATTCAAAAACACCCCCACAAATGTTTTAAATGTCTACTAGGGAGTATTAATATTCCCACTGAGAACCAGGGTTTATAATCTGGAACAACTTAAGGAGGCAACAAAGGAAGACAAGATGGGTAGAGAAGAAAAATAAAGTTAAAATTACAAAAAAAGTTCAAATGAATGAAATGGTAATCAACATATATGTAGCTGTGCAGACAAATGTAGTTGATCTTGATCATGTAAACACCATTAGGAGGTTTTCAATTTGTAGAATCAACAACTTAAAGTGTAGATAAGCCAGGTGCAGTGGCTCATGCCTATAATCCCAGCACTTTGAAAGGCTGAGGCATGCAGATCACCTGAGGTCAGGCATTTGAGAACAGCCTGGCCAACATGGCAAAACCCCATCTCTACTAAAAATACAAAAATTAGCTGGGCGTAGTGGCAGGTGCCTGTAATCCTAGCTACTCGGGAGGCTGAGGCAGGAGAACTGCTTGAACCCAGAAGGCAGAGGTTGCAGTGAGCTGAAATCACGCCACTGCACTCCAGCCTGGGTGACAGGGCGAGATTCCGTCTCAAAAAAAATAATAAATAAAGTGTAGATAGAGATCTTCATGAGGATTACAGAACATAAAATAATCAACCTTAGGAGGATTATAGAACATAAAACAATCAACCTCCAGAAAAAATAAGTTTGGAATGCAGATGCTGTTGGCAATGGTTTCAGACTCTCTTATGTCTGAGTCAGTACCTCTGAAATTCCCTTAGTATTTTCCCCAGAGTCATAATATGATTGCTACAGCTCCAGACATGGGATGGAGGCAGCAAGGCTAAAAATGTGTTATCTGTCATACACCAAAAATACAAAAAAAATAAAATTAGCCAGGGGTGGTGGCATGTGCCCATGGTTCCAGCTACTTGGGAGGCTGGGTCAGGAGGATTGTTTGAGCCCAGGAGGTCAAGGCTTCAGTAAGTCATGAAATTGCCACTGCACTCGAGCCTGGGCAACAAAGTGAAACTCTGTCTCAAAAAACAAAAAAACAAACCAAAAAAACTTATGTCACATGGCCACTTGTAGCTCTCAGGAAAGCTAGAAAAGCAAGTACCTTACCTAGGGCTGGAACTATTACAGCAAGAAAGAAATAAGGAAAATGACCGTCAAGTAGGCAATTAATATTGTCAGCAAGAAATGCAGGGCCATAATGTCTATACCTAAAGGAACAAGACATAAAGGGATAAGTATATTAATTAAATTACAAAGAGATATGTATACTATTTAAATTACAAAGCAAACTGTAGTTAAGATATGGGCCCTAGACTCCTTCCAACTTGTAGCTCTGTTATCCTCAATAAGTAGCAACATCAATTTGGCCAAATGGCTGCTCTAACTCCTACCACACTGACATTGACATTCCAGCCAGTAAGAAGGGGGAAGAGACCAGAGAGAACCATTTCTTCCCTTTCAGAAAATGGCCCATAGGTTTGTACTCATCACTTCTGTTTGTATGTTTGTCCCCACCAACCCTCATATTGAAATTTGATCCCAATGTTGGAAGTAGGGGCCTAATGGGAGGTGTTTGGGTGATGGGGGTGGACACCTCATGATTAATGCCCTCCCTGTGGTGGGTGGTGAGGGAGTTCTCACTCTGTTAGTTTCCGTGAGGGATGGTTGTTAAAATGAGTCTGGCATCTCCTCTCTCACACTCTCTCGTTTCTTCTCTCACCATGTAATCTCTGCATACACTAGCAACACTTTGCCTTCCACATACGTTGAATTAGCCTGAGACTCTCACCAGTTGCCAGCGCCTTGCCAGCACCATGCTTCTTGTATGGTCTGCAGAATCTCTTACCTTTATAAATTGCCCAGCCTCAGGTATTTCTTTACAGCAACACTAAACAGATTAAGACATCCCACTAGACTGAACTTAAGTCTTGGCTATAGCTGCAATGGAAGAGATGCTGTGACACATGTGAGACCCTGACTGTTCCACAGCCAGCTACTGACAGATTTTTGAGGCAACAATTCTAAGCCAATTCTTGCTCCTATTGCAGCAAAACTTACTTTCTACTCTCCTCAGAGAAGTATCAGCAGTCTCTGGCTTGTATCTGACTTCTGTACAAACATTGCCTCTGCAATTCCTCATTAAGACTGATGATCTTATGGGACCTGGTCCTATTTCGCATGGTAGAAATAACAAAGCTGGTGTTTCCCACAGTTGTGTTATTGACCCACATTCTCTATAGACAATCATGGTCTGTCCCATTGTTAATGAAAGGGGGAAAAGGAAAATGAGAAATGTAGACTTCAACCACACAGCATTTATCCAACTAAAAATTCTGTTGCTTATAAGAATGTGAGAACATCTTGGAGGTCCACTAGCAGTAGATAACCATATTCCAAGTGGAAGAAAGGGGAGCCACATGTCTGTGTGAGTGAGCTAAATCTTCCCCACCCAGCACCCTCTGCAGGAAGTACTGTAAAGACTAAAGTCTAAGAAGAATGAATGAAGGAAAGTGGTGTAGGCATCTTATTTTGATGTTGGAAGTATTTTCCCAAAGAATTAAAAACATTAATAGTTAAAAGAATTTCTTCTGGGAATGTGACTGGGAATGGGAAAAAGTGGGGCAGGGGACTGCTGCTTTCTATTTTAAGTTCTGCAAGGCTTATTTAACCACATAAACATATTTATTATTTTAATAAAATAGCTTAAACATTTTTAACCATGTTATAATCTCAAAATAGCACAGTTTCACCCTACTGCATTTATAAACTTAAATAATATTGAGTAAATACTTTCAGGCTATATTCTATATTACCTCTCAGGCTACCACCTATTCAAACTTTAACCATTGCTATAGTCTCCAAATTGGTCTTTCTTCTTCTACTCTTGCCCCTACAATCTATTCTCAAGACTGTACAACTCTAAGAGGGTGCCTTAAATTCCATCTTAACAAAGTCTCTGGTGGCCGGGTGCAGTGGCTCAGACCTTGTAATCCCAGCAATTTGGGAGGTCGAGGTGGGTGGATCACCTGAGGTCAGGAGTTCCAGATCAGCCTAGCCAACATGGTGAAACCCCATCTCTACTAAAAATACAAAAATTAGCCAGATGTAGTGGCACGCACCTGTAGTCCCAGCTACTCGAGATGCTGAAGCAGGAGAATTGCTTGAACCCGGCAGGTAGAGGTTGCAGTGAGTTGAGATTGTGCCACTGCACTACAGCCTGGGCAAAAGGGCAAGACTGTCTCAAACCAAAACAAACAAAAATACCCCTGAAGCTGTGCCATGTAGTGGCACTGTCTATTCTCAGATCAGACAAAGAGATGTTTTTAGAATCTTAATCAGATCATTTCCTGAAACTTTTGAAAACCTTCCAACAGCTTCCCAGCACACCTAAATTCCGAACATCTTACCACGGCCTAAAAAATTCATATAAGCTAGCCTCTGCATACCTCTCCAGATGCAATTCTTCCCACTTTCCTCTTCTCACATCATGCTAGCCACCCTGCACAACTTTGCTGCTTTTTATAGGAAAAGCTTATTCTATTCCACCACAGGACTTTTTATTCTTGCTTTAGTGCTATATTGGATACTCTTTCCTCCTCTGTTTCCAAGGGGCTCAGTCCTTCACTTAATTAATCCTGATCAACTGCTACCTGCTTCTACAAGAGGCTTGCCCTGACCACCCTATCTAAAATAACCACTGACACCAAACCCCCTCCCACAGTTACTCTCCCTTAAGAGGAATATACATATATGTATCTGTTGCTTAATCCATCTCCTCTACTAGAATATAAGCTTCAAAAGGGCTTTCTTGAGCAACATGATAAAATAGGGGGCTCCTGACTGTCCCTCCTCTCACACACTGAGAAATCAATTCTCTCCAAGAGAAATAATCCAGTTGAAAGACTCCTGTGTACCAGACAACTGAGGAAATACCCTTGTCAAAATGGGTAGAAAAAGCTGAGATATACTTGCACACTAACTCCACCCTGAGCACCCAAGAAGGAAATATCAACTCCCAGCTTATTCTTGAAGGGTAATAGTCTTGTACAACATATACCCTGCCCAACTTTTAGAGTCCCTGCTGAAGGGCTTTGCTCTTAAATCACCATGCCTGAGGAATGGCAGGGAGAGGGCATCAGATGATTTCTCTCAAGCACAAAGAACAAAGGGAGTTTTGACTGCATGGTCATTCCCAGCAGTTGTAGCCCCCAGGATCAGCCCAACTTCTATAAACCTGCATAGCAAATAAAGAATAAACTTATCTGAGCCTAAATGGGAAACATGGCACTCCCTTTGCCCCAGGGACAATTCCAGACCCATGGAAAATCTCTCTGTGGAAAGAGATGGGAGGCCTCTGCCAACAACAATGAAAGAGAAAGCACTCCCTAAGCCTTCTTTCCTGGCTTGCTTTTGAGATATAGTCCTGCAATCTCACATTGGAAGGAAGCTGGGGAATGGGCCTCTTCATACCTGAAGGGGAAAGTGAGCACCCTCTGTGCCTTTCTCCCTGGTTCATTTCAGTGATAACTCCCAACTAGAAATCTCTTCCTGCTAGAAGGGTGTGAGACTTCTGCTTGCCTTAATGCCAGAGTGAGCACTTCTTGATCTTTCTTCTCTGACTTGCTTCAGCAATAAATCTATATCTGCAGACTCTCCCTGGAAGTAGTTTCTGCATGCATCGAGTGCTCCAACTTTTACAGCCTTCACTTGAGTGACTGGCTCCTAAATCACCTAGCTCTGGAAGTTGATGGAGCTCTACACTGCTGGTCTCCCAGACCACAGAGAACAAAAGTGACTTTTAAACTTGCAAACCTTCAGCAACTATCTCCCCAGGTTAAAAGTGAGCACTCTGACCAAGAGTACAAGATTCTTCCTCAGACTCTCACTTTAGTGTAGGGCAGAATGAGTGGGGGATAAATTCCAGCTCTCCACTTCTCAAAGAAGGAACAGAAATATATATTTAACATTCTAACCTCTCCAGCTACATCTCAAGAGGCTGTCTTCTCTCACCTCTCTCAAGGCAATATCATGACTTGACACTCTAATTTCCTAGGAGCCACTAAGAACAAAGACAGCAGGTTGGACAAACACAAAGAGCTTAGAATATAGAATCCCTGATTGGAAAGAAAGATCTTTTACGCAAGACCACTCCAACAAGACAGGAAGGGGTGGTTCTCTTATCTAATGCACAGAAACCAACACAGAGAGTCAAGGAAAATTAACTAACAGAAAGATGTTCCAAATAAAAGAACAAGATACATCTCCTGAAGCTTATGCTAATGAATGGAGATATGTTTCTGACCAGACAAGGAATTCAAAAGGACAGTAATAAAGATGCTCGCTAAAGTAAGGAGAACAATACAAGAACAAACTGATAATTTCAACGAAGAGATAGAACATATTAAAAACTACTAAACAGAAATCATTGAGCTGAAGACTATAATAACTGAGCTCAAAAATTCAACAGACAGGTTGAATAGCAGCCTAAGTCAAGAGGAAGAGAAGATTAGCAAATTTAAAGACAAAATCATTGGAAATCATCGAATCTGAGGAGCTAAATGAAAAAAGAATGAAAAAGACTGAAGATAACCTAAGGGAATTATGGAACACCATCAAGTGAATAAACTATGCATTATCAGAGTACCAGAGGGAGAAAAGAAAAAGGAATACAAACCATATTTAAAGAAATAATGACAGAAAACTGCCCAAGTCTAGGGAAGAAATTAGAAATCCAGATCCAAGAACCTCATTGGACACCTAATATGATGAATCCAGAGACCCACAATAAGACACATTATAATCAAATTGTTATAAATAAGTTAAAATATTGTTTCTAAAGTGAAAACAAAGAGAAAATATTGAAAAATCTGCATAAGAAAGTGACTTGTTACATACAAAGGAACTTCTATAACACTACTAGCAGATTTTTCCAAGAGAAACCCTGAAGACCAGAAGTAAATGGGATAATATATTCAAAGAGCTAAAAGAAAAATAACAAAACTGCCAATAGTATTATACCCAGCAAACCTGTCCTTCAAAAATGTAGGGGAGATAAAACTTTCTCAGACACACAAAAGCTAAAGGAATTCATCACCACTAGACCTGCTTTACAAAAAAAAAATGCTAAAATGTGTCATTCAAGCTAAAGGAGAAGATCACTAAGGAGCAACACAAAAATATCAAACTCACCGGTAAAAGTAGTTATGTAATAAAACACAGAACACACTTATACTGTAATGGAGTTGTGAATACCAAATATATCTCTAGTATGAAGATTAAAAGCCAAACTATTAAAAGCTAGAGCTTTAATAATTTGCTAACTGACACAAACAGTAAAAGATACAAAATATGTCATGAATAATAAATTGTGAATGGGAAAAGAGTAAAAGTATAGAGTTTGTGCAAGCGATCAAAGTTATTATCAGCTTTAAACAGCCTGTTATTAGTATAAAATGTTTTATGGTAGCCTCATGGTAACCACAAGGCAAAAACCCTTAGTAGATACACAAAAAGAAAGCATTCAAAGCATACCATAGAGAAATCCTCAAACCACAAAGGAACACAGCAAAAGAAGAGAGGAACAAAGGATCTACATATTAACCAGAAAATAATTAACAAAATTTAATAGTAAATCCTTACCTATCAATAATGACTTTGAAAATAAATGGGTTAACTTTTCTGATCAAAAGACATCAAACAGCTTAGTGGATTAAAAAAAGAAGATGCAACTACCCAACTATATGCTTCCAAAAAGAGACTAGTTTCATCTCTAAGGACACATTCAGATTCAAAGTGAAGGGAAGAAAAAAGATATTCCACACAAATGAAAACTAAGAGTGCAGGGGTAGCTATACATATCAGGCAAAATAGACTTTAAATCAAAAACTGTAAAAAGAGACAAAGAAGGTCATTATATAATAATAAAGGGGTCAATTCATCAAAAAGTTATAATAATTGTAAATATATGTGCATAGAAACAGAGTAGAAAGATAGCCACCAGAGGCTGGAGGGAGTGGGAGGGATGGAGAAAGGAGAGATGTTGATCAAAGGGTACAACATTTCAGTTGAACTGGAAGAATAAATTTTAGTGATCTACTGCATTGCATGGTGACTGACCACAGTTAATAATTATGTATTGTATATTTCAAAATTGGTACACAAATAGATTTTTAACAACCTCACCACAAAAAGAAGATAAGTTGGTGAGGTGATGGATATGTTAATTAGATTGAATCATTATACAATGTATACATAGATTAAAGCATCACATTGTACCAGACATACACAATTATTTGTCACCCAAAAAGAGATTAAAAGCGCTATCTTGTCCATGTCTATATTCCAGTGTCTGAAATAGTTCCTACCACATGAAATCTGTTCAAATATTGCCTCAATATTTGTTGATAAATGCAATATGCTTTATAGCAGGGAACATTTTTCCCTGAATGTAAATTATTACAAAATGTTAACAGGAAACTTTTTGAAGATATAGTCCAGGTCAGACACTGAACTAAGTGCTTTTCAGAAATTATTTTATGTATCTTCCCACCATCTCACTGAAGCAAATATTAATCACTTTATTGATGAAGATACAGCAATTTAGAAAGGACAAAGAAGAGTAGATCTTTACTGCAGATAGGGTCCTAAGATAGAAAACTGAAAATGGAAAAGTCAAACAAAGGAAGACAGGGGACAACGGAGGAGGGGAGAGATTGCCACAGTGCTGGGAAAAAAAAAAAAATTACACCCTGGTTTCATCCCACTTTTTGACTTATGTATTCCAGCATTTTCACATGTTGAGTTTTCTCTTTTCATTCTCAAATGAAATGAAAAACAACCAATCTTAAGTACTCAATATCAAGGATTTTCTATTTGCAGGATACTTCATGATCTTGATCTCAGTTGTACCACATTCAAAATATATGCTTATCACTGACAATTTTTAATTATTATAAAACAAAAGCACAACAAATACATGCATATGTACATTTATATTTATACAGTATTCCCCCCCACAAAAAAAAAACAGGATATAAAAACACAACACTGTTGAAGCTTAACTGTTGAGCAGCAAAGCCACCAAGTAATAACTCAAGCTGTTCCTCTGCTAAAGAAAGAAAGGCTAGATTCAGCATACAAAATACGGTTTAGGAATGTCAATGTCTGAAAACGTGGCTTGTGTGAAATAGAACCTAAAATGAGTTCCCTGGGTCACCAATGTTAAGGGTAATCTCCATATTGCAAAATCCAATTAACATTTTCAATCTCCATCTTACTTGATCATTCAGTAGCACCTGACATTGTTTTCTACTCATCCTGTTAAGTAGCTCTTTCATTAGTTTCTGTGACATGGACCATCCTAGTTTTCTTCTAATACATCTGGCTACTTCTTCTCCATTTCCTTCTCCAGCTCAGCCTTCTTTCCAGTCTTAAATCCAGTAGTTCTTTAAGACCAGTCCTTAAAATCTTCTCCTTGCTAGACTCTCTTTTCTTGGGCTTCCTTATCCAAACCCATGGTTCCAATCACCATACATATGACAACACTCAAATTTAACTCTTGTGCCCAAATCTCTCCCCTGAGCTCCAAACAACTGACTTGTAAAAATCTCTCTTTATTTGAAGGATCACAAAGTTAACATCTTACCTATTAGATTTCAGCTTCTTATACCAAGATCTGTGGTGGATTAATCTGTATAGCCCCACATTGCTTATCTCTTACATAGTTTTAAGGTGATTTAAAGGAAAGAAAAAGGATAAAGTTCAAAGCCTAGGACTCTAAGATATGGTGATCAAACTTTATAGGGATTCTTACAGTGTTGCACAATTTAATCATGTAACTTTAAATTTTCATAATTACTTGAACATTTTGGCCTCCCTCTCTGTCATTTCAGGTGTTCCAGTTAAAAACAATGAGATTCATTATAGGAACCTTTGTTTTGTCAAAGAAAGCTTTATACAAAAGCTTATAATATAAAACACGTCAAAACACAGTGGACCTAAAGCAAGGACGAGGGAACAAGAATGGGCTTTATCTCAATCTCCCTACTTACTACTGCTTGAGAATATATGCAATCCTTCTGAGTCAGAAAAGAAGAGCTTCAAAAGTGTAGGCTAAAGTTGTCTTGTTATATTTCAGAATTTTTTCTTATGATATTCAGCATTTTGTAAGCCTTTTTAACTAAGCAGTATTTTTAGTTTTAGTTTTTCTAGAGAACCAAATTAAGGCTCTCATCTCTTTAAATAAAATTTGGAATGCATTTTCCTAAATATGTTAAACTAGTAAGAATACAAGTTTCATGGCAGCAGAATTTATTTTTCCCATATTCTAATAAAAAATTCCATGCAGATCCAGAAAAAAAATTTAAATAGGGTAACAACTTTGTAAACTAAAGTTAAAACTGTAATCCAATTTCCAGAGGAATGTCCACGGACTCACAACCCAAGAACAAAACTGGAGACACAGCCTCTTAAAATACATGTGTCCTGCCCTTTGAATCAGAATAGTAAGCACAAACATAAGGAAGGCGAAGGAAGAGTTATATTGTTTCACCCTATCTGTCCCTAGCTCCAGGAAAGGAGTACAGAAATGCCCTTAAACACAGGGAGCCAAATGCCTCCCTAAGGAAAATGATCTTTGGAGAAAGTAAAACCCACCTACTGTACTTGGCATTTCGTTTTCCAGATATATATTTTTTAAATGGAGTCCATATAGCAAAAGGCACAAAACAAAAATTTTTTTAATATTTTAAGTTCTGGGATACATGTGCAGAATGTGCAGGTTACATAGGCATACACATGCCATAGTGGTTTCCTGCACCACTATGTCATCTACATTAGGTATTTCTCATAATGCTCTCCCTCCTCTAGCCCCCCAACCCAATAGGCCCTGGTGTGTGATGTTTCCCTCCCTGTGTCCACATGTTCTCATTGTTCAACTCCCACTTATGAGTGAGAACATGCAGTGTTTGGTTTTCTATTCCTGTGTTAGTTTGCTGAGGATGATGGTTTTCAGCTTCATCCATGCCCCTGCAAAGGACATGAACTCATCCTTTGTTATGGCTGCATAGTATTCCGTGGTGTATATGTGCCACATTTTCTTTATCCAGTCTATGATTGATGGGCATTTTTGGTGGTTCCAAGTCTTTGCTATTGTAAATAGTGCTACAGTAAACGTACGTGTGCATGTGTCCTTATAGTATAATGATTTATAATCCTTTGGGTATATACCCAATAATGAGATTGCTGGGTCAAATGGTATTTCTGGTTCTAGATCCCAGAGGAATCATCACACTGTGTTCCACAATAGTTAAACTAATTTACACTCCCACCAACAGTATAAAAGCATTCCCGTTTCTCCACATCCTCTCCAACATCTATTGTTTCCTTTTTAATTATCGCCATTCTAACTGGCATGAGATGATATCTCGTTGTGGTTTTGATTTGCATTTCTCTAATGACCAGTGATGATGAGCTTTTCATATGTTTGTTGGCTGCATAAATGTATTATTTTGAGAAGTGTCTGTTCATATCCTTCACCCACTTTTTGATGGGTTTTTTTTTTCTTGTAAATTTGTTTAAGTTCTTTGTAGATTCTGGATATTAGCCCTTTGTCAGATGGATAGATTGCAAAATTTTTCTCCCATTCTGTAGGTTGCCTGTTCACTCTGATGATAGTTTCTTTTGCTGTGCAGAAACTCTTTAGTTCTTTTACATCCCATTTATCAGTTTTGGCTGTTGTTGACATTGCTTTTGGTGTTTTAGTCATAAAGTCTGCCCTTGCCTATGTCCTGACAGAGAGCCAAATCATGAGTGAACTCCCACTCACAATTGCTACAAAGAGAATAAAACATCTAGGAATACAACTTACAAGGGATGTGAAGGACCTCTTCAAGGAGAACTACAAACCACTGCTCAAAGAAATAAGAGAGGACACAAACAAATGGAAAAACATTCCATGCTCATGGATAGGAAGAATCAATACCATGAAAATGGCCACACTACCCAAAGTAATTTATAGATTCAATGCTATCTCCATCAAGCTACCATTGACTTTCTTCACAGAATTAGAAAAAACTACTTTAAATTTCATATGGAACCAAAAGAGCTCGTATAGCCAAGACAACCATAAGCAAAAAGAACAAAGTTGGAGCCATCATGCTGACTGACTTCAAACTATACTTTGAGGCTACAGCAACCAAAACAGCATGGTACTGGTACTGAAACAGATATATAGACTAGTGAAACAGAACAGAGGCCTCAGAAATAATGCCACACATCTACAACCATCTGATCTTTGACAAACCTGACAAAAACAAGCAATGGAGAAAGGATTTCCTATTTAATAAATGGTGTTGGGAAAACTGGCTAGCCATATGCAGGAAACTGAAACTGGACCCCTTCCTTATACCTTATACAAAAATTAACTCAAGATGGATTAAGGACCTGAATGTGAGACCTAAAACCATAAAAACCCTAGAAGAAAACCTAGGCAACAAACTTCTTTAAAAAAGAAACAGAAAACACTGAACAAAACAGAAAATAAGATTAAACATATCAGTGGTAACTAATAAAATGTTTAAACCCTCTTATTAAAGCATGGGACTAGGCATAAATTGTTGCATAATTTTCCTCAATACAAAGCAATCCAGAAATGTGAGTGTGTATACGTTTGCAGATGTGTACACGTTTGCAGATGTGTACATACGTGTTTACATTAGACGCATAACTAGGTGAATATGAGTGTAGGTGTATACGTATTATGGATACTTTTCAATCTCTCTGATAAACTCCACCAAAAGAAAGTAAAATCAGTGTTAAATCTGAACAAAGTAGAATCCTTGTCCCATATACACAGTAAGTGGATCAAACGAAGTTAATTTTCAGTGATTGTAAGCATATACTCATGAATCTTTACACAACTAAGAGACTGGAATCAAAACATATGAATTAAATATGGCTGGAAATGCAAAATAAATTAATACAACTAATAAGATAATTTAGTCAAAGAAGACAAAAATAAGATAGGAATGATTACTATAATAATGCTAATTATTAGATATATAGCAAACTTTTTATCTTAAAATCAGTATATTAATTTGTGATGAAAAACTTAAATTACATACAACAATGCTAAGTACCATAAGCAACATTCTCTGTCAACCTAAAATTGGAAATCTATTACTAAAGAGAAAACAAATTTTTCAACTGCAATTTCTAAATTACTCTTCTGATTAAATATGTAAATACTGGTTCAAGGAAAAAAGTAAAATCTGAAAAGAGAATATTTAAATAAAAATGCTTTATAACATAAGGACTGAGGCCAAACTGCACTTAGAGATAAATTCATAGCTTTCATATATTCTCATTATCTTATTACAAAACCAAAAATAAAGTAATCCTAAAAGAGAAGCTAGATGAGAGAACCACTCTCTCACGTCTCTCTCCCATTCCCTTGGTCCTCTTTAAAAGCAACAACAAAAGACAACCCTAAGGGAAACACAAAGAAAGGATACAAACTATTGATTTCTAAAATAGCAGAACTTATAAAGTTAACAGATATAACTTAAAAAAAAAATGGAATCTGGCCAGGTACAGTGGCTCATGCCTGTAATCCCAGCACTTTGGGAGGCTGAGGCGGGTGGATCACTTGAGGTCAGGAGCTCAAGACCAGCCTGGCCAACATGGCAAAACACCATCTCTACTAAAACACAAAAATTAGCCGGGTGTGGTGGTGCACACCTGTAATCCCAGCTACTTGGGAGGCTGAGGCAGGAGAATCACTTGAACCTGGGAAGCAGAGGTTGCAGTGGGTCAGGATCGTGTCACTGCACTGCAGCCTGGGCCACAGAGCAAGACTTTGTGTCAAAAAATAAAATAAAATAAGGGAATCCAGCAAATCTAATTTTATATTTATTTTTTCTTTTGAGACAGGGTCTCACTTTGTCACCCAGGCTGGAGTGCAGTGGTGCAATCACAGATCATTGTAGCCTTGACCTCTTGGGCTCATGTGATCCTCCTACCACAGCCTCCTGAGTAGCTGGGAACACAGGCATGAGTCGCCATGCTTGACTAATTTTTTCTATTTTTTGTGCAGACTGAGTCTCACTGTGTAGCCTAGGCTGTTCTCCAACTCCTGGGCTTAAGTGATCCTTCTACCCCAGCCTCCCAAAATGCTGGGATTACATGTATTAGCCACTGCACTCCACCATTTTATATATATACATGTATATTTTTAGGAAGAATATAATCTAAAATAAGACTTATAGCTAACATAAAGGATATTGGAAAAATAAGTGAAAAATTATGTTATATCTGAAAATAGCCACTTTTCTGAAATCGTGCAATTATCATATTTTAATTTTGAATAAGAAGAAAAAGCAATAGGCTAAAAAAAACAGGGTCTGGATGCAGGTAATTTCACGAGTGAATTCTTTCAAAACTTCATGTATCAGATGATTTACATACCAAAAACAAAACAAAAAAACTATTCTAGAGCACATATAAAGGTAAAATGTTTCTCAGTTAACACCTTTCTGATAGACCTTTCTCTTATGAACATACATGTAAAAATTAAAAGTACAGGAAACTCAGACTCAAAGGTGTATTAAAAAAAACAGTCATAATCAGGTAGAAATTACCCGAGAAATGCAAATATGCTTTAATAACAGGAAACCTAGTAATCTGATCTGTCACATCAGTAAAACAAAACTAGGCATTCACCTCTATTAATACAAAAAAAGGAATTTGATAACATTCAGTATCAATTCTTGATGTATTTTATTTTCTTAATGTAATTTTTGAAAAAGGATAAACAAAGAATACCAGAATTCTATCCAAGAATCCTAACCAACAGTATATTCACTAGTAAAGCACCAAAAACATTTCCCAGTGAATAATGGATCAAAACAAGGGCTTTGGCAACAAGTACAAATACTGTTCTATTCTAAAGAGTATGGTGACATATGAAACAAAAGAGGTATAGCTATTGGACAGGACCAGACAAAAGCCATCACTATCAACAGATGCTTCAACTGCCTACCTAGAAAATCTAAAAGGATCAACACTGAAGACAACAATTAAGTAACATCAATGACCAGTTAATTACAAAAAAAAGCTTCCCATTTATCCATAATGAGATTTAAAAAGATGTCACAATAAAAATATAAAATATAAAAATTAACTTGATTATAAATGCAAGAGATCTATATGATGAAACCTTCAAAAAGTTACAGAGTCTTGACTAATTGAAGATATCGTATGCTCCTAGAAGGCTGAATATAGTAAAAATATCATTGTTTCCCAAACAGGTTTAATTAACAACTAGAAACGATAGCGTCTAATCAGGAGCATGTACTTTATAGGCATCTCATTTCGTCACAACAGAAATCCTATGATTTTTAAATTATCAACATTTTACTGAAGGAGTAGTTAGGTCCCAGAAAGACGAAGTGCCTTGTTCACACGGTGAGTGAGTGAGAAGATGAAGTCCAGGCCCTCTGAAGCCAGTGCTTTCCTAACAAAGACGCTATACTACTGCACTATTTTTAAAAAGTGGCACTTTGGGAGGCCGAGGCGGTGGATCATGAGGTCAAGAGATCAAGACCATCCAGGCCAACATGGTGAAACCCCGTCTTTACTAAAAATACAAAAATTAGCTGGGCGTGGTGGTACGTGCCTGTAATCCCAGCTAGCTACTCGGGGGGCTGAGACAGGAGAATCACTTGAATCTGGGAGGTGGAGGTTGCAGTGAGCCGAGATCGCGCCACTGCACTCCAGCCTGGCGACAGAGCGAAACTCCGTCTCAAGAAAAAAAAAAAAAAAAAGTGGGAAGGGAAAGACGAATGATACAAGTAAAAAATTTCTGACACATTAGAGAGGGAAATAACCACACCAGAAATTAAAACGCAATGTTGTCGGCCGGGCGCGGTGGCTCACGCCTGTAATCCCAGCACTTTGGGAGGCCGAGGTGGGCGGATCACAACGTCAGGAGATCGAGACCATGGTGAAACCCCGTCTCTACTAAAAATACAAAAAATTAGCCGGGTGCAGTGGCGGGTGCCTGTAGTCCCAGCTACTCAGGAGGCTGAGGTAGGAGAATGGCGTGAACCCAGGAGGTGGAGCTTGCAGTGAGCCAAGATCCTGCCACTGCACTCCAGCCTGGGCGACAGAGCAAGACTCTGTCTCAAATAAATAAATAAATAAATAAATAAATAAATAAATAAATAAATAAATACAAAGTTGTCATAAGTTAAAATTACATGAAAATTTGAAAAAAGAATTAAATTAATAAACTTATAGACATACAACCTGTAATTATTGAACATTAGCCCACAAGGGGATTATTTGCTTGTTTTATTTTCTTACTATATCCTCGGAACATATTGGATAGTGTTAAATTCACATAATAGGGACTCAATAAATAGTTTACCAAGGAAATAATTAAATTGGGCCATAACACTTAGTAATGAAAGTAGAGATTCATCAAAAGTCGGGCTGCAGGCCGGGCATCTTGACTCACACTTGCAATCCCAGCTTTTTGGGAGGCTGAGGCGGGCAGATCACCTGAGGCCAGGAGTTTGAGACCAGCCTGGCCAACATGGAAAAACCCCATCTCTACTAAAAATACAAAAAATTAGCTGGGCATGGTGGTGCACACCTGTAATCCCAGCTACTCGAGAGGCCGAGGCACAAGAATCAGTTGAACGCGGGAGGCAGAGGTTGCAGTGAGCCAACATGGCACCACTGCACTCTGGCCTGGGCAACAGAGTGATACTCTGCCTCAAAAAAAAAAAAAAAAAAGGACCAGGTGCAGTGGCTCATGCAGGTAATCCTAGCACTTTGGGAGGCCAAGGTGGGCAGATCACAAGGTCAGGAGTTCGAGACCAGCCTGGCCAATATGGTGAAACCCCGTCTCTACCAAAAATACAAAAATTAGCCAGACACGGTGGCACGTGCCTGTAGTCCCAGCTACTAGGGAGGCTGAGTCAGGAGAATCACTTGAACCAGGAGGCAGAGGTTGCAGTGAGCCAAGATCACACCACTGCACTCTAGCCTGGGCAACAGAGCAAGACTCCATCTCAAAAATAAAAAATAAAAATAAAAAAAGAAAAGAAAAGAAAAGAAATGGGGAAAAGGACACTAGCTTACAAATACTCATCCTCACAAGCAATCAGAAAGAAGCAAATTAAATATCTTAGCTATTAGATTGACAAAGACAGGCTTTAAATTTTCAGGCCCTTTGCCCCAGTAATATTTTCATTATAAAAATCCATCACTAACTTGAAGGTATAAAATGAAAGTACTGAAACCACAACATCTACAAAGTGGTATAAAAGTTTCAAGAAGCAAGCAGAGCATTCATGATGCTGTACAAAGTAAAAGGCTCCCAAATGCAAACCAACAACGTACCTTTTTAATAAGATTTGAGGAAAATAGAAGCTTTTCCTTACTGTCCACCTAATGTTATAATTTTGGACATAGCAGAACTTAAACAAGTCATTTTAATTAATAAACAAGTCATTTTAATTACTTTAATTACTTTAATAAGTCATTTAATTACTTTAATAATTATGTTAGAATGACTTCTAAAGTTTACTTTTTGGAAAACCTGTACGCATTACTACTACATACACTGAGGAAACAGTTTGCCCACTAACGGTTTTGTAGGACCTTTGTGAACTGTACTGTTCAGTTAGGAATTACTGAGTGTCAGCTCCAACTTGGAGATTTCACTGTATTCTTCTTCCCAGTTCATTCTGGAATGGAAAGCAACACTCACACTTACCCTAAGCATTCAATATATACTTTCTGTTGCTAATGTGGTGATTTATCTACAGTTGTACAATGAATAAAAGACAGTACTGTGAATATAATTTAAAAGCCTCCAGCATATCACCTAGACACCTTTTATAAGTCTAAATAAATATGCACTAGCCTCTCCACTGTATCGACTGCACAAACTCTAGAATATTATTTGAGTGTTTTTTGTTCCTTGCTTCGAGTATCCCCATTACCTTTTCCTGCACATGGAATACCAGCTTTTATTAGTAATCTCACTTGTTATTGCCAATACTTTCATTTTTCCTAGGTGAAAATAAGCCATTTTTCTATATCTTCTCTTTAGAACAGCGGTTCTCAACCTTGACTGTACACTGAAATCAATTGGGAAGTTTTAACACTATACCCCCTGAGACTGATTTAATTACCTTGGGGTACAACCTGGATAATGAGATTGTTTTTAAAGCTCTCCAGGTGATTCTAATGTGCAGTTAAGATAAGAATCGCACTTCTTTTTCCTTAAGGAAATCATATCAAAACATTTAGGTAACTGAAACACAGTGAACATAAAATGATATATTACAGATTTTGGACAACAATTCCATAATCTGATGTTTAAATGCTCTTCAAACCCTAGAAAATATGCCATTTGTCCCACTGATATGTCCACTATTTAATTATTAGGTCTTTCCTAGGCTAAAAACTGAAACAGCAATGTCACATAACTATGCAATCCACCTCTTCCTTCACAAAGGTCTCAATTAATTTGAAATAAATATAAAGTAGCACAATCAGTCAAAAGTGGTCTACCTCACTAGCAAATGATAAAGAATTTTCCATTCAGAATTCCCAGACTTTATAATCTGGCAGTCAGCTTTCCTATTTTGTTTTGAAAGTCTTTAATGACCTTACAAACTGTGTTTACTTTGTAAAAGTATGAATGAAGAGAGCTGTTTCCATTAAAGGCAAACAAAACGAAACTGAAAAGGGAAAACACACCATTAAAATATTTTATTCACCTAATAAGCAGTCATTATATATCAAAATCGCAGCTGATTTCATTTTTGAAGGAAAGAAGCAAATGACAACGTCACTTAATCTGTCTGAGTTCTCATTAGCACAACTCATTCCACCAAATTAAGTGCTGTGGTCTCAGGATACCCTGTGGAAGGTTAAAAGAATCAGCTGAAGCAACAAGCAATTTTCCCTGAGATACTGTTTTAAGTCCAGTGTGAGGTTTTACTTTAATACGTGGTTTCCAACTCACTCCCAACAGGGCAAGGTATTCCCTATAATTAAAAGCAGCAAATATCACAACCCATCTCTTCTGTACTTGGACCATAATGCATCAAAGCCAAAGGAGCACAAAAAAATGAATCACCCTATCTCCCTAAGAGTATGGCATTTTTGGACTATCATCAGATCTGCTGGAAAACTGCAGGCCAGAAAGAAAGGCATACTATGGGGCTTCAACACTGCTAACTTGTCTCTGGGGCTTGCTAGAAACATCAGGAAAGTGTTACTTTGAATTCACTAGTTTTACACCAACAGGTATTACCATTTTTATGGCTTTCTTTAGGGGAATAAGGTGAGTTTCAGAGGTCTCAAAACATGTTTAGGAACACTAGTTCCCACTTTCCCACAGAAAAGTAAAAGACCCTTTCACATTGCCTTTATATTATCTTTACTCCATCCTATTCCTCACTAATTCTTTGAGGCATGGACTGAATCTGAGACTTACATGTACACAGCAGACACCAAAGTAGTCAGAAGATGAAAACAAAATAAAACCTGGAAAGTACCACTATGTCCAAAGGGAGATAAAAGTGGCCACTTTATAGTAGTTACAACATTCAAATGAGCGAGTTGGAGGTATATTATTTCACCCAATACTATTTCCCCAAATGTTCTTCTCCAGATCAATTTTACCTGTTTACTTCCCCACCATCTGCAATTTCACAGTATTATTTACATACATTTCTCAAACTTAGAATTATCACAGAAAATTATGCAAAGTGGTAGGAGTGATTATACAAAATGGTTTAATAAGGCACAATTTAGTGTGGTTACAGTGGAGACACACACTGAAACATAAAAATATAGGTATATGAATTATATGGAAGGTTAGTAGGTTCTATTTTAATACCCTCTTATTTCTAGTTAAAAAATACATAAAAACTCAAATAATGAAAAGAGCAGTGACTAGAAACCTATGGATTCTAATCAAAACTACCAGCACTTTAAGCCATATACATCTTAAATATTGTTACGAATTTAGACCTGAAGTCTGTGAACTCACATTTATGAGTAAAGGTACTTAATCTCTTCTATGTTGGTCATTATGCTTATCAGGATCTCTCTAACTTTCAAACCACCAAGGAACCCTTTTTTTTTTTTTTTTTACTTTCTCCTCCGAGGTCTCAATGTTTTTCATAAGTCTAACAAATTGCCTTTATTAATTAGTACCTGATTTGTATTATTGTTTTTCTAGTTTCAACACTGACTCTACCTTTAACTGAAGATCTAGAACCATCCAAAGTTAATCATCATTGTTAGCACTGGGGTGGTGCAAAGGTAATCAGGGTAAATCAGCATTAGAGGCTCAAGCACTATCACTACTGACATCACTTTCAATCACTGTTTATTAGTTCATACTCATATCATGTGTGAACCCCTGGATATGTTCATTTAGGAGGTGTAGCACCTGGAAAGGCACTCTGTCACAGTGTGTAGCCCATATGCACCCCCAGAATTTTCTGTAAAACCATCAGTGGTCAATCAGAGGGCTTGAATGTCATAAACTGACCACTATTATTCCTCAAAATTGAAATAGTCTAGACAAAAGCAAAGAAATTCATGTGTTCGTTAACTGTGTTTAATGCTACTAAGCTTTCTCAAATAGCTCATAGACACAACCTCTTACTAACTTTGTGGACCATTTTAGCCAAGTGAAAAAAATAAATAAATAACACTGCTGCTCAGTTCTGGTTCATAGAAACTCACCAGCTCTAATAGTGAACGGGCTTTGACTAAAGAGAAACCTGACTCCTGGCCTCCTGGGTAAAGATCTTATCTTTGTGATTAATTTTCTTCATAAAATGAGGACCCTTTCAGATCTCAATTTCTGGGTCTCTAAATTCTTGAAGTTGAGAGAAGTGAGTAAGCAGCAATATTCATTTCAATGACAACAATTTCAGCTATTAAATCTTTTTACTGGATGCCTGACTACTTGAAGATACAGAATAAAATAAACAACGGATTAGTGATTTTGCAATTACCTTGTTACTTCTTTTAGATAATCTAACTGTATAATGCAAGACTTCAAGTAAGTTTTGGCATTACTTATTAGCTTGTGCATCAAATTCACATAAACATAGTTAAATTCCCATTTCATTTTGCCCTAAGAGGAAACCAGACTGCCAAAAGTTGCTCCAGCTCCCTTTAGTAAGCAGCACATTTTTTAAAAGGTGGGGGAGGGTTGAGTAAAGTAAATACTTAGGCTATTTGGCATCCATCTTAATAAAAAATAAAAGTAATTCACAAAAGTTAACCTGTGCTCAATGCTCTAAGCATTTAGAATGTGGAAATTCCTAAGGATTCTATTTTTTTTCATAGAATATATGTTGTATTTTGCTTTTTTTGTAGTTTGAAATTATCTTTGGTAATGCCTGGATAAGGTTATAACAATAGTCTCCCCAGTAGTATTGTGAATGCACCTGCTTGCCAATTCAAATAATTTTGAACAAATATTTAAACAGAAGGAGTCAGAGAAAAATGCACTATTTGAACAGCTAAGGGAGGGTCCACTTCATTAACAAAATGCAACAAGTATTCACAGTATAAATCAACTCATAGTAAATTTGCAAAAGCATCTTCAAGGATAATATTCCAAGGAGAAAATAGTCTCTTAATTTTACCAAACATTATTTTTACACTTTAATCATTAAAAATAGGCTTAAATGCAATATGAATGGTAAAACTAGAGACTGGATGATATGAACTCATACCACAACATATACAAAAAATAGTTTTAACAATGACTATTGAAGCTGACAGTCGCTTGACTAGAATTGAGAAGAGGCCACGGGTGACTGCCTCAGAACAGACTCAATTAGAGCAGCTGATTAGGAAGTATGGGATTCATACAGGAGTGGAGCAGCAGGCTCATAAAAACACCGCGGGGCATTCAAAACTTACCTGAGTAATGGTGGTTTTAACTGTGCCAATTTGTTTGGGATTGGGAAATGCTATTATGACCTATTTCTCTTCTCCAACATGAGGAGTCTCCCTACCATTCTGTGACTGAATACCTAGGGTTAGGTTACCTGAAGGATCTGTTATTAATCTCCAGCTGTAAGGAAATATTCCATAAGGATTCCCAGAGAATAAATGATTCCAAAATAGTTGCTCAGTTTGTGTGTGTTTTAAAAAGTTGGGTAAGACCACTTAAAATTTTTTTCTAAGAGGATAGATCTTAAGCATACAATAGTGTTAACTATAGGTGTGTACTTATCCCCATGATACTTATACACCTATGAAACCACCAATAGTTAGGGTGGAGTGGTATGCACAGCTTTTTACATGTCAATTATACCTCAAAAAATAAAGGTTATCTAAATGGGGGTAGGAGAATGTAGGGAGACTGAATTTACTCTGAACTACAGTTATAGTTGAAGTCAACTCAAAACCTCTCCAAATTTCTAAAAATGCCTCACACACTGAAGTTAATATTTCAGAAAACTAATAAATGTCTGTGCATGTAGGTATGCCTTGAGCAGACTACAATCTCTCTGGATCTCTAGGTCTTGTCACAAACTGAGGGAACTGTTACCGATTTCTACAGAACCTTCCAGGTTCAGCATTCTATTAAAAAGATTTCCTAGAGTTTGTATTGTAAACATTTAACCACTTAGGACAATTTGAGTCATTACTCGTGTCTGGTACAGAACATCAGGCCCCTGGGGTCTTGTTTTGAAACTCAAGTTGGCCAGCCTTTCACCTGAAACAAACTTCTTACCTTTTGGGGGAGAATAAGCATTTTGTTCCCCAAAAAAGCATTTGGAAAGCATTTGTTATGAAGTGATCATGCACCAATCCTTTATCTTTCATCAGTAATAGTATATTTCATTAATCAGGCCTGCCCAGACCAGAAATTACTTACCCACAAACACTTTACAAAGCTGCATGCCTTCTCGGTGTTTGGATTTGATGTCCTGGTTGTATGACAATATAGGAAACGTATTAATTTAACTTTTTTATTCACTGAGGAAAATTTCTACCCCTCTTAAGTGAAGACTTCACTCTAGCTAAGAGAAGTACTCGGGCTCCACCTGTTTCGCCTAGCTACAACACTCATTCAGACCCTCGGCAAACCCAGCTCTAGCAATATCACGCCAGGCTAGGTGGACAGGAATGCACCAGTGCTGTTGGAAATTAAAGTTGATGGGAGTTGCATTCTAATCCGGCCAGAGCTGCGCCTGCCGGGTGCAACCGCGGCGCGGCCGGCGCTGTCGGTCTCTGTCTCACGGATGGTGAGCTGACAGCTCCTGCCAGCCCAGGCGGGGAGGAGGAGAAGAGGTGTCCGCTGCAGCCGCATACCCGGCGGGTGAAAGCACCGTCTTGTCCCCAAAGATTCCTCTGCCCTCAGAGACTAACAAAAATACGGTGTCCTGCGTTTCGCAGAAGGACGGGAGGCGTCCCAGAGCTCTCCCGGGAGAAAAACCCAGGGAGAAGTGGTGGTAGGAGGCGCCCGGTCCCGCAACTCACCTTCTGCTGCCTCCGGGCCATGTCGGTGGGCTGCTTGGCGTTGAAGGGGTACGCGATGCACCTCACGACGAAGACGTAGAGCTGCAGGCGGATCCTCCGCTCCTGCTCATCGTCCAGCTGCCGCTGGGGCTCGTCTCGCCCCTCGCTGAGCACAGAGGGGCTCGGGCTCACAGATCTGGCCGCGCCGCCGCCGCCCGCGCGCCCCGGCGCGTCCCGCCGCCCTTCCCGAGTCGGGGCTGGAGGAGCTCGCTGCGAGCTGCCGGCTGCCACCAGCACATCGCGGCTTTCCTCTTCCAGCCCCTCGTCCGACTCCTCTTCGCTGGAAGACGGGTCCAGCATGGTGCTCGGGGATCCCCGCCGCTCGGCCCGCGGTCCCCAAGCGCCTCACCCCCGGCGGCTGCGCCCGCGGGTCTGAGGGAGCCGCGGGGCTGGCTGCAGCGGCCGCAGAACGAAAGGAAAACTGGCCAGGGCTTTCCGGACACGTCGAGTTAGATTCAGGAGTGTTTCCTACCACCAGGGCGAAAGGGGCGGGCAGGAGCCGGGAGGAGGATTGGGAGGGGGGAGAGGGGGAGCCGCCGGGACTGAATAGGCGGAGTTAGCGTTGGGGGTGAGCTTGGGCGCCTCAGGAATTGCTCCGCCAGCCCCGGGCGCGCCGACCCAGCGGTTCCCCAGAGCCCGCCGGCAGAGGCGGAGCCGCCCGAGCGCCCGGACGCAGGTGGGGAACCTGTGGCGCCTACAACAAGCAACACGTGGAATTGAATGTTGAAGAGCCGCGCGGGGCCGCGGAGTGCGCGTGCGCGCGCCGCCGCTGCTGCCCGGGCCCGCCTGGAGCCCTAGCACACAGTTTGCAAAGGCGGGGAGCGGCCGAGCGCGATGGCCCGTGTAAGCGTCCACCGGGGCTGCTCCGACTACCCTCACCCTACCACCTGTGATCTTTTCTCCAGCAGGTGGAGGTGGAATGGGGAGCGGGGAGGGACTGTTCCCTAGCAAGAGGTTAGGGGGAGCGGCCGAGACATCTCCCCAACCCGAATCGGCTGCCTAGGATTGAACCCCAGCGCGGAAAAGCGGGACTGGAGCCCTTCACCACGAAGTATCTTTGCGACAAGACTTTGAAAAGTCTCACTCTGCTCTGCTGCCGTTTTGATACTCATGCTGAAGCCCAAATTATAAAAGTCGGAGTAATGAAAAAAAAAAGAAAACCAACGAGGCTTACTTTTTAAACTGTTCTAGTCCTGCAGACTCAAGGCAAGAGAGATTTTATATGTGCAAAATGATACTGATTCAGCTCAAACATATCTCGATTATTTTCTGGGTTGGGATGCAGTTGACTCAAAACAGGTTGTGTAGTGTGGACATTTATTCAACAAAGATTTGAGCGCCCTCCCGGTGTCCAGCACTGTTAGCCTTTTGCGGAGCCCGCGGTGACTAAGGCACATGACACTCAGTCGCTGGTGGTTCTGGCCTCAAGTCGGCGTCTTGTAGCTGCGCTGAAGCCTGCCTTATCTGCGCAGATTTCTCAGTCCTAGTGCTGGAACCACCTAGGAGTTTCTTATAGTAATTCTGTATCTTATGTCCTAAGTCCTGACAGAGGGGGAAATAGGCAAAACAATGCATTCAACACCAGGTGGAGTGTGCAGCGACCAGGTGGGCAGGGAGGTGATGAAGTTCAGTGGAAATAACACAGGGCAAATTAACTACCAGCTCTGAGCTCCTCTACCACCATGGTCAAACAGCAGTTTTAGCTTTTTCAGGCCACTTTCATATAGTTAGGTACACAAGAGAGACTTCTGCACTTACTGACATTCTCTCTAGATGGGTAAAAGACAAGGAGGCATTTACTCCTGAGGAGTCTTACCTATTTTTCTGCCTAATCCATAACAGGCCCCCTAGTAATAAAAGGTCTTCAGTAAGAGCATGGCTGTGGGATGATCACAAACTGCCAAGAAATAGAAAATCTCAAACACCTATGTATTTAAAGGCAATGTTTTATTTTTGGCAAGGCAAACAAATAGCAATCTTGTCATAATAGCTGATGCTTATCTAGCACTTTGCAAAGATCTGTGAAATTGTTTAATACCCTCATCAAAGTAATAGCTTTCTGAGGCAGGTAGTATTATTATTGATTGCCCTTTGAACCAGATACTGCACTAAGCTCTTTACATACATTATCTCATTTATTTTAGGTTCCATTGTTCAAATAAGGAACCTGAGAGTTGAAGAATCCTTTCCTTAGGGTACAGAACTAGCACCTAATGGAATAAGGACTCAAAACAGTTTTCTAGTTCCAAATAGTGTCATTTTCTACTGCAATTTGCCTTGATAATAAGACAGTATAATAAATGTATGAGGTTTACTAAACTAATAAAAATTTCTAGGGACATAAATGTATGATTTAAATATAGCAACTTTACTGCCCTTTTCTTGCCAACAATAGGTATATTTTTCAGTTCCTTTTATTAATCAATATTACTTGATGTGATCACTTATTCTTTTCCCATTAAAGGTGGTTATTAAGTCAAAGATCTCCAAGCCTTGAGGATCCCACAGGAAAACATCTAATAATTTTTAGAGCAGAATATACAGTGTTTTCTCCATGAAGATGAAGATGACTTAAGAGGCATAAATTAAAGAAATATCTAAAAGACAACAAAGAGAATGTTTAAGCATCATTAAACATACATTGATTAAGAAACTAACATATGCTAAAGCTATACTGGATATATTTAGGAAAACAAGATATAGGCCGTAAGAAGTTTATCAGTTAAGGAATGACAAATGAAAAAAACATTTATTTAAAATAATCAATATTTGGATTGCAATCTGATGAGTGTTCCAATAACCTGGAAGATAATGGCAATACAGAGAAGAAACACTTCATTCAGAAGATAGTAAGTGATATGGTTTGACTCTATATCCCCACCCAAATCTCATCTCTAATTGTAATCCCCACATGTGGAGGGAGGGACTTGGTGGGAGGTGATTAAATCATGGGGGGCAGTTCCCCCCTGCTGTTCTATGATAGTGAGGGCATTCTCACGAGACGTTTATGGTTTAAAAGTGGCAGTTTCCCCATCTCTCTCTCTCTCTCTCTCTTGCTGCCTTCTGAAGAAGGTGTCTGGTTCTCCTTTGCTTTCTGCCATGACTGTAAGTTTCCTGAGGCCTCCCCAGCCATGCGGAACTCTGAGTCAAGTAAACCTCTGTTGTTTATAAATTACCCTGTCTTAGGTACTGTCTTTAATAGCAGTGTGGAAACAGACTAATACAGTAAGAGAAGTCTTCCAGGATGCTTGACATATATCTTGAAGAATAATTTAGAGCTGTCAAGATGAGGACACTGTAGATAGGAAGTAATGCAAAGATGTGAAATTGTTTGCCACTTTGGAGAATTACAAGTAAAGTGGCATGCCTGAAGTGAAGAATGTATGTAATATGAAGATGTGGAAAATGAGACTAGAGAATAAGCAGAGGCAAATTCAGGATTGGGTCTGTGTGCCATGCTTTGGAATTTAAACATATCCTGAAGAAAATGGGGAAATACAGAAGGGTTTTAAGTAAGGTAAGACATACTGTGATCCATAACTCTTAAGAGTCCATCTGGAGCAATATAAGGGCAATGAAACCAGAGACAAGCTATAAAGAGGAGATTACTAGGGACGTCTGAGAGAGAAACAATGGGCCTTGAACTTAAGAGAGAGGACAAGAGGAGGAGGAAAGCTGATGAGATGGACAAAGGAATTAATAGAATATGTATGAGGTGCTGACAAAGAGGGTCAAGCATAGAAGATGCTTGTCAGAATAGTGTAACTTGATTAATAATAGATATAATATGATCTTCTAGAAGACAGGTAGGTTTGGAGAAACATCAGGTCTTTGAGGAGCTTAAAGTACACATATGGATGATAAGGTCTAGAAATTATGTGTTCAGAGTGAGAAGAGGGCCAATGAAACTTCCTTGCCTCTCCTCTAATTAAGGGATGGTTTGAAGAAAAGGAACCTGAAAAGAAGATCTGATCATTAGTTAATTGTACCCAAATAATTTTAAAGTTTTTAATTTTGTGCTTGCGCTAATGTTTTGCCAAGTTTCTACCTTACATATTAACTTTTCAAGTAATTATAACGTTGGTTGATGCTCTGGAATCATTGATTAAATGAGGCCCAACATAAGGCTATATTGGGCACACAGCATAAATGCACACAATACACTTAAACTTATTCAATGATTCGTTTTTACTTTTTTCAAGGTGAGCATAAAAACAAATTGAATTTATACTGCTTTTTAATGGAACATCTCTTATGCTAAGGAAAGATGGATGCACAGTAATAAAATGGAATATAAAATGTGGTTTTGGCAATAATATTTAAGGAAACAAGTATGTGACCTGAATATCATAGGTGGGCTGTTTTCTGAATGAGAATTAGTTTGTGCATTTGGCCTCAAAGTAAATGTTAACTCTTTCAACTCATAGATGAAATCATTTTTTTCATAGAACAGACATTTTTTGGTTTCCCACTTTAGGTTATGCATTATTCTGAATACATAAAAGCTAATAATTTACCCACTGGGAGAATGCATATGAAATAGACAGGAGAACAAATTAAACAATAATGATAATATATGCTCATGTGTTGTTAGAGAAAAATTCTCAAAATATCCCTTAAGTGTCTTGAAAGTGGACAGTCTATTATCTTTTGTGGTATAGTTATAACTAAAATTATTGTACAACAGAAAGAGGAATCTTTTTTAGGACAAATGGAAGAATCAGTTTTGCAACATCTATGGGAAAACTGTCAGCTCACATAGAAATATGCACTTACAAAAATAAAATAAAAATATTTGTTTGAAATTTTGTGTTGAACATTTATATCTTATGAGGCAATAATCCTCTTGGAAACCACATTTAAATCCCTTCTCTCCCTTTACTCTGCTTTTGCCTTTTTTCCTCTCCAGTTAGAATCTGAGTCAGTAATGAAGAACTGTTCTGGGACCACACATTTTACAGGTAATGGGTGAAAATATATGCAGATGATAAGCATAAATTGACAAATAAATGAGTAGTTCCCAGTTCTCACACACACACACACACACACACACACGCACACTACACTCAAAGGGTTGTTGTGAAGAATAAATAAAATAATGCATACGAAGTACTTAAAATACTTGATAATGCGTACAAAGTACTGGTATAGAGTAAGTTCTCAGTTCATGCCAAATATTTTACTATTATACAGTAATCACTTTATTATTAAGCTCACTTTGGGCCATAAAGCTATAGAAACCAAATGTAAATAAAGTTGCAAATTGTTCTATGCATTTATTTATTGGATTTTATATAACTCAGAGTCTGTATTGCTATTATCATTAACCTGTAAAGAATCAGACTAACTCCCAGATGTTACAATATCTTGATATCGGAGATTTCATAATTTTTATAAGAAGACTTGACCCCAAATAAGAAGCTACCATCCTTTTGTTCCTATTCAATCTATGGGCATTCATTAGAGACTGATTACAGTTCTATTATTCTTTAATTTTCTATGTTATGAGAAATTTGAAGAAAATGAACAGAAATGAGTTGGCTTGTAAAGTGCAGGGAGGAAGGGAGTGTAAAAGCACATTGTGGCCTGTGTTCAAAGTGTCAAAGAAAAGTCTTGCATCAATTCAAGATATGTATTTAGTGGTTATTATGATCACCAGAGAAGCAAATATTTAGCCCAGAAGAGAATGTTTGGGTTTTTAAAATGTTAACAAATCCATAAACTATGTGAAATTTTTATGGCAATGGATAGAACATAGAAATTATGCTCATACTTGGATAAAGCAATAAATAGCCAGAGGCTTTTTTTTCCCTCCAGCTTTCATAGATTTTTATACTTATATTGACTTTGTTGTTAAACACATTTTCTGCCAGTCAATAACATGTATTGAGTGCCTGCCTAATCTAAATTAAGCACTACACTAGAACGTTGTAAAGAGAGAGTTGCATTGATTGACTAGGAATTCAACCAATGTCTCACTTAAGAGATGAAAATTCTACTACTGTAAAATAACTTACACCATTTTAACAATAATGCTCAAGAAAATTCAACTAAAGTGAAATAGAGTTTTATGCAAAAATTGTAAGACTAGTAAAAATGATATTATGTGGTAAAAAGAAAGATGTGCCTTTATTAACTATTTGCTGTTACTCTAGGCTATAATTATTATCAAATGTTTTGTTCTTTGGACCCATTTTCACCCTTAAAAGTTATTAATGACCGCAGATAACTTTTTTGGTGTGGTTATATTTATCAGTGTTTCTTATATTAGAAAATAAAGCTAAGAAAAGTTAGAAATAGCTATTTATTAGTTTATTTTAAAATAACACTTATTATATAAGTTATATATTTTTATGAAAAAAACTATTATATTTCCAAATTAAAGGTTGGGTGAGAAATTGGTACTATTTTTATACTCTAAAAATCTCTTTAATGTCTGGTTTAATAGAATTCATCTGGATTCTCATATCTGCTCCCACATTCAATCTGTTTTAATATATTATTTTGACTGAAATAGATGTAGAAAACTTGACATCACATAGCTATATAGTTAAAAAATGGAGGAGTATTTTAATAGTCTTTGAATATAATTGTGGACGTTCTTCTTTGGTATTATACCAAAAGTCAACAAGTGGTAGTTTCTTAAATGTTAGGTATGATGTAGAATGGAAAACCATATCAATAAACTCTTCTTATTCTGTGATATTTTAAAAAATCTACTAGTCTATCTTGAATTAATTTTTTACCTATGCATTATTTTGTAATACTATTTATTGGTCAGTGGGAAAATACTGGTTCACTGAGTTATATAGATCTTTCAAAGTTTGACACATTTTATTAAATAGTATAAAAAAATCACATTGTCAGTAACCACTAATCTCTTAAGAATAGTCTATTGGAAGACTGTCAAGCTCACTGTGGCACATACAAGTTTTACAAAATTTTAATTTTTGCTTGATAGCTTGAATTTTGTCACTGTCAACAATACTGCCAGTTATTTTCCTTAAAGTGACAACCTTGCTTTATGCATGCACTTTTGAGAAAAATTCTGCAGAATATCCACGTCTGAATAATTATAATTTGTCTGTCAGTTGTTTTCTCAAGTAAAAATGGGGTTCCATGAAGAAACAGCTAGTTCAGCTTGCAACTCAAAAAGGTACTTCTCCTTGATACAACCATTGTACTTCATTAGGTGACAAGAAGCGCTTTATCCATACTTCCCATTTTTGACTCGCAAAATATATATATTTTAAATTTTTAATCAGACTGGGCAACATGGTGAAACTCTTTCTCTATTAAAAAAATACAAAAAATTAGCCAGGTATGGTGGTGTGCACCTGTAGTCCCAGCTACTCGGAAAGCTGAGGTGGGAGAATCACCTGAGCCCAGGAGGTGGAGGCTGCAGTGAGCCTGATAGCACCACTGCTCTCCAGCCTGGGTGACGGAGTGAGACCCTGTCTCAGAATAAAATAAAATATACCCAAACATTGAGATTTAACAAAATTAATAATTTTTCCTGCTAAACCAGGAACATTCCTAAGTGAAACTGACATTTTTGTTTCCTGTGAGTGTGTACCAGTCAATAACACATGATGACTATCACATTTTTGTGCCAAGGTCTTGATTCATTCTAAGGCACCAGCAGTTTTACCACCAATGCCTTTGTGCCATCAATACAATGTCGACACAGCAAAAAAGACAATAATGTCTTAATATTCTTATGAAAACAGTTTCACTTTGTAGACTCCCCCGAAAGGGTCTCAATGACCCCCAGGGATTTGAGGATGACATTTTGAGAAACCCAGTCTTCAGAGTTATGTCTTTAATCTTGCCATTGAACAACTAACACATTGTTATTACTGAGCAAATATTTACTCTTAAATATTCTGTCAGCCTGATTTAAGGATAAAGTAGGTATTTTACTATGTTGAGCAAATAAAGCTAGTGGATCTAATTACACTTAAAGATACAGACTCTGAAAATGTTTTCATTCCTAGTTTAAATGACCAGCTATCTAATTTTTAAGTGAATTTTAATGTAATCGGCTCTTTATTATAAAAGCATTGATTCAATTAACAATATTATTCTACAATATTAATAAACAAAAATTTTACCTATAGTTCTGAATTTGATAATCTGAAATTTTTCATTTAATAATATAGTGCCTTGGATCTGAATTTAAACATTATGCTTTTATCATACATCTGAAATTTCCCTAAATTTCTCATTAAGCTAAAAATTGCCTATCTACCTCTGAGAACTGAACATAAAAATACATATATGGCATAATTAGAATTTTTCAACTTTATTTTTTTCCTTTTAGTATGGATATCTGGGAAGCACTTAATTTTATTAAATTTGTGACAATTTTATATTTGAAACAAAATTTAGAAATTTAGAGTCAAATATACATTATATAGAATATAACTCCTAATGAAACATGATTAGAACCTGTATTATCATGTGAGGATAAAGCCAAAAATTCTATATTGTTGTTTGTAGTAAATATCATATTTTTACATCTCTCTCTATAGTATCATAAAAATAATCTATATAAAAATAAATTTGTAAGAACACTTTTATTTATACTGCTCTTTTTATTAATATATAATTTAGTTGTGGGGGAGAATGAGTCAAAAACAAGTAGGGGTGTGTGTGTGTGTACATGTGTGTGTGTATGAGAAAGAGTGTGTATTTGAAAAAAATGACAGGTCCTTTCCATCCCAAGAAGACTGTTCATATCTTTATAATTAAGCCCTTGGCTTCTATTAATCAAAACTATGACCAGAGGAAATATAGTTTAACAAAAAAAGGAGAATACTACTTAAAACCATAAAGCATGTATGAGCTCTAGTCCAGTAGTCCCCAATCTTTTTTTTGGCACCAGGGACCAGCTTCACCGAAGACAATTTTTCCACAGACGGTGGGGGCAGGGATGGTTTGGGAAGGATTCAAGCACATTATATTTATTGTACACTTTATTTCTATTATTATTGCATTGTAATATATAATGAAATAGTTATACAACTCACCGCAATGTAGAATTAGTGGGAGCCCTGAGCTTGTCTTCCTGCAACTGGATGGTCCCATCTAGGGGTGATGGGACACAATGACAGATCATCAGGCATTAGATTCTCATAAGGAATGCGCAATCTAGATCTCTCACATGTGCAGCTCGCAATAGGGTGTGCCCCCTATGAGAATGTAATGCTGCCACTGATCTGACAGGAGGCAGAGCTCAGGTGCTAATGCAGGAGATGGGGAATGGCTGTAAATACAGTTGAAGTTTCACTTGCTCACCTGCCACTCACCTCCTTCTGTGAGGCCTGGTTCCTAACACGCCACCAACTAGTACGTGTCTGAGGCCTGGGGGTTGGGGACCCCTATGTGAAACTCCTATATGAAATGTGTCATACTGATGGCCTTTTTTCTAAATAAAGGATTCAAAATTTGTATCATGGGGTCCAAGACATCAAAAAGATAGGAGCCACGGTATATGCATTTTAGTTAAAATGAGGTAATCTACACTGTATGACCTAGATAAATCATGTAGTTCCTGAGGTCCATATCTGATAATTAAGGTGAACTAAAGATTAAGGATATTAAACACACATATATAACTATGCCTTAATAATTCACTGAGGAGTTTTGTCCATCAATTTTTCTTTTTTTTTTTTTGAGACAGAGTCTTGCTCTGTCACCCACGCTGGAGTGCAGTGGTGCGATCTTGGCTCACTGCAACCTCTGCCTCCCGGGTTCAAGCAATTCTCCTGCCTTAGCCTCCTGAGTAGCTGGGATTACAGGCGCACACCACCATGCCCAGCTAATTTTTTGTATTTTTTTAAGTAGAGACGGGGTTTCACCACTTTGGCCAGTCTGGTCTCGAACTCCTGACTTTGTGATCCGCCCAACTCGGCCTCCCAAAGTGTTGGGATTACAGACGTGAGCCACCGCGCCTGGCCCCATCAATTTCCCTTTAACCACCTTAAACTAGCTATGTGTTCTACATTAAAATAACAAAGATTGTTAGGGAAATTTTTATTTTAAAATATCTTTGTATAAAATTAAATAATAATGAGCATAAATTACTTATAAAAATAATTAAATACTAGATTGAATATCAGGAGACTTTATTACCAGTTACACAGTTTCCGTAGATAATTAAATAGGTTTATTATCATATCTACATTTCTGAGCACTCTTTGGGAAGTGCCCCATGGCTACTAAGAACATTTCTATTTATCAGTATTTCCCTGATCATCCTTGCAAGGTGATACATAGTGATGTCCCATTGTCCTATAGAGATTGATAGTATTCTTAGCCAAATGTCTTATTTCACAAAATTATGCATTTGTATTGTAATAAAAGTTTATTTTCCTTTTTGGTGGAATTCTTAATTTTCAAATGAAAAAATAATTACAAATCTCTGTTAGTGCCTTTACTTACCATGCTATCACAAATAACACATGTACACACATATACATGCACATACACACACAGGAGTTATTTAATACTGCACAATTTTTCCCTTATATATTAAAATATTCTCCTCCCACAACATTTTTTGCTGATAGTTTTCCATTCCCAAACTCAAAATAATTTTTGTATTCCCAAATTTTACAAATATAGAAACATCCATAAGATGGTGCTGTATCTTTAATTTAATCTGGTCAGATACTTGGTGCTATGGTACATCTATTACAAACGTGGTTAAAAGAAGGGGTTAGAGTTTAATCTTTAATAAGTCTTATGTTGGGCAGCTGACAATGTAAGTTTAATCAGAAACTCTTAAGAAACTTTTCCTCACATATCATACAATTGCTAAAGTATCTTTGTTCCAGATCTAGTTGCCAAGTATAGGCGAAAAAAATAATTAAATTTCTCATTTCAACTGACATTTTCTGAAGAAGAGCCATCTTGCACATACCATATTAGACAAATGAAGAAATTGAATTATATACAGTATCAATTTTTACCAAGGTCAATAGTACTCTTTAAAAGTCCTTCAAAACATCCAATTTCATGGAAATTAGAAATGACATTACATGCAAGCACTTCCTTTCAAATGTCGAAGAACTGTAGAGGAATTAACTCAATAATTTTTGTACCTAACAAGGTTATTTATCCAGTGAGGGAAAGGTAATTTAAGATATGTTAATTATATATTTCTAATATAGGGTGATATAGTCAGGAGAAGCAATATTTCATTTCCTGTTTGATTACTCTTCATAAACAGATCTAATACGTAGAGTGCTTAAAAACTGGTTACATAATCCTTTATTTTTAAGATGAACAATCTATGTCAAAGGAATAGAAACATTTTGTAATGTAGGTGACACCGAAAAGCATGATCATGAAAGAAAATATTTGGAGTCATGAAAGGCAATGATACAGGTATCATACATCATAGATGTATCCAAGGCAGGAGCCAAATCTTCATCACATAAACACATGAAAATCTACAATGAAATATTTACTGCTGTGATTTCGAGACGTATTTAATTTTATACATTTGTCTTTCAGTTGCTTAGAATGTTTTCTCCCTGTGAACAGTGCCACTTTCTGAATGGCACAATCATTATATCTCTTAATCTAAAATGATGCTATCCAATTTTGCAGTAAAATTTGAATCGATTAGTAGGCATTATGAAGTACTAGTAAGAGAATCCTATATAGCATTATACTGCAGATTGCAAAACCTAGTGAGTAGTTATTGCCAAGAACTTTCATATGTTTAAGCTACATTTTCTGTCAGCAAAATATACTGGTCTTTTAAAAAATTTAAATAAGAAATAAAGCAAGTTGAAATAGTATTGGGGTTTATGCAAATAAAATCATACAGCAAAAATCAGATTCATTAAATTTAGAGTAAAAAATGAAAATTAAGAAACTAAAATTAAGTAATTTCCTTAACCATTTTCATTAAGATGATCCATCAACCTTTTGACTAATTATTTTTAGACTCCTTTGATCATAAAGTTGGTATCCCATGATACATAATAAACATTTACATCAATAGTGCCTTCCCACAGACTACTTTCTTTGACAAGTTCATTCTATATTCAGAGGAGGAAAATAGTTTTATGATATATAAGAAAAAGCCAATGAGAATTAAACAGATTAATTAAGAAGATGAACATTACTGATAAGCTTGGTTTGCCCATTCATTTAAAAAATAGACAAACAGGTGGGGCGCGGTGGCTCGCACCTGTAATCCCAGCACTTTGGAAGACTGAGGTGAGTGGATCACCTGAGGTCAGCAGTTTGAGACCAGCCTGGCCAACATGGCGAAACCTCATCTCTACTAAAAATACAAAAATTAGCCAGGCATGGTGGCAGGCGTCTGTAATCCCAGCTACTCAGGAGGCTAAGGCAGGAGAATCACTTGAACCCGGGAGGCAGAGGTTGCAGTGAGCCGAGATGGCACCACTGCACTCCAGCCTGGGCAACAGAGCAAGACTCCGTCTCAAAAATAAACAATAAAAAAAAATAGACCAACAGCATCTATTGGAAAAATAATACCTTATCAGATGCTTCAGAGGAAATCAAAGGATGATGTGAGTCTCTCTTTGGAGAGACTGAAGGTACCACAGGGCAGGGGCTGTGTTCAGGAAGTATTCTGATATCAGTTAAAAGACCATCGAGAATGTTAAGAAAGCAGCAACATATAAGGAATTCTATTATGGAAATCCCCACAACTTAATTCATCAGATATTTAAGAATTCACTCTGAGCCAGGCACACTGATATATGGAGGGACAGAATGATAAAGCAAAATAGACACAATTTGTCCCTCATGGAACATGAAGTTTAGGGGAGAAGATAGATATTAACCCAAAAACCACACAAAGGAACATAAAATCCATGCTGAAATAATTTTTATGAAGTAAAAGTTTTAGGGTGCCAATACGACCTAGTCTGGCAGAGGGAGGAGAGAAGCAAATAGAGCTTAAGCAGGCATCTTAAAGATCAGCATGAGGCCAAGGCAGGCAGATCACGAGGTCAGGAGATCCAGACCATCCTGGCCAACATGGTGAAACCCCGTCTCTACTAAAAATACAAAAAAAAAAAATTAGCCGGGCGTGGTGGCGGGCGCCTGTAGCCCCAGCTACTCGGGAGGCTGAGGCAGGAGAATGGCGTGAACCTGGGAGGCGGAGCTTGCAGTGAGCCGAGATGGCGCCCCTGCACTCCAGCCTGGGTGACAGAATGAGACTCCGTCTCAAAAAAAAAAAAAAAAAAAAAAAAAAAAATCAGCGTGAGTTGGAGAGTATTTCATAGTATGTCTGGGATTGGCGTCAAAATTATTTAGGGTTGGGGTGGGATTGTTGGTGCTATAGATGGAACAAGGTTTCACATATATTGTTAATATATGTTTGATAATTTTAACAAATACTTTAAATATATATAATATACATAATTCTCTCTCTCTCTCTCTCTCTCTATATATATATATATATATATGCACACACACATACATATAGTGTTTTTTTTTTTTTTTGAGACGGAGTCTTACTCTGCTGCCCAAGTTGGAGTGCAGTAGCGTGATCTCAGCTCACTGCATGCTTTGCCTCCCAGATTCAAGTGATTCTCCTGCCTCAGCCTCCCGAGCAGCTGTGATTACAGGTGCCAGCCACCACACCCAGCTAATTTTTGTATTTTTAGTAGAGACAAGGTTTCACCATGTTGGCCAGACTGGTCTGGAACTCCTGACCTCAGGTGATCTGCCCGCCTTCGCCTCCCAAAGTGCTGGGATTATAGGCGTGAGCCACCATGCCTGGCCCATGTAGTCTTTTAGACAGAAGGTGGGACATGAATTTTGTTTTTTGTTTTTGCTTTTGTTTGTTTTGAGACAGAGTTTCACTCTGTTGCCTAGGCTGGAGTGCAATGGCACGATCTCATCTTACTGCAACCTCCACCTCCCGGGTTCAAGCCATTCTCATGCCTCAACCTCCAGAGTAGCTGGGATTACAGACTTGTGCCACCACAATTTTTGTATTTTTAGTAGAGACAGGGTTTTGCCATGTTGGGCATGCTGGTCTCGAACCCCTGACCTCAGATGATCTACCTGCCTTGGCCTCCCAAAGTGTTGGGATTACAGGCATGAGCCACTGTGCCCAGCCAGGTGAGACATGCTTGAAGGCCCTGAGGCAAGAAGAAACTTGGTTTGTTCTAAGTTTCTGAAAGAAAATCAGAGTGACTGGAAAACAGAGGACTTAATGCAGACATTGTAGGGCCTACAGACCATACTAAAGGTTTTGGCCTTTATCCTAAGAGCAATGACTGGTGTTAGGTATCAGAGTTATATTCATATGTTTTATTTTTTATAATGAAAATCACTCAGGTTGTACTGTAGAGATTAGAAGAATACAAGAATAGGTGAAAGCAATATAAATGGAGGAAATGAAGTGACTGGAAAGAAATATAGGGTATACAATTGAAATAACTTGATGAAGAAATTGATATTAGGCAAAAATGAGAGGAAGATATTAAGAGTGTGTCCAAAGTGTTTGAGTTTCTGCAACTTTGGATTTAGATTTTTTTTTAATTAAAACATTTGTTTCTATTAGATTGCAAAAAAAAAAAAAAAACCCTTTCCTCTTGGTATCTTTCTCATATTATAGAAACTTGACCAATTGTTTTTTTTTCTTGTTTAAAAGATTTATTTACCTACTATAGTGCTAAATTTTTCCCATTTAGCTTCAGTTTCGTCTGGAGTCCGAGGGACATAAAATTAGGTAAGCTTTGATTAATAAGGTAAAATGAGCTTTAATACTCTGGATCCTGTCCAGGTGCAGTGGCTCATGCTCCTGTAATCCGAAAACTTTGGGAGGCTGAGGTGAGGTGAGATGGTTTGTGTGGAGGGTAGGGGAGTGGAGTAATCCCTTGAGCCCAGGAGTTTGAGACCAGCTTGGGGAAAATAGTTACATAGTGAGACCCCATCTTTATATAAAAGAAAGAAAAATAATAACACTGTAGATCCTGCTAAGAAATCCAGGATATGAATTATATTTATATTTCTGTTATTTATTTCTCTTCTATTATCTTATATATTTTCTAAGTCAAGAGTTGCCAACATATGGTCATTTGGCAGATAAAATACATATTCAAGAAATAAAGAAATCATTATGAAAATCTATAGCAAAAATGAGATGATTGATCTTTTCCTTTTATTCTTTCAATATTGTGTGTTTAGTCCGTAATTTTTAATATACTCATGACACTGATAGATTGTATTACTAGCACATATTAACTGGAGGCCAGAAATTGTTCAGTAGCTATTTAAAAATTTTAGCTGAGACAGAAGGAGTTTTACCCGAAACTCTCACTAGAGAATATCTGTCACAGGATGAAGCACTCACGACAATGAAGGATACTTAAGCAAAATTTATTGCTTCCAGATTGTTAGTCAGTTTCATGTCAGTGATGCAATATTGTTCAAATGTTCCAGTTTAACATTTTAACAAGAAAGTTTGGAGCTGAAATAACCCTTTAACTACACCACTGAAAATGTTCTCAGGAAATCATCAGAGACGTTTTGAGATAAAAAGGCAGGCTATGCTATAATAGAAAGTAGAATAAGTTAAATAACATCTCTAGTGTGATTTTTTTCTGCAATTTGATGTGAGGAACAAAACTCTAACCATAGCCCTCATCTGAATCATAGTGAATTAAATGAAAATGTCTTAAAAGTAAGATATCTCATTAGACTATATCTTGCTTTATGGTAAACAAAGAAGGAAAAAGGATAAATGGACCTTTTCTTCCTAACACAGTGACCTAACTTTCCAATCCAGATGACTGTTTGGCCAGATTCTGGACTATCTGGATTTTTATAAATGAAGCTCAATTTTTTTAAACTGCAGAACAAATATTAAAATCAAATAGCTGCCCACTAATAAAACACTCTAGACAAGAAGCCTGCTAATATAAGACTGCAACAACTATCTCATTTAAGGTTAGGATTTACAGAACATTGTTCAGATAGTAAAGGTAGGAAACAAACACCCTCTCTCTGTCAGACACAGGAGTAAGAGGAAGCAACTTCCTGGGCTTTTTACCCAATTATTGTCAAGAATGAAAGTTAGTTACTTCCCTAATTATAAACATACTTTGTGTTTTGTTATTTGTGAGCTGAAGACACTATTTTTAAAAAATTAATTTCAATTTAATTTCACAAATGTTTGCTGAACACCTGCTACACGGCCTGCACAATTCTAGGCACTGAGGATACAGCAGAAAACAAAACAGACTTTTAAAAAATCTTGCACATGCATAACACTTTTAACATTTTCAAAGAACTTCTATGGCCATTACTTTATTATTATTTTTTTACAATACTCTTGTAAAGAAAGCACAGAGAGATTAAAATGATTTGTCAAGGTTTAGATCATTAGTTCATAGACACTATCTTAATTCCAGACCTATAACTTTCTTCTGAGTTACAGACCTGTTCTTCATTCATCAACTGATTAGTTTTACTTGGGTGTCTGAATATAGCTAATTATCTCTTGTATTAGTAGCAATGTGGTGCAGAAGTTGTACCTATATTGCCAGCGCTCAAATCCTTTCTGCCACTTAGGTGGCTGAATAATACAGCACCCTAAAACTTAGTGTAATAAAGAACAATCAACTGTGTATTCTCTCTCGCTTGTTTGTGGTTACAAGGCCAGGCTGTGCTCTAAGTTACAAGTTGGTTCCAAATCTACTCCACCTGTCTTTCATCTCTTTTGACGAGTAGGCTATCTAGAGCAGGTTCTTCTTTCAGTGATGGCAGAGGCCTAAGGGGAGAACCCATTGCTGCATGCATTGTTTCAAGGCTGCCTGTGTCATCTCCACTAACATCCTATTGGACAAAGCAAATCACATGGACAAGCCCAAAGTCTTTCTTAATAAAGGGATAGAAAAGTACACTCTGTCCACTAGGAGGCCAAAGCCAGTCACATGACCAAACAAAACATCAGTGGGATGGGGAAGGGAGAGGAAGAGAAAGTGGATATTTTTGAAGAATAATCTACCATAGGTGCCTTAACATTTCTTGCCTCAGTTTATCCCTGTGCAAAACTCTCATAAGGTTGTTGTGAGAATTCAGCAAAGCATTTAGGATGCTTGGCACATGGTGAATGCTAAGTAAATAGTAGGCATTACTATTTCTATGTATCTCTGCTCATTAAATGGGATCCCCAGCTCCAGGCCTCTCAAATCCGTGCTGTTTCCTTTCATATCCATCCTCTTTGTCATGGGAAGCGCATTTGTTTGGCCCAAGACAAAATGTTTACACTTTGGTGAGGCTACCTCTAGTGACTGTATCGGTAAAATGACTCATCTATAAGGGAAGGTCTATTAGGTAAATCATACACATTTCCCCTTTTATTTAAGGCACATCTCTTCATTACGTTTTGTGATCCAGAGATTGCAAGCACTCAAATGTTCAGCTTAATAAAGTAAACATTAATATATGAAATGAATTTCTTTTTTGAAGGAAGACAAAAAGGATTGTAATAAAGATAACCTAATTCAAATGGCACCACCTTTGTGAAGTGTTCTCTAACTTCCCTAGGAAGTTAACTTCCTTCCTCTTTAATTGCCAATATATTTTTTCAAAACCTTTATTACAGCATTGACTAGATTACACATGATGTGATTTTATGCCTTTCTCCCTAAGTGAGAACTTCCAAGAAATAGTTTCTTATTTTTGTCTCATTCCTAACACAGCACATGACACAAAGTAGGTGGTCAATAACATTCACTGGCTAGAAATAGGGACAAGACAGAGATGGAACCTAGCAAATAATCATTGGATTTCACTTTTTCTCTACTTCTAACAGTGATGCTCACTAAAAGATACAGTTCATTCTTTGTAAATTATGCCTCAATAAATTTGGGTTTTAAAAAGAGGCTCCCAAAAGGCAAGGGATGAATGCTTTTTACTAATAGAATATGATATTTATAGCAAAATGGATATAAATTATTAATAATATTGCTGAACCCTTTTTAAAAATGAAGTTTGACTAGTACTAGAAAATTCACATTGTACAGAAGAATTTAGAAGGTAGCATAAAATAGCCTTTTCAACAAATGCTGCTGGAAGAACTGGATGCCCATATGACAAATGAACAGCCATCCTCTCACACCACACACAAAAATTAACATAAAATAGATGATAGACCTAAAGCAAAGCTAAATCTGTGGGATTTCTAGAAGAAAACATATGAGAAAAATTTTTCTGACCTTGGGTTATGTAAAGATTTCTTAGATAATATGCATGAACAAATGAAACATAAAATAGAAAACTGATAAATATCTTTATCAAAATTAAAAATGTTTTTTTCCTAAGAAGACACTATTAAGGAAATAAAAAAGACTTACAGATTGAAAGAAAATATTCATAACACATATATATGACAAAACATTTAGAATATACAATGAACAATTGCAATTCATTAATAACAAGTCAAACTGCCCAACTTAAATATAGGCATATGTATTTAAACAGTTATGTCACAAAAGAAGATATATAAATAGCACATATACCCACGAAAAGATGCTCAACGTCATTCACCTTTAGAGGGAATGCTGATTAAAACCATGAGATAGTACCGTATATCTATTTAAACTAAAATTTTAACAAGACTAACAATACCAAGTATTGGTGAGAATGGGGGTGCAACTAGAACATACACTCTACCCAAGGGTATGTAAAATGGCACAATCACTTTGCAAAACTCTTTGGCAGTGTCTTATACAGTTAGACATATAATTACCATATGATCCATCAATTCTCCTAAGTATTTACCAAAGAAAATGAAACCCAGTGTTCATATACAGACCTGTTTATGAATGCTTAGATCAAAATTATTTGTATTTAACTAAATGTTAGAAGTTATCTAAATGTTCATCAATGGATACATTAAAAAAGGGGTATACATATATATGTACAATGGAATGCTATTCAGCAATAAAAAGGAATGGACTACTGATACATGCAACATACATGAAAATGTCATGATGAGTGAAAGAAGCTAGAATCAAAAAGTACATCTATATATACATATATATTCTATTTACATAAAATTTTAGAAATTGCAAACTAGCCTTTTATGACAGAAGGCAGGTCAATGTTTGCTTGGGGCAAGGGGTAGAGGAATAGATTAATTAATAGGGGCCATAAGAAATATTTGGGGGATTATGAAAACATTCTGTGTCTTGATTTCTAACAGTAGTTTCATAGATGCATGTATTTGTCAAAACTCAGCAAATTGTATAGTTCATATAGGTGCAGTTCACCATTTGTAAATTATACCCTAAAAAAGTTGACTTATAAAATAAAAAGAATAGACATTTTATCAGCTGATAATATTTATTACAAAATAGAAAAAAGCAATATTGCTGAACACTTATAAAAATATACTTTATTTAGTGCTTAAAATTAACATTGTACAAAGATGGAGTTAGCAAATATAATTTTTAAAAATAGTCTTACTCTCTGGTCTCATACAGTTCTTACTCCTTCCTCACCATTCCTTCCCCTATTTCCTTAAGTGAAAGGGTGGACATTGCTTTCCCTTTCTCTTTTCCCTTCTCTTTTTATTTCCCTCCCCTCCACACATCGAAAACAAAATCTATTATTTTAGGCACTGCTGATTAGATAAAAGGGTTTTATTTTTTAATTTGGGAGAGAATGTTCAGGTATAAAGTTAAAATACTAGAAGTAGTACATGTAATCTCATTAAAACAATTGAAGTACTGACAAAAAAATGAATTAAACATTTCACACACAATCTCCAGAATTCAAAGAAAGTACTCCCAAGGTCATGGTAAAACATAAGTGCTTTCAAGAGCTCATGAAATTCAGACCTAACTTAGTATATCTCTGAGGAGACCATTGCTGGTTTCCAGTTGCTTTCCCTCACAATTGGTACATTTTAATCGAAAAGTTGATCTTACATTTGTTTTTCTTTCTTTCTTTCCTACTTAGGAAGTTCACAAAGAACAGAGCAGAGTTTAAAGGTCTATTTCTAAAATAAACTCAGATTTTTCTGCAGTACAACCAAAAGACACCGTTAACCTTTTTAATAAGACAGTCTCTATGAATTCTAGCTAATTTAATTTTTTCAAATTGAGTATTTCAAACGACGAATTTTTTTTTTTTTTTTTTTTGAGACGTAGTCTCGCTCTTTCGCCCAGGATGGAGTGCAGTGGCACGGTCTCGGCTCACTGCAAGCTCCACCTCCCGGGTTCACGCCATTCTCCTGCCTCAGCCTCCCCAGTAGCTGGGACTACAGACGCATGCCACCACGCCCGGCTAATTTTTTGTGATTTTAGTAGAGACGGGTTTTCACCGTGTTAGCCAGGATGGTCTCGATCCCCTGACCTTGCTATCTGCCCGCCTCGGCCTCCCAAAGTGATGGGATTACAGGCGTGAGCCACCGCGCCCGGCCTCAAACGACTAATATTAAAGGACCATTGTAAACACAGTCACATGAGATTCTTTGGAATTGTAATAGAACCTGCATATCTAGAGATTTCAGAAACATTGCCATATATAAATAAATCTTCCTCTGGCACACATGTACCTATACACATGCCTGCCACACCCATAAATTTTCAAGAGCTGGAATTGGGAAGAAAAAAAATTATGGGACAATACTAAGTAACCATCAATTTTTAATGGCATTTTTACAGGACCAATTTAACAGTCCTTTATTTACATTTTTCACCATCCAGTCTTATCCACAATGATATATCATGCATGGAAATATGGGAAAGTTTGCAGCATTTTGAATATACAGCAAAACGTTATTAATATTCTTTCCCATCACTATCAACAGCTTATTTGAATTCTAGAGTTAGTGCAATAAGATATCCACATGCTAACACCCTGCAGACAGCCACCAGTGAATTCAAACAACGGGTCCAAGACTGATGAGAAATATAAAACTTGCTTTCCTGCAAAAAAAAAAAAAAAAAAAAAAGCCTTTGAACAATATAAGTACAATCCTGGCATGACTTCTTCTTGTTGATATTGTTAACTTTCAGCTAGAAAATTACCTGGAATTTTTCCAAAGCTACCTTAAGTTCACAGCCTTCCTCCCATAATACAATTGCATTGTTATTTAAAATTTAATATCTAATTACACAGAAAGTTAAATATTTCAGTAGCTAATAGGAACAACAGTAATAATGACAGCTTATGTTAAACACAGAAACATTGTCATCTACGTAAAGGTGAAAATGCGTATTACATGCCAGGCACCCTACTAAGAGATTTACATAATTGTTTTTATTTGATTCTTACAAAACCCCCATGGAGTAACTTCTATTAGCTTCAAACTTTACAGATGAAGAAATTGAGACTTGGGAAGATGTTCAGTAAACTTCTTCAAGGTTACTCAGCAGCAGAGTTGAAATTTGAATGCAGATATTCAAACTCTGGAATGCAGTCTTTTTACCACTATGAATTGCAAATATTTGCAATATATAGAGGGAGTGAAAGGTAACTGTCTCTGAACTTTAGGTAAAGAATGTCAGAAATGAGGCACATTTTTTAAAAGACTTTAATTTAACCAGGGGTGCAGGAAATTTGTATTGATGACACCTGTGTCAGATTTTGCGCCACTCACTGAGGTCCAAAATTTCATAAGACTGGCAGTCTACTGTCAAAGATATCATAGGCTAATGAAGGAGAGAGACAGTTATATAAAAAGTTAAATAAAAAAATGAGTTAAATTTGTACTATAGAGGTATGAAGACAGTACTAGAGAAGCACAGAGGAAGTGAGTATTGAAGCGCTTTAGCAGAATCCATACTGCTTTCCCAGAGTAGGTGGTATCTGAACTCATCAATGAGTTATTTTCTTGGCAAATCATCTAACAAATGTGACCCAGACACCTGTAAAACAAGATATAAGATGCAAAAGATTACATACTAGCAGCAGAGCCTATAGCACTAATATCAAGCTCATAATACTGTGTTACAGGAAAGGGGTCCCAATCCAGACACCAGGAGAGGGTTCCTGGATCTCACACAAGAAAGAATTCAGGGCAAGTCAACAGTGCAAAGCAAAAACAAGTTTATTAAGAAAGTAAAGGAATAAAGAATGGCTTCTCTCCATAGAGCAGTCCTGAGGGCTGCTGGTTGCCCATTTTTATGGTTATTTCTTGATGATATGGTAAACAAGGGGTGGATTATTCATGCCTCCCCTTTTTAGATCATATAGGGTAACTTCCTGATGTTGCCATGGCATTTGTAAACTGTCATGAGGCTGATGGGAGGGTAGCAGTGAGGATGACTAGAGGTCACTCTTGTGGCCATCTTGGTTTTGGTGGCATTTAGCTGGCTTCTTTACTGCAACCCATTTTATCAGCAAGGTCTTTATGACCTGTATTTTGTGCTGACCTCCCATCTCATCCTGTGACTTAGAATGCCTTAACCATCGGGGAATGCAGCCCAGTAGATTTCAGCCTCATTTTACCCAGCCCCTATTCAAGATGGAGTTGTTCTGGTTCACATGCCTCTGACAATAGCATCTAAATAAATTATTCATAGCCTGAAATTTGTTAATATTTTCCCCTACAGCTTATTTCTGGAGAGTGAATTGACTAAGTGTTGAATAATAAATAATAAGAAAAAATGCCATTAAAATAAAAGAAATGGAGTAACATTTACATGCATTGGAAATCAAAAGCATTTTGAAAGAATAGTGATTTGAAGATCCGAGTGAAAAAAAAAGTATTTGACTCTTGAAAATAGAGACAGTAATTCTGAATTGTTTTTCCTCTAGTGTATATTTCTTTAATTTGAAATATCATTCTGTTTTATTAATTTGGCAATAATTTCTAAATAATGTGACATGCAAAGTATACATTCTTATTCACTCTAAAATGCAGCATAAATTTTATAATCTCTTCATTTTAACTTAATTTATATTGATTTTATTTTTTAATTTAAGCAAAGCTTTTTAAGGTTTGAATCATTTGTTTTTACTCTCCCAGCAGCTTGCTTTCTATGAATGACAGTTCTGAATATAGAAGCCCTATGTTAGCCATATACTAATCTAAAAGAGGAAGGACTCAAGAAAACCACTGGATACATCCTTCTGCTTTACATCACTTTCAAGCTCCACTTACATTAGCAAAAGAAAGCATGAAAAATAAATCCATTGTTTTATTGACGGTTTGGAACAAAAGGAAGGCATTAATGCAAACAAGTGGAAAATTTTTTTTTTAAAGAATGGCATCTGACATGGTTTGGCTGTGTCCCCACCCAAATCTCATCTTGAATTGTGCCTTTTACCTTCTGCTATGATTGTGAGGCCTCCCCAGCCACGTGAAAATGTGAGTTCATTAAACATCTTTCTTTTGTAAATTGCCCAGTCTCGAGTATGTCTTTATCAGCAGTGTGAAAATGGACTAATACAGCATCTAAGAAATTTTTAATTCTTTTGTCCATTCTCTAACCCATCACTGTAAAACTGTGATTGATCTGGAGAGCTCTCGAGATTTTATGACCAATAATCCTCATGGCTAAAGTACACTGTTTTATAAGGTGAAGCAAACTGGATCAAGGTCAGTCTGTTCTGAAATTGAACCAAACCTTTTTAAAAATATGTAAGACCAAGTAACACACACAAATACCTCAAAATCCAATTTTAATGGCTTAAACAGTAAGAACATTTAACGTCTTATGTGGCTGAAGTCCAGAGGTCAGACAGACTTTAGGCCCACTTAATTCAGTAACTCTGGTTCTGTTTCTTCAGTTTCCTGTCTTGTGCCTTCCCCTGAGTGTTGTATTTTTCCTCAGGCTACACCCTTCATGGTAGTAAAAATGCAATAGCACATCACCTAACCTTACACCAGAGAACAAAAGTAAGGATTCAGGGAGCCATTTTGTGATCAAGGGTGTTTTTTCTCCAGAAGCTTTCAACAAACGTCTCCAATTATCCAGAATTTGGCTACATAGCCATTTCTGACTGAATTTTGTAGCCAGAGACATGCCATGTGCTGACTGGGTTAGGCCTGGATCTCCGAACCAATCACTGGAATCCACCTTCCTTCTTAAACCAAACAGCAAACGCTTAGCGCTTGGGGAAAAGTCAGCTTCTTCTAAGGTACTTGGGCTGCCAGAAGGGATAGTATACAACGGGGTTCTGTTAGAAAGGGAGAAAGGGGCTGGGCGCGGTGGCTCATGCCTGTAATCCCAGCACTTTGGGAGGCTGAGGTGGGCGGATCACGAGGTCAGGAGATCGAGACCATCCTGGCTAACACGGTGAAACCCCGTCTCTACTAAAAATACAAAAAAATTAGCCGGGCATGGTGGCAGGCGCCTGTAGTCCCAGCTACTTGGGAGGCTGAGGCAGGAGAATGGCGTGAACCTGGGGGGTGGAGCTTGCAATGAGCCAAGATGGTGCCACTGCACTCCAGCCAGGGCAACAGAGCGAGACTCCATCTCAAAAAAAAAAAAAAAAAAAAAAGAAAGGGAGAAAGGGCTGGATGGTAGAGACAATCATTATCAACCATGAAACTATCCATTTCCTATGCTAAATATTCAACAGAATTTTGAGGAAATTGGTGGGAAAAGGAACTCCCAAGAAGGCAAAGTGTTAGGTATAGCCAACAGTCTGAATGGCTCCCTCTCTAATCTATATAGAGATGAAAAAGAATCACAATTAATAATATTCTTGCCAGGTGTGGTGGCACATGCCTGTGGTCCCAGTTACTTTGGAGGCTGAGGCAGAAGAATTTCTTGAGCCCAGGAATTCCAGGCTGCAGTGAGCTATGATTGCACTGGTACACTCCAGCCTGAACTGCAGAGTGAAATCCCATCTCGACCAATCAATCAATCAAATTATTAACCATATGATAAGACATATCTATCATCCTGTTTCCTCTGCATCTAGGGCTTTATGGGCTCAGATTCAAGTTCCCCTAAACACTCTTCTTGGATTCTACATTAATCTTCTCTCCTATTGGAATTTTCTATAATCACGTGCAGTATGTCCAATCCATCTCACCATGAGTAAAGGGCTGTTCCTCAAAGGTTTAGTGTACTTTCATGGAACAATTTTATATAAGTTCAGAAACTATTTTGTCAGGCAAGACAGAGATTATCAAAGGACAGATGTATACCAAGTAAGAAATCCATATACATTGATTTGTAATACATTGATTCATAAGCTATAGAGTTAGTTTCTAAAATTCCTGGAAAAATTAACTGTGAGATAGTTATTCAGTGTCTTCTTAATACTGAAACCTACTTTAGAAATAAAATAAAAAGCAGAAATATTTCAGATATATGTGGATATCAAACAAATGACATTTTCATCTAGTCGTGTTAAGCTAATGCAATTTTTTCCTACAAATGTTCTTTGTAAGTAAATGAGATATACTGGTTAACCAATAGTATATATATTCTCCCTAATAGTAATAGAGGAACACTACTGTATCTTACTTTTCTACTCTCCCCTTTTAAAATTCCCATTTACTATACTGTACTGACTTCAACATGGTTGTATTAGCTTTCTATTGCTACTGTAATAAATTATCACAAACAATGGCTTAAAACAATATAAATTTATTATCTTACAGCTTTGTAGGTCTGAAGTCCTAAATGTATCTCAATAAGCTAAAATCAAGGTGTCAAGAGGGCTTTATTTCTTTTTGGAAGATCTAGGAAGGGGATCTATTTCCTTAGCTTTTTTAGCTACCAGAGAATGCCTGTGATTTACAGGCCATCACAGACTTTAAGCGGTGAAGGGGGTCTGTGATGGTTAATACTAAGTGTCAACTTGATTGGATTGAAGGATGCAATGTATTGATCCTGGGTGTGTCTGTGAGGGTGTTGCCAAAGGAGATTAAAATTTGAGTCAGTGTGCTGGGGTGGGGAAGGTAGACCCACTCTTAATCTGGTGGGCACAATCTAATCAGCTGCCAGCAAATATAAAGCACTCAGAAAACCCTGAAAAGACAAGACTGGCCTAGCCTCCCAGCCTACATCTTTCTTCTGTGCTTGATGCTTCCTACCTTCAAACATTGGACTCCAAGTTCTTCAGTTTTGAGACTTGGACTGGCTCTCCTTGCTCCTCAAGCTTGCAGACAGCCTATTGTGGGACCTTGTGATCATTTAAGTTAGTACTTAGTAAACTCCCCTTTGTGTGTATATATATAAAATCTTTCTCACATCAAATCACTCTGACACTCACTGTTAAGCTTCCCTCATCCACATTTTATGGCCTTTTTAATTACAGTCGGCCTACCTGGATAATCTAGGATAATATCCTTTAACATCATTTGATTGGCAACCTTAATTCCCCTTTATATAACACAACATATGCACAGATTCCAGCAGTTAGCATGTAGACATCTTTAGGAGGCCATTATTTTTCTTACCACGCAGTGAATTAATAATAATAATTTATAAATACATATAAATAAATAATTATATATACATTTAATCCTTAGAAGTTAGTAGCTTGCCCAAGGTCACATAGGTAGCTGAATAGTGAGCTAAGATGTGAAGACTATACTCTTATTCCAAACTATATGTTACTAACTCATAGAATACTTTCCTCCTCACTTTGGGGGCTATGCTTTTCTCCTTCCTGTCCACTATTTCCTTACTTCTTACTTCTGGGGTTCATTCTGATGCCTTCATCATTGTCTGTGTTTTGCAATGAGCTCCCCAAAGGGCACTTGACCACAGGACAGTTTTCCACTGGTTTTCTGTTATTCAAGTTCTCTTTACCACATATTTTGTTCTGTCTGTTATAAACATCTATAACTGTCCTTCCACTTATAACTATCCTTTTTCTGTTTGGGTGAGTTTATTACATTCATTTTTATTTTTATTTATTGTAAATCAGAGAATAAGTGTTAATGTATGGATTTTACCTTCCCTCATAGCTTTTTATTAAGATATTGAGTTCTTGCTATTTGTTATATAATTCTTTTTAAAAGCACTTAATAGACAATTCTTTCTCTGTAATATTCTTATTTCAACATAGTATTATTTTTCGAGCTGTACTTTTTTCACCTTATTTCTTATATTACTTTTTGAATATATAACTCATTAAAAATTTTTTAGTATTTTGCCTAATTGTATTCCATTTAATATTATAATGTTCAAAGTTCTTGGCCATGGTATTCAATGTATGAGAACTATTGACTGCAACAGAGAAGAACACATAATAAATTCATTAGATTTCTACTTTTTTTTTTTTACTATAAAAGCTATGCGATTTTTACTATTTTATTTCCGAATATGGTATCCTTATTGATTGTTACTAGTTTTCTTGAGGAAATATTACATTTGAATTTCCACATATTTTCACAAGGAATAGAGGCTTAATTGAAGCTGTAATGTAGTCAAGTAGAGATTCCAGCTTGTTGTGTTACTGCCTTTCTATGTGTATCTGGAGTCAGAGTCTAGCCCTGCTGTTGCCTGAACAGTGCTTTTGTTCATATTAGGAGAAAGCCTCCTTTTCCTCAAGTACACGTACGGCTCCCTGACAATGATAGTAATGTTGCAGAATTCCTGCCCCTTAGTTCAGCTAAATCTGGGTTCCTGTGTCACGACCAGAAAAATTGGGCACGCAGACACATTGAAGGGTATGGGGAACGGAATTTATTGGGTGAAAGGAAAAAAGGAAAAATAATTCTCAGCAAAGAGAGAGAGAGTCCTGCTAGGAGGTTTCCCGCCTCACCGATTGAATTGCAGGTCACCACCCTGGAACTGAAGAGGCCAGGCTCCTCCCCGCTGCAAAAGGCGCGAACTTCCCGAAGCTCCACCCCGTCTTCCCAGCGAACAGGTGGGCACTGTTCAGAGAGAATCGGTCAGGAAAGGGGGCGGGCTTCATCCAGGACCAGCAGTCCAGTTTTTCAGCCTTCAGGCTGTTTTAGGCTTGAAAGCGGAATTTCGCCACGGACCTTTGACTGTCTCCTGTCTCTATCAGTAATAAATACACAAGTCCAGGAGAACTGTGAATATGAACGGCATCCCCTTAGAGCTGTACATAACCAACCACCTGCCCTGGTCCTAAGAAAGACCATAACATACTCCACTTTATTTCACTAACTTCTTCTGACATTACTCAGCCAGCACGGAAACAAGCTTAAGTAATCAGACATAATTATTTTAATTATTTGCAACTGAGCCCCAGGTATACTAAGATAACATTAAAAAAAATTGATCTTTTAGTTTCCATGGCACCTTAGGTATTAATGAATGTCAGTGAACCTTACTATTTATCAGAATTCAATTTAACCCCCAATTTTTCTTCCTGTTTTGATGATTACATGCAGCATTCCAACACTTTAGAATATGAGATGAAATGACATTTTAACTGCTAAATTATAGTTACTTAAATCACAAATTGTATTATACTTCTTGAATAAATCACCATCCTTATGATGTAATAGTATGAAGATCATATTTTAATTGTAATAGCTACATTTTCTATGTATAATTTGCTTGATTAGCACTGAAAAGGGTAAGACAAAATAGACAAGGCTACTATTAAAAGTTCTTACAATTGAAGCGTAACTAAAATTCAGGTGGGTTTGTTGGAAAGTGGAGACGGGGATACACCTTAAAAAAAATTTAATGAGATTTGTGACCTTTTACAGTGAAGCAAAAGGGCACCTTAGTAAGCAACATTGAAGCGGCTACGTTGTCTGGGGTATAAACCCTGGGGTTCCTTGTCTTGCTGAGAGAAAGAATTTAGAACAGGGACACACGTGGGTAGGTTAAAGGAGCGGAAAGTTTAATAGAGGAAAGGAGAGGGGAGAGCAGCTCCTTGCCAGAGAGGGACGTCTGAAAAAGGGGAAAAGGCCATGGGCAGCACCAGATTTTATAAGCAGGCTAGAGGAGGTGTCTGATTTGGTAGGGCCCACAGGTGTGACGTTTATATAGCTGGGGCTGGTGGTGGGGTCGGGGGGAGGGAAGACTGGCTGCCCCATCTTAATCTTATTATGCAAATGAACTCGCCCGTTGACTGGCGCCATCTTGTCTGCTCCTGACTCTACACGTAGCTGATAATGAGAAGGGAAGATGGGGCTCCCGTTTTGAACATGATTGGCACAACTGCCAGCATCTATGTCTGCAGCTCGATTTTATAGGCTGCTCATTGTTAGAAAGGAAAATGATTTGGAGCTACTTTTCATTAAAAGGAAAACCTTACTGAGGACTGCTGTACCCTCACTATCTGCTTAAGTAATTTCTTCTTTTTTTTTTTTTTTTTGAGACGGAGTCTCCATGTTAGAGTGCGGTAGCACGATCTCGGCTCACTGCAACCTCTGCCTCCCGGATTCAAGAGATTCTCCTGCCTCAGCCTCCGGAGTAGCTGGGACTACAGGCGCGTACCAACACACCCAGCTAATTTTTGTATTTTTAGTAGAGATGGTGTTCCACCACGCTGGCCAGGATGGTCTTGATCCTTGACCTCCTGATCTGCCTGCCTCGGCATCTCAAAGTGCTGGGATTACAGGCGTGAGCCACTGCACCCGGCCAGTAATTTCTTCTTAACTCCTGTATCAACATATGATAAAATAGAGCATTTTAAAAACAAGTTTTTGAAAAGATTAAGAATTTATAAAAAGCTCTAAGAAGGAAACTTCAAATACGGATCTCAATCACAAGCAAGGTACAAAATATTATGGATAATTCAGAAAAGAAAGGAGAAATACTGTGTATGTGAGTGTGTGTATGTGTGCATATATATATCGTATGTATTTTCATGTGATTATATATAGAAATAGATAGATGGATAGAAAGACAGGTATTATGGTGAAGTTCCGAAGCACTGTTTAATTAAATCTGAAACTACAGAGTGAGTTTTTAACATTCTCCATTCTCATTCATTCTCCCCTCTGCCCAACTAATTTCCATTTTAAAAACATATGGTAGATTGAAGAAAGTCTATAGACTATTCTTCCCATTGCCAAATGCCCGTTTTCTCTATATTTGTTGTTTTTCATCTTTGAGTATGATGGACAATGATTATATATGTTATGCATTTGGGGACTGAAGTTGGGGTAAGTCTTAGAGATTATTAGCCTAGTCATCTCCCTTTTTTCTTACAAAGCATGGAAACTAGGGATGAGACTAAAATGAAACCAGCCACTATATTCATTAATATTTTTAGTTTCTGGATAAAGTTCAAATGGATAATAATTTTGAGAATACAATTTAGTCCATGGCACACCACCAAAATGTTTCATAACCAAAATGTAACCTAATGGAAAACCAAGAATTCACAAACTAAAAGATTTCTTAGTTAAAAAAAGAACACAGTAATTGAAAAGCTAGAGGGTAAGATACTGCAGAATCTAAATTAAGTACCTCAAATTTCAAATGAAAATAAATTTTAGTGGCTTTGTATCTTAAGCAATATATAGGTGTCCAGCCTGGGTGTGCCTAGGTGAGGTTATATCCATAGGTTTAGGTTATATGCAGTATAGAAATGAGGCCTAAACTCTGAACTTTTTTCTTTCTGGCCCAAATTCCTAAGGGGACCAGGGAGTCACGCTCTATAAACCATAAAATCTTATCAGATGGGCCAGGCGTGGTGGCTCACACCTGTAATCCCAGCACTTTGGGAGGCTGAGATGGGTGGATCACTTGAGGTTAGGAGTTCGAAACCAGCCTGGCCAACATGGTGAAACCCTGTCTCTACTAAAAGAAATACAAAACAATTAGCTGGGCATCGTGGCACATGTCTGTAATTCCAGCTACTTGGGAGGCTGAGGCAGGAGAACTGCTTGAACCCGGGAGGTGGAGGTTGCAATGAGCCAAGATCGAGCCACTGCACTCCAGCCTGGGCGACAAAGCAAGACTCCATCTCCAAAAAAAAAAAAAACTTATCAGATGGGTTTTATTTATCCCTATATAGCATATCTTACTTTCCAGCATTACTCTGGCATAACATCACATGACAGAAAATGAAGGAAATCAATATATTTTACCCCAAAATATGTTATTTGACCATATTTTGAAATAGCCTTGCAAAGTCATCTTCCCTGGGGGAAAATTTGCGTCTGTAAAGATCTCTATTAACATAACTAGATGCTTCCCCGTCAGGCCCTCCCAATCTTGAAGAGAACTGAGAGTCTAGCATCTAGCACCTTTTAAAGGTATGAATAGGAAATATTTGCCATCTATTGTCTCTAAGGGTGCTACCTATGAGACTTCACAAGAATATTGGTCTCCATACCCCTTATCTTAACCCTGACACTCCTTTCTTATTGATTCCAGGTCTTTAGAAAATAACTTAACATTTTCAATCAATTGCCATTCAGAACATCTTTGGGTCCACCTATGGCCTAGAAGCACCTGCCTCCTTTGAGTTGTCCTGCCTTTCTGAACCAAACAAATGTATACCTCACATATACTGATTGATGTCTTATGTCTCCCTAAAAAATGTATAAAACCAGGCTGTAACCCCACCACCTTGGGCACATGTTCTCAGGACCTCTTGAGACTGTGCCTTGGGCCATGGTCACTCAGGTTTAGCTCAGAATAAACCTCTATAAATATTTACAGAGTTTGCTTTTTTTGGTCAACAGAGAAAAGCTGATATATTACGGTCAAGTTACTCTGGGAAAAGGCATGCTACTATTTTAAGAGGCTAGATGACAAAATGAGCATAGAATAAAAGGAATCAAGAGCTTTTCATTAGGGCTTCAAGTGAAGGAGCAATGACCCAAGTATGTGATCAAGTTAAAAGGTCAGCTCCAGATAATGAATGGATCTTGAAATGTCTCAGAAAATTGATATTTCTTTTTTCTTTCAATGCTACATAAGAGTCTGGATACTCAAGCATACTTTTCAGGAATTTCCATAGATACATAACATAAACCTCTATAAATTATAGATTATCACATTCTGCCAATGGTGAGATTGTTGAGTTAAAGAACAAAACCAAAAGCACTACACTGCTGTACACGTGAGACAGTGGACACTAATGCTAATGTCAAAATAAAGTGGTATCCTCCATTTGCTGTCTACCAATCCCTGTGTCTGAGATGTTAGGAAGGGGACACTGTACAATAATGAGTTTATTTTTTCTTTATTCCTTAGTATAATACCTGTTTCTACCTTGATGAATTCAGCTGGATGTCCCAGATTGAAATTCGAAGGCTCACCAATATTTACCTTTTTTCAGTCCAAAGCTAAGAGCAACACCTGGACAACATTTGTTTGAACATTTATCAATTCTTGATAGGGAGACAATTTTTTCAATCTCATATCTTCTTGTTTCTGAAGAAATTTTGTATGAAAATGTGCATGTCTGAATTTACTAGGGAAGGCCTGTTGGCTGTTTATTCCTCACAGAATAGCATTAATCTTGGCAATTCATCAGAAACTGGAGGTTGGTTCTCAGACCTACAAACGTAGAAACTTGATAGCATATCAAGAACAAACTCTTCTTTAAGAATAGATTAATAATAATCAAACTCATAGAGGCTGATCTGTATAATCAAATGCTTGTTATTGTCCAGTGAAAAGAATAATCGTACAAATCAACATTTTTGCACCTGTTTAATGCATTGGACACAATCATTTTTGGAAAAATCATTTATCGTCAGGAGTTTGGAATAAACATGGAACCATAGCAAAGGAACTTGTGTTGGTGAAATATAATTGGAAACAAAACCTCTGCCCAATTCAGAAAACGTTACTGCAAAGATGAAAAGAGAAATAAAAGTTTTATTATTGAAAATGCATTAAACCACAATGTGATGTGAATCACAGGCAATCTGTTAAAGAGACTGCAAAGGCAAAAAGACATTTCACCCTCCTATAGCCAACAGATACAGTCCATTTCATACATGTTCTCAAGATGAAGAATAACTAGGTTTCCAGTGGGAAAACTTAACAGCACCATTTGTCACACCTAGTTTGTCCTCATTTCACTTGGTAATTGGGGTGACTCTGTGTCAGCTTATTGGCTTTATTCAAAAGAAAAATCAATTTCTCACTTATTTATGACAGGAGATAATTTTGCAACTTGGAATGAGGCTTCCACTGATGTTAGCTCCCATTCTCCTACAGAAACTGGGAGATAGGGTGCTATGTTCCTTGATGATTATATTTCAAACGATGGTTCTGAGGTCCTTGAGAAAGACATTTTTGGGTCATTAGGCTGGCAAGAGGCTTATTAAATTTGTGAAAGGATTCACATATATTTTAAAAAGAAGAGAAAGAGTTTACAAGCTTTTAAAAGTAAATGCTTGAAGAAAAGGGAAGGGGAGAGTAGTCTCCTCTCTTAACAGGGAGAATTAAGCCTCTTACTTTTAATTTGTATTTGCCCTTAGAGTTGGGATATTCCGATGCTGAATTTGCATCATAGTTGAGTTGGCTGGATTTCCTTCTAGATGTTTGGATTTTTACTTTCTACCTTTGCTTTTCAGTCTCTCACAACCACACCCCACCCGTCACCAGCAAACTCACTTTTCCATCCATTAACACATTCTTCCTTTAATATGTTTCATTCAATCAGATTACCATTAGCCAGGGGAGCTATTCAGTCTGAGGCAAATTTGCTTACTGGTGCTTTATACATTGATTTTCAAAGTTTGTCTCTTAAGGCAAACTCATTTCCTTTTCCTCCAAGTTCTTATGTAGTACTACATAAAAAGAATCTAATGGCACAGTTTACCTGGAGTACCCTAGAGCAGGCACTCAGCAACTATTGAGGATTGATTGAGAAACCTCATTAACTGAAAGCTTGGCATAGGTTTCATTCCAGTTCAACTGGTTTCTGTGTAAAGCTGTATATTGGCAATTACAGGAATGGTTTCCATTTCCCTTTGCTGTTAAAGAAACTAGCAGAATTAAGCAATCAATGACATTACCAAAATAATGACTACATCTAAAATGGAAACATTCCAATTGGCTTGTGAATCATTATTTAACCTCTTGAGATTTACCTGAGCTTGTATGATACTTTGCTGTGAAAATTTAGAATAGCAAGAAATCTTGCAGCTGAACTAAGACTAGTGACCTATTCAGCTTCTGTTTCCCTGTATGGCTATCTAGCTACTTTATTAGCATGTTCATTGCTGTGGGTTCTGCTACTGCCTTTGGCACTGTGAGACACTCAGATTAACATGCAGATAGGGAACCTTTGCCTTAATTGCCTTAGGGCTCAATTCATCCAAAATTACCATTGGAGGCAGCTCTGCTGACCTATGTCCACTGATTTAATAAGAAAAAATCACCATTCCTAAGAGTAAGAAACTTTCAGCTGCTAAGTTAAGTTTGTGCTTCTTGCTCCAGAGGCATGTTCCTTCAAATAAGGTGTTTTGGTTTTTTGTTTTTTGTTGTTTTTTTTTGTTTTATTTTTATTTTTATTTTTTTGCCGTGGATAACATGAAAAACAAAGAGAAATTAATACTGCTATGTTTAAACAGATCCTATATTAGTAACCAAATGTAATGTTTCTGCAAGACATTCTAGTAACACAGTTTCTGCAAGATCACTACTAACTGCATGTCTGGGTTTAGAAATAAGAGCCAATTCACTCTTTTTTATTCTTATTATACTTTAAGGTCTGGGTTACATGTGCAGAACATGCAGGTTTGTTACATAGGTATACACATGCCATGGTGGTTTGTTGCACCCATCAACCCATCACCTACATTAGGTATTTCTCCTAGTGTTATCCCTCCCCTAGACCCCCACCTCCCACCAGGCCCCAGTGTGTGATGTTCCCCTCCCTGTGTCCATGTGTTCTCATTGTTCAACTCCCACTTGTGAGCAGTTCACTCATTTTAAGGTCAAAGTTTTGTATTCTCTGCCAGATAATAGCAATTTATAAAAAACCTGTGATGACTCCTGCATTATTATAGACTGTCCATCAATTGGTATACTTTTGCCTGAAATTCAAATGTGCCAAAGATATTTCTAGGGAACAATTTTCCAAATACAAGGCAAAATTGTGAGGCACTCTCTCTTTGGAGATTACAAAAAGGAATGGTCTCAAAGTGAAAACAACAACACACTCATAAGATGCAACAGACCTGAGAACAGATCCATCTCTGCTAATTACCAGATTTGTGAGCTTGGGTAAGTTATTAATCTCTTTGAGCCTTAATTTTCTCATATGTGTATTTTACCTTATAGTCACTATACATAATACCATAACATGGTTTATAATAGAGTGTTAAGAAGAACACACAAAACAGCTGACACATAGCAGATGTTCAATAAAGGATAGCTCTTATAATTTTCCTATCAAAGGTTCTATAGCATCCTCTTTAGAGAGCACTGAAAAATGAAAATTATGATTTGCTGGGTACTCTTTGGACTCTGATGGCATAATTTCTGTACCTGGTATTAGTGCACCATGTTTTCATAATGAGCTCTAATTTGTTGCTAACACATTATCCTTTTCCTGCAAAAGCATCCAAGTCATGTGTTAGTCTGTCAGGTCTAAAAAACAATCCCATCAAAATATGTATTCATGCTTTTAGAAAAATGTTCCTTACATATTTGTCATCGGATATTACAGTTTTGTTTTTACTCAAAACCTGATCATCAAGCAATAACCTGATTCCCATGGTATATATTTTTTTAAAAAAGGCATGATGTATTAGAAATAACACTTTCTTAAAGGGGAAAAAAAACAAAGATTTTATCTAATCAAGAATCTTAAAAGAACAAGAAAGATAGAATTTTGGTACTGATGGTGTAACTGAACTCAGGTCTGGCTGCTCACTGTTCAAAAGTCAAAATAGGAGAATTGAGGTGCAATGAAAGGAAAACAATTCTATTCAGATACTAGCACTTGGGAGATGGCTAGGCGCAGGCCTCAAAAGAACCATCTCAAAAGTTTAGGCTGAATGAAGGGGTTTAAAAAGGGAAAACTGGTGTGAGAAACATGCAGGAGTGGGGCAGAGTGCAGCATCTGTGTGTCTTGTTCCAATGGCTGTCTTGAGTTATTGTCCACCTGGAGTGTGTGCTGACACCATGTTGACAAAGGCTGGTCGTAGATTAACGGCCTTGAGGCAATCTCTAGATGGGAAGAATTGCATAGCTGAGTCTCCATGCCTGTTTTATTTTAAGATTAGCACCCGGAATTTTTAAGCAAGCACATAATTAGATAAGCAAGTGCAGTACAAGGGAGTTCCTGGTGGGAAAGAAGGGACACAAAGAGTTTCAAAGTATATTTCAAGGCTAATATGAGAGAGAAGACAAAAAAGTTTTAAAATGCGTTTTAAAGCCAAGCAACTCAGTTACAAGAGGCCTTTAGAGCGCATCTTATTCAGTTCTCTCACTCCCTTCCCTCCCTCCCACAGTTTTCAAATGATAAAACTGATGCTGAGAGAGATTAAATAATTTTGTTTTGATATTGCTAAGAGCAAAGCTCAGATTTCCTGACATTCCATTTTTTCATGGTGGTCATTTTCTTTGTACACAGAGCTTCAAAGAGAAAAGAACTGTCAAGTTTCAAAACTTCAATCCTCACTCTCATCTTTTCATACTTGAATATATTTTAAAAATAAATGGTGAGGTAAATATTTGCTAGTTTTGCCTGCTTCAAATGGATTACCCTTCTGGTAACAGAACTAATGTTGCCCTTGGGCATCCATTCCACCCCTGCTTTTATTCCACATGATGGGATAGACTGATGCCCTTCTGGCCCCATGGGTGGGTAAGTCTGGCCTGGCCAATCAGAATCCCTTGGTCAACAGTGATTTGTTCATAGATGGGCACATGACTCATTGTCCCAGAAGACTCAGTTTGGGACTTTGTGTTGTTGAAAACAAAAATATCTTTTATGTTACACTTAATCAGAAAAGACATAGATTTGGAGCTTTGGGGGCATCACCAAGAGAGCCTTTATAAATTTTAAGCCAACACAGAAACACAGAGGAAAACAGAATTAATATCGGGAGATTGACTCCTGAAGATATTATTTGAATGCCATGTATGAAGTTACTTCTATCCTTGAACTTTTTTATTACTGAAGTTTATAAATCTTTTCTTTTTTTTTTTGCTTAAGGAGATTTGAATTGGGTTTATTACAAGTTGTAATGAAGCAATACAAAAAGGAGAAACTATAAGAGTTGAAGAGATAGAAAGGATTTAGGGGGCCATTGTGAGGAATATTCTTGTTCATCAGCCATGGCCAAAGTTAACAACAGAATTAAATCCTCCAAAAGATCTAGTCACCTTCCCCACTTACCCTGACGCCTGCCTAAGTCACAAACCAAGTACACTGGCTATGGTCAACTTGTCTCTCTATGTTGAAGCTTCAGGTTCTTATTTGGGTAAACAAACTCAGATTTATTCTTTCCTTTGGTTCTTAAATTAATTTAGCATTCTTCATAAGTTTTTTAATAAAGTAATTGACATTTAAAATCAAGAATGAAAGTTTTTCTGTTTTGAAATATGTTTCTGAATGACAAAGTAATATATAGGTATTCTAAAATATTTGAAAAAGAAGAATTAACAAAGACAAGGCAATAAAAATTGATAACACCATCTCCTAGAAAAACTAATTTTAATATATGCATTTATAATGTTTTCTATATACAAGTATTCATGTATAATTTGTATTGAACATATTACATGGCTTTGCAAGTTACTTTTTTCATGGAGTAATTTGTTGTAACTCTTTCTCCAGGTCAACAAAACATTCTTCTAAAACCCAATTTTATCATTTAGGGTTTTTGTTTGCAAAAGACCAGCTCTAGTTATCTTAAACAGAAAAATAACTTATGTGCACAATGCAGGGAAAGTTGCAAAATTTAAGGAAATATAAAGAAGAGTTTTAAGGAATCATCTTGCTTCATGAACTGAGAGAGAAGAATGCAATGCATAATTTATTCAAGATAGGGTGAATAAATTTCAACTTTAGAGCTCTTGCCTTTCAAATTGTATGCCCAGAACATCTGTCCAAGCCTGGCTCACATGCTTACCATTGGTCCAAGAGAAGGTGGTCACCCTCAAGGTTATGTCCAATGTTGGCAGGGATATATCCCAAAGAAAAATTTGGATGCTACTGTTAAATGAAAGAAGAATAAATTCTTGGCAGTTAAAATAGGAGATGTACACTGTGACAATTTTTAATAACTAGAGGGTAGTCAGTTATTTAAGATAATATACATAACCATATTAAACTGGTCCATTATTATTGGACATCTAGGTTGTCTCTAATGTTTCTTTATTATAAGCAATAATGTGGTAAAATCTCTTACAGTTTTAAGTAATTTTCCCAAAAAATGCAGAGGACTGTAATGGGGATAATTGGAGGTACAGAAAATGGCATAATTTGGAACAAAAAATAATCCCCATGCTTTAGAATGGCTTTTATGCCATGAGTCTGATAAATCTGACATAGTTCCATCCACTCATTCTTTCTGCAAACAGGTGTTGACAATCTATTATGGGCCAGGTGTGATTGTTGGAACTATGTTAGACACAAAAGGGAAAAATATATTTTCTGCTTTTAAGAAGTACACAAGATATGTACAGAGGTAGGTAGGTAGGTAGGTAGATAGATAGATAGATAGATAGATAGATAGATAGATAGATAGATAAACTAGCTTCAAAAAAGAGTTTGAAATATCCTCTGGAAAATAAAAAAAGTGTGCATAATGTTGGGATGAACTGTTACTTTATCATTAGCTTCTGAAACTACTAGACAGTTGTTAGTTATGATTGCCCAACTTCTTTTTTTCATTTAAATGCCTTTTAAAATAATTTCTTCATGTTCACAGAAGTTTCACTGACCATTTTTATATGTTTAAGGTCCAGATGCAGTGCATATTGTATAAAAGAGAGCACTTATTGTTTATCTTGCATGAATTAAACCTATGTATCTTTAACCCTACAAACTTCTGTATAACATTTAGACAAAGCTCAGACACATAGCATGCCTAGCCCATATATATATATATATATACACATCTCTAATCACAGGAATATAGGGTGTCAAATATACTATAATAACCTCCATGTAAGGTTTGAAATTTGGTAACAAAACGAGAAAAACTAAAAATATTATTTTACGTGTTCTAAAATATCTCTTTTTTGTGCTAAAGTAAAATGTTAGCTCAACCTGAAAAGGACTTTTATATAATTCAGCAATATTATAATCTTGACCATTTTGCCAACACTTTTTAATAATAATGGCTTAAACATGTACAAAAGTTCTTAGTTAATTAGGGAAACAACACAGGTTGAATATCATTTGTACACTTAAACTGGGAATTTTAAGCTTAAATCAGAAAATGACTGAGACCTAAATCTCTCCAAATAAATATGTACTTATTTTATGCTATTCATTATATATGTATAAAACTTTTGCCCTTATATGCCAGCTTCTCTCCTACTTTATACATGTATCTAAAAAGCAAACAAGGTTAACAACGCCATTTCCAAAATAATTCAATGATAAATAGGATATTTAGCATATTTTCACTACTGAAACGAGAGTTAGTTTCAGAATAAGCCTTTAAGTGTGGGCTTTTTCTCAGACTAAGGAGGTGAAAGGCAGCTTTCCTTGGGCTATAGTGTATAGTAGCCTTAAAAAGCAATGATTGCCCAACTTCTTAAAATACTCTCCTTCCATTCTGATACTTCCATCTATCATGAGTTGTGTTTTCCCAAGATAGAAAACAGAAAGCTCTTAATCTTAGACTCCCTTGCAAAAAGGTGTTGATTTTGACTAGATTCTGCAATTAGATGTATATATGTGGATAATGTGAGGAAATGGCCAGATGTAGGGGAATTATGTTTTATTCTATGGTGTGGTACTGGGGGAGCTTTGAGCATCGCTTCCTGAGCTTCACATGTACCAAGACTAGAGCAGCCTGCACAGCATGAATGGGCATTTGTTTCTAGCTGTGTGATTTCAGGGTGTGGCTCCCTGGCCCTTCCAGAGAGTCTGTGAATTAGCTTACGTCTTTCGATAAATTCATTTTTTGCTTAGACTCATGATAGTAGATTGTGTTGTTTATGACTGAGGGCCCTGACTGACACATTTACTGGTACCAGAAGTGACTGCAAGAAATGGACCCTCAAGGAAGTGAAGTTGAGACTGTTTATCTTACTTGCTTAAATTTTAGGGTAATGAGGACCCAGTGACCATGAAGAGGCTCCAGAACTTCATGACCTTCTGTTATGAAAAGTTACTTATAGTACTATCTGTGCTCAACAGAAAAGTGCCTACTGAAGGTAAGATTGCAGACAGAAGAGTCTGTGCCCATTGACTATTATAAAGGGTGGAAAGAATGTAAGGCTGCTTCTAACTGTAGTGGAGAAATAAAAGGAAAAAAAGAAAACAACAAAGTCACATGTTGAGTTTTTGTTTAAGGTTTGGTCAAAGTATCAGGGATTTTTCTATGACTGCTCTAAAAGGATTTCTTCTAATTTAATTGGTATAGCAGAAAAATCAGATCCTAAAACCTATTAAGATTGTAATTTCTTTTTTTTTTTTTTTTTTTTTAAGATGGAGTCTTGCTCTATCGCCCAGGCTGGAGTGCAGTGGCACGATCTCAGCTCACTGCAACCTCCAACTCTTGGGTACAAGTGAGCATATCTGCCAACTTTTTTTTTTTTTTTTTTTTAATAGAGCGTTTCACCATTTTGGCCAGACTGGTCTCTAACTCCTGACCTGAAGTGATATGCCCACCTCGGCCTCCCAAAGTGCTGGGATCACAGGCATGAGGTACCACACCTGGCCTGTAATTTGATTTGAATTTATAGCCTCAGCATGTCTCTTCTGTGAAGGTTATAGGATCATACCTGAAAATGACCTGGCATTTGTCCAATCTAAGACAATAGTTGTGAAGATAATCAACATTATCTGACACATAGGGTTAATTGATGATGAGATCTTTAAGACTAAACCATATGGGCAATCTATTAACATTTCATTTGAACTATATAACAACAAAAATAACACTCTAGGTCTGTCAAAAAAAAGACTTGAATTAAAAAATAACAAAAGAATCATCGTCTTAGTCCATTTAGGCTGCTATAACAAAATATAATAGACTAGGTGGCTTATAAACAAGAACAATTTGTTTCTTACAGTTCTGAAGGGTGGAAAGTCTAAGAATATGGCACTGGCAGATTTGTGCCTGGTGAGGGCCCGTTTTCTAGTTGATAAATGGTATTTTGTTGCTGTGTCTTCACATAGCGAAAAGGGTGAGGGTCTTGCTGAGGCCTTATTATAAGGAAAGTAATTTCATTCATAAGGGCTCTGCCCTTATAGCCTAATCACCTCCTAAATACCCCATATTGTAAAACCATCACCTTGGTGGTTAGGATTTCAACATGTGAATTTTTCACGGACACATTCAGACCACAGCAACCATTCTCCCTTGAAAAGCTGGTAATAGGATGACGCAAGAAAATCATTTAAGATACAAGGTTTGATGCAGTAACAGCACTTGCACGAACCAGAGTGAAATTTTGTGCTCTAGGCACGTCACTTGCCTCACCCCAGTCCCAGCCTTGTCCCTCATTTTATTACTAGATTCAAGGTAGTTCACAGACTTAAAGCGTTTCATAGACCTAAAACACATTAACTGAAGGATAGGCAAAATAACATTGTAAACATGTACCAGAAAATTCCCCCAGCCCACTCCAAAGGAATCAATAACATTTACTAAAAGAAAAAAAAAATGTATGCATTGGGAAAGAGAAACACATAAACTTTGTTGGGAGAGGTTATTAGATACTAACAATGAGCCAGTTCCAATTCTTGGGGACCCAGAATGTCTTTCTCAACCAGGCTACAGGGTGATAAAAGGAATTTTGGTTCAAGACTGTCTCACCGTGGGCCCAGTGGTTCCCGAAAATATCCTGTATTTTTTTTCTAAGTGCTTCCATGTGTGTATGTATGTATGTGTGTGTATTTCAAATAGATATACTTAACACCTGGTAGAATTGCTGTGTTGGCTGCCTAGTCATGACATGAAGTCATGACTATTATGACTATTAGAGGAAGGGCCAAATAGAAGCCTCTGGAACTCCTTCCCCTTAGCAAAATTTGAATCCAAAATCAAACTCATTCTAGGAGAACTGCAAAGATTAGTTCTACCATCTAAAAGTTGAAATATGCAGGGATGGTGATTCCTATCATATCTCCATTCAATTTCCCTATTTGGTTTGTTTAGAAAACAGCAAAGTCTTAGAGAATGGTAGAATATGGTTGTAAATTTCATCAGGTGATGACTTCAAATACAGCTGATGTTGTAGATATATTCTCTTTATGTGACCACATCAACAAAGCCTACTGTGAAGCAATTTAGCTGGCAGCAGTTGCTCTCTATGTCCAACAAAGAGAGAATATCAAAGGCAGTTTGCTTTTATCTAGCAAGGATAGCAACATAACATTGTTATCCTACATAAAAACAATATTGACTCCCTTGATTTAAGCTACAGTTTAATCCACAAGAACCTCAATCATCTCATCATCCTACAAGAGAGCATACTAGGCTACTATATTGCTGACATCATCAGAGCAGGTATCAGGTCTTTCAGATATCATGGATACACACTTGCATGCAGGGAATAGGAAACAAAGCCTGTAAAAGTACAGTAGCCTGCCACCTCAATGAAGTTCCTGGTGTCCAGTAATCTAAAATAAGTTGAAATAGCCCCTCCAAAGTTAAAAGTTGCTGTAATTTGCTCTCCTTACTGTTAAGAAAGAGGCCCAGAGTCGCAATGCTTAGTGAACCTCTTTGAGGTTTGGAAACCATTGGTATCTTATTTGAGTAAGTTACTCTAACATCTTTAGCAGATATCCCATAAGACTTCTGCTTTGAGTGGGATGTGGAGCAAAAAGTCTCTTTAGCTGGTTGAAAATGGAGTGCAAATTACTCTCTCTCAACACACATGACCCAGCAGATGCACTGGCATTTAAACTGACTTTGGTAAACTTATGAAACCTATGGCATAAGAAAATAATGCACAAGCCTCTACCTTTTTACAACTATTTTGCTGTAAAACAAACAGCATATTTTATGTTGTCTTTGGAAAGAAAATATCTTTGTTTTAAGAAAAAGCTTCTCACTTGTTGCTGGCTTCTGATAAAGACCAAAGTTTGGATCACAGGACTCCAGGAGCATGCTTCTTCTAGATCTAGGCAAGCAGGGCCCCTGTGCTGGGCCTTTCATCTCAGGAGGCCACATTTTGGACTGCCTTTCTTGGCATTATCTTTATTTTTTATTTTATTTATTTATTTTTTTGAGACGGAGTCTCGGTCTTTTGCCCAGGCTGGACTGCCTTGGTGCGATCTCAGTTCACTGCAAGCTCCGCCTCCCAGGTTCACGCCATTCTCCTGCCTCAGCCTCTCGAGTAGCTGAGACTACAGGCGCCCGCCACCACCCCCGGCTAATTTTTTGTATTTTTAGTAGAGACGGGGTTTCACCGTGTCAGCCAGGACGGTCTCGATCTCCTGACCTCGTGATCCGCCCACCTCGACCTCCCAAAGTGCTGGGATTACAGGTGTGAGCCACTGCACCCGGCCTTTCTTGACATTTTCTAAGTGCCCCTGTGTTGTCTGTAATTAGCCGGAGCTTGTAGTGCTATCTGGGTGGTATGCTCCGAGTCTGCATAGGGATTTTTGTGCTCCATTTCCTGTTTCTCTTTGGTATCCTTCACAATCCTCTGCCCCACATCTACCAGATGCTCCGAGAAGCTCCAAATTCACGCTATGGTCCTATAGCCAGGTGCTGGCTACAAGAAGGTGCCTTTGTGAGCAAGTCATTCTTACCACCTGATGCAGTGTTTCTTTCATGAGACCCCTTAAGATTAGATTGATGACAGAATAGTGCTCATGTGCTGATTTGGGCTTCATTTTGGACAGAGAACAAGTGCAGGGGTCTGGGCTACTGACAGTCTACTGCTGTTTCTTGAGCTGCATGTCTGTGCCCATGTGTTGCCTCTCACCTGTTTGTGCGCTGATGTGGTACTGTCTCTGGTTTATTGCACCTAAGGGTAGTAAGAGTGATGGTAGGCATTCTTTATGTACCCTCCCTTCCGCTACCCCCACCCCTGCCACTGGCACTCAGGGAAGTCACCCAATTCCTCCTTAGGGCTCTGTACCATGTGTTAGGCAGTCCTCTGCAGGTGGCTACATCTGTCTCCCCTGAGGTCTTCCAAGGCTATTTCTTTGGAACTTCCACAGGTCCCTTCAGCTGATGTCTTTTTTGCCCCTGATCAATGTGGTGAGGTCGTACTCATGGGGATTAATCTTAGGCCATGTGAGATGAAAGATGGGCAGTCCTTGTGAAGATAGGAACATTCTTCTCACTCTGCCCAAGGTCCCTTTACGTATCTTTCCCCACTGTTGATTTATGAAAGGTAAAAATGAGGTATCAAAAGATAAAGTTTTCTAGGAATACAGCAATTACAGCTTAATGAGTTCAAAAGAAGAAATTGTTGTAAGATATGTGGTTATATGTTTATATAAACATACAACTATAAAATCCTGTATAGTAAATTTAACATGATCAGAAAGCAAATTATTGTTCATATTTCCCCACATGCTGTTGTTAAAACCTGCATTTGTGGTCATTATCAGTGAACCACAATAACAATATTTAAGAAAATTATTGGGAGCCTGTATTCAGGGATAGCTAAATGAATAACACAGTGTCATAGGTAATCATATAACAATCCCTAATAAGAGGTATTAGGAGATTGCAGAGGCATGAAAATCTATATTGTTTCAATATAATGAATTCTAAAGAGACATGGCCGTGTGAATAATAAAGAGTTGCTACTTTTACCTCATGGTGGGAGATGTGAACTTAGACAATAATGGCACATTTGAAAACAACAAACTGTTGAAAAGGGTTCCTAGGCTGGATCAGGAAAAGTCTTGTGTACATATACTGCTGGAACACCATAGCACATTTCACATGTGTGCACTTAATAAATCACTGTTAAGTGAGTGAAATAATAAAATAAACTGCTTTAAACTTTTTTATTTTTGTAGATTTAGGGGATACAAGTGCATTTTTGTTACATGGGTATATTGCACAGTAACGAAGTCTGGACTGTTAGTGTACTCATCACGCAGATAGTGTACGCTGTACCCAATAGATAATTTTTCATCCCTCACCCCACTCTTATCTTCCCACTTTTTGGAGTCTACAATGTCTATTATTTCACATACCTAGTATTTAGCCTACTTACATGTGAGAACAAAACTGCATGTTATTAATCAGAAGTGCATCTACACATTTTTGAAAAATAGCAATGTATCGATAGGGAAGTCATATTATTTATGTTGTCTAAAGACAATTTTGTGTTCATATATGTATTTTTGGTTCCTTCTCAAGGTTATAAAAAGCAGCAGAAGGCATTTTCAGAGTATATAATAGCAAAATAAACAGTAAGGGCTGAGATGAGTATAGCTGAAACCTGGTGATCCACTAGTGCTCTCTGGTACTATCATGTTCACTAGAGTTAATGGCATACTAAAGCAAATCCATTCAGGCAGGGTCATCAAGGGTTCACTTCATTAAGGAATAAAATTTGGTTCTCCTTGCCTGTCAAAAAAATCTTGATCAGCTGAGTTGGTGGCTAAGGGCAAAGGCAACATTGAATAGATAATGAAGGAAAGAAATAATAAACACCAACTATGGTCTTTTTGACTTATTTGGAGAAATGCAGATGGTATTTAAAGCACAATTGGCTATCTGTATTTGTGAGTTCCAAATCTGTGGAGTCAACTAACCATGAATCAAAAATATTAATTAATAAAACAATAAAACATAGCAACACAAATCCAGAGACCTCAAGATGGCTGACTAGAGGGCCAGCTGTCATTTTCTTCCTCCACAAAGAAGAACCCAAATAGTGAGTACATAAGCATACGTCTAATAGATCATCTAAAAGAGAACACTGGAATTTAACAGAGAAGTGACAGAAAACACCTGAAGCAAGGAAGGAGAGGGAAATGAGGTAGCTTTCTGGGCCAGGATTGGCTGGGAGCCCAGAGATGGTCCCCACTGTGGAAAAAAGGTAAGTGAGAGATCTTCCAGGGGTCCAGATTCCCAGGGTGGACTCCTGCATTGCTAGATGCAAGAAAGCCCCTCCATCCTCTGGGCCCCTGAGACTGATTTAGGGAGTTGCCTGAAAACAGCACAGGGGCATTGCTCCAGAGAGGGAGATCACACTGAGTATCTCCCTAACTCCCAGTTAGCACAGCACCATTTTGAAAGTCCAGTCCCCACCAAACTGCATCCTCCCCTGAGGTTCAACAGCCCCTGTACCTCCACATTCCTGGAGCCCCACTGACATCCTCAGTAGAGCCACTGTCACTCAGTAGAGCTACTAGTAGCCACTGTCCCTGCTGGCTGCTATTCCCAGGGCCAAAGCCAGAGCCAATGGCAGTGACCCCTGTCCCCCCAGCAGCAGGGTGGCTGTGCATTTTCAGGGTGCCCTAAGGAAAGCCTACCTCACCCACATCTGCCATGGCTTCAGGCTGCTGCTGCCACGTGGCTGAAACCCCAGCTACTGGCAGCAACCCTGTCCACCAAGCAGGAAGACTGCAGCATAGCCAAAGTCACTCTCACCTAAGCAATCCATCAGGAGCCTGGGCATCACCCTGCCCCTGCCCACCATGGCCAGGGCCCCTTCTGCACCACTAGGGGTTCTGAAGGCAGGACCTCAGGCCATTTCCACCCCTCCAGTGCAATTATTCATTGCCTGCATACAGAAAAACAATTGATATTTTATATTAACCTTGTTAATCCTGCACCATGGACAAACCCATTTATTGATTTTAGTTTTCTGGTATACTTTTCTGGATTTCAAAATATGTACACATCCATGTTATTTGCAACTAAACAGTTTGCTTACTTCTTTCTAATCTTTTTACCCATTATTTCTTTTTCTTGCTTTATTACACATGGTAGGGCATCTAATACAATGTTGAATAGAAATCGTGAGAGTTTTGTTCCTGACTTCAGGGTGAAAACATTTACTCGTTCATTATTTAGTATGTTAGCTATGGATTTTTCATCAACAACAGTGTAAGAGCAAGCATGTTCCTTTCTGGTCCCAGTATGCTAATAATTATTTTAAAATCATGAGTAGGTGTTGAATTTCACCAAACACTTTTTCTCACATTTATTACAATCATATGTCTTTTTCTCCTTTAGTCTGTTAATATAGAAAATTATACTGATTGATTTTGCATGACTATGCAACCCTGCATTCTGGAGATAAACCCTAGTTAGTAATAATGCATTCATTATCCTTTTAATATGCCGCTATACTTAATTTGATAAAATTTAAAAGAATCTTTGCATACATGTATATATTTACAACAGATGGTGAACTGTAATTTCTCTTTCTTGTAATATTCATGTTTGTTTAAAATAAAATGGGAAATATCCACTTCTCTAATTCTCTAACATTGGTATTTTCTTCCCTAAATATTTGAAAATTTTCACTAGTGAAGCTTTTGGGCAAAATAATTTTCTTTGTTCTTTAAAAAATAATTGATTAATTTCTTCAGCAGATTTAGGAGTATTTATTTGTATTTTTCCTTGTCCTGATTTTGGTGTATTGTATTTTCCAAGGAATTTGTTAATTGCTTCTAAGTTGTCAAATTCATTAATGTAAAATTTTTCTAACATTCTTTTATGTTTTTGGTTCTGGTAGGGCTCTTTTATTTCTAATATTGATAATTTTTATAATGATGCTTTTAGAATCATTGTTGACATAAATTTAAATTCTACACGTATTTAAAACCCCAGTGACATTACTAATATTGTTTTGCAAAGGACTAATTTCTATTTATGCCCTGTCCCCCAATTTCCACTAGTGTTATCCTTTATGCCTTCCTCTAGTTTTTTTCTCTCTAGAATAATATTTCTTCTATCTAAATAACTATTTCTTTTATTGTAGGTTCGTAATGAAGTCTGGATTATTTTGTTTTAATCTTTGAAAAGTATTTTTGCTGCATATAGAATTCTACTTTGGCCATCCTCTTCTATTCCCCAAGCTTTAAAGATTATGTTCCATTGTAATTTGGCTTCTGTCTTTCTGATAAGAATATATTGTCAGTCTTACTGTTATACTTTTTTTGTTTTGTTTTGTTTTGTTTTTGAGACAGGGTCTTGTTCTGTTACCCAGGCTGGAGTGCAGTGGTGCAATCATGGCCCACTGTAGCTTCAACCTCCTAGATAAAAGCAATCTTCCAACCTCAACCTCTAGAATAGCTGGGACTATAGGCACTTGCCACCATATTGTGATATTTGTAAATGTAGTGTGCCTTTTCCTTGTAGATGCTTTTCAAATTTTCTCTTTTTCTTTTTTCTTTTTCTGTCATGCCTAAATGAATTCTTCTTTGTATTTATTCTGCTTGAATCTTTCAGAGATTTTTGAATCTGTGAGTTACTTTCTTTTGTCTATTTTGGGGAATTCTTATTAGATCTACAAATACTGTTTCTGTCTCTTTTTCCATCTCCATTCCTACAGGAAATTTGATTATACATATCTTATGCCTTTAACTGTTTCCCAATGCTTCTTGTACACTTTTCTGTGTTTTCCATTATGTTATTTATTTGTGCTTTAGGTTATATGGGGTTTTTTTGTTCAATTTTCAGATTGACTAATAATAATTTATATTGTGTCTAGTCTGCTGTGAAATTTTTAAACTAGTTTCTAATTTTAGATACTCATTTTTTTCCAGTTTTAAAAGGGTCACTTGATTATGTTTTACAAATTCGTTTTTTCTTTTGTAGTTTAAAGATGGCATTCTGTTGTCTTCTGGCTTTCTGCAATTCTGTTGAGAAGTCAATCATCATTCTTATTGTTTCTCTGAAATAAATACATAATCTTTCTCCACCTGCATATACATTTTCCTCTTATCTTTGGTTTTTAGCAGTTTGATTATTATGTGCCTATGTGTGGTTTTCTTTGTAATATCCTGCAAAGGTTTTGCAAAGCATCTTTAATCTGTGGACTCACATCATTCATTAGTTTTTGTAAGATTTTCAGCCTTTTTTTTTTTTTTTTTTTCTGAGATGGAGTCTCACTCTGTTGCCAAGGCTGGAGTGCAAGGGCAAGATCTCAACTCACTGCAACCTCCGACTCCAGGGTTCGAGCGATTCTTCTGCCTCAGCCTCCTGAGTAGCTGGGATTACAGGCACCCATCACCATGCCTGGCTATTTTTTGTATTTTTAGTAGAAAAGGTGTTTCGCCATGTTGTCCAGGCTAGTCTTGAACTCCTGACCTCAGGTGATCCACCCCCTCTTCAGCCTCCCAAAGTGTGGGGATTACAGGCATGAGCCACCGCGCCCTGCCAATTTTCAGCCATTATCTTTAAATGTTACCTAATTTCTCTCCTCTTTTTTTCCTTCTGGCTCTCCAGTTACCCAGATTTAGACAATGTGCCTCCCATATGTTTATTATAAATGCATTTTATTATTTCTATTCTTTTTTCTTTGTGTTTCTGATTAGATATTTTCTGTTGTCCTGTGGTACCTTTTGCTGTGCCCAGTTTACGGTTATGCACATTCTGTAAATTCTTAATGGTAGATATTATGTTTTATTATCCCAGATTTTTCTGTTAATTATTTTTATAAATTTCAATTCTCTTTTGGAAAATTTCCAACTTTTTGTCCATTTTACAGAATGTTTTATTTAAAATAGTTATTTTAAAATTGTCATTTACTAACTTCAATATCTGGATTACCTGTTGGTCTGCCTCTGTTCTCTGCTATATCCTCTTTATTATTGGTCCTGTTGTTCTGACTCTTTGCAAGTCTTGATATTCTTTATTTCATGTTAGACAGTGTGTAGAAAATAATTACAGTGTTACAGTTGATATTATTTTTCCCAGGGAGGTTTTGCCCTTTGTTTTGTTAGGTAGAAATTGTGAGGGACTGATAGGCTCAATCTAAGCAAAGATTGAACTAAGTTGCCCTTTATTGAGCCTCAGTTTACTTCTGATTTATCTGTTTTATTGAGCATGGGGCCTCTGGGTTTTTGATGAAGAGCCTGGCAGTCCTCTGTGACCTCAGACATGAAGCATATGAAAGATGCAGTTTTTCTTGCAGAAGCTTAATGTAGATTTGGACTTTCAGAAGTTTAAATTTGTGTCCTTCCACATTATGTAGCTTCAAAATCTTGAGTATGATACTGTACATGTGTTTGACACAAACTCTCTCCCACTGGCAAGACTTTATTTTCTAAGCACTGGACAATTGTGAGAATTTCCTTTCTGCTTCTTGGTAGTGACTGGCTTAGCCACACCCGACCTTCCTGTTTCACCCATCTCTCCAAAAGTTCCCATAAGGAAACATGGGAATATATTTAGGGATCTTTGAGATTCTAATCCATCATGCCAGCTTCCACAGACATCAAAAGCTCATTTGTTACTCTTTCTTCCAGTAGAGTCCCTCTGCCTAGGTCACACACAATTTTATCAGTTATCTGTTACTATTTAACAACCTATCCCAATTATTTATTTGATCATAATTCTGTGGGTCAGCAATTTGGGCTCCAATCAGCTAGGTGACTTATTGACTGGCCTCACATGGGATCCTCATGCAGCTATGGCCATCTCTGGGACTGGATGGTCCAAGAGGGCCTCATTCCCATATTTGGTACATGGTGTTGATTCTAGACTTGGACATCTCCATTCTCCTTTATTTGGCTTATCATAATCTAGTAGGATAGACTAGACATGGTTACATCTCAGTCTCAGGTCTTTGTTCTAAGAAAAAAAGACCTCTTGAGTCTTAGTCTCCAGAACTCACAACTTCAGTTCTGTCACAATATATTGTTCAAAACAACTCACAAAGCCAGCCCTTATTCAAGGGATGGAGAAAAAGATTCTACCTCTTGATGGAAGAAGTGTCAATGTCACATTGCCAATGGCATGCGTACATGAATGGGGTGCATTATCATGACCATTTTTGCAAACAATCTGCAACTCATTCCCTGAATTGGCAAATGTCTTTGGGGGAGAAAATATCTGGTGACTGTCAGCTTACCAAGGAAGGGAGATTTTTATTCTGGTATTTTAAATCAAACGGTCTTCACTGATTCAACAGTGTTCTTAAAATATGTTCTTTTTATTTGTATTTGTATAAATTTAAGAGGTACAAGTGCAGTTTTGTTACTTGGATATATTGCATTGGTGAAGTCTGGGCTCTTAGTGTAGCCACCACCTGAAAAATATACATTGTACCCATTAAGTTGTTTCTCATTTCTCACCAACCTCCACCTTCCAACCCTTTTGAATCTCCAATGTCTATTTTTCTACACTCTATTTCCATGTGTACATGGTACTTAGCTCCCACTTATAAGAAAAAGTTGGTATTTGACTTTCGCTTTCTGAATTATTTAACTTAATATAATGGCCTCCAGTTCCATCCATGTTGCTGCAAAAGATGATTTCATTCTTTTTTTTTCCTGGCTGAATGGTATTCTATTGTGTATATATGCTACATTTTATTTATCCAATCATCCACTGATGAACATTTAGGTTGGTTTCATATCTTTGCTATTATGAATAGTGCTGTAATAAACATACAAGTGCAAGTTTTTTTTGATATAATGATTTATTTTTCTTTGGGTAGAAACTTGCTAATGGAATTGCCATATCAAATTTAGTTCTATTTCTAGTTCTTTGAGAAATATCCATACTGATTTCTATAGAGGTTATACTAATTTACATTCTCACCAACAGTATATAAGTGTTCCCTTTTCTCCATACCCTTGCCAACATCTATTTTTGACTACTTAATAATAGCCATTCTGACTGGTGTTAGATGATCTCATTGTTTTAATTTGCATTTTTCTGATGATTAGTGATGTTGAGCATTTTTTCATGTTCTTATTGGTCATTTGTGTGTCTTCTTTTGGAAAATGTTTACTCATGTCCTTTGCCCCAATTTTAATAGGGTTATTTATTATTTGTAGTTGTGTTGTTTGAATTCCTTGTTGAGTCTGGATATTAGTCCTTTGAGGGATGCATGGTTTTCAATTACAGTCTCCTATTCTTCAGATTGTCTATTCATTCTGTTTATTATTTCTGTTGCTATGCAGAGGCTTTTTAGTTTAATTAAGTCCCATTTGTCCATTTTTATTTCTGTTGCTTGTGCTTTTGAAGTCTTAGTCATGAATTCTTTGCCTAGGCCAATGGCCAGAAGAGTTTTCCCTAGTTTATTCTAGCATTTTTTGTAGTTCATGTCTTACATTTAAGTGTTTAATCCATCTTAGGTTGATTTTTTGCATATGATGAGAGATAGATGTCTAGTTTTATTTTTATTTTTTTGCGTATGGCAATTCATGTTTCCAGCACCATTTATTGAAGAGTGTCCTTTCCCCAGTTTTTGTTTTTTGTCGACTTTGTTAAAGATCAGTTTGTTGCAGATATCTGGCTTTATTTCAGGGTGTTCTTTTCTGTTCCATTGGTGTATGTGTCTAATTTTATACCAGTACCATGCTGTTTTGGTTACTATAGACTTGTAGTGTGATTTGAAGTCAGATAATGTGATGCCTCCAGATTTGTTCTTTTTGCTTAGAATTGCTTTGATTATTTTGGCTCTTTTTTGGTACCATTTGAACTTTAGGATTGTTTTCTCTGATTCTGTGAAAAATGACATTGATATTTTGATAGAAACTGTGTTGAATCTGTGGATTGCTTTGGGTAGTATGGTTATCTTAAGAATATTGATTTTTCCCACCATGAACATGGATGTTTTTCCATTTGTATCATCTCTAATTTCTTTTGTCAGTGTTTTACAGTTTTCCTTGTAGAGATCTTTTACCGTCTTAGTTAAATATATTCTTAGGTATTTTATTTTATTTCTCTATAACTACTATAAATAAGATTGGGTTCTTGATTTGGTTCTAAGCTTGATTGTTATTGGTGTTTAGAAATGCTAGTATTGGCTGGGCACAGTGGCTCATGTCTGTAATTCCAGCACTTTTGGAGGCCAGCATGGGAGGATCACTTGAGCTCAGGAGTTTGAGACCCACCTGGGCAACACAGGGAGACCCAGTCTCTACAAAAAAAAAAAAAAAAAAATTAGCTGGGCATAGTGGTGTATGACTGTTGTCCTAGCTACTCAAAAGGCTGAGGTGGAGTATCGCTTGAGCCCAGGAGGTCAAGGCTGCAGTAATCTGTAATTGCACCCTGTACTCTATCCTGGATGACAGAGTGAGACTGAGTGAGACCCCATCTGAAAAAAAGAAAAGAAAAAGAAAAGAAAAAGAAAATAAATGCTCCTAATTTTCATATGTTAATTTTGTATCCTGAAACTCTACTTAATTCATTTATCAAATCTAAATGGTTTTTGGAGGAGTCTTTAGGGTTTTAAAGATAAAAAATCATGTCATCAACAAACAGAAGTAACTTACTCTTTTCCAATTTGGATACCTTGTTTCTTTCTCTTGCCTCATTGCTCTGGCTACGACTCCGAGCATTATGTTGAATAGGAGTGGTGAAAGTGGGCATTATTCTCTTGTTCTAATTCTCAGGGGAAATACTTTCAACTTTTCTCCACTCAGTATAATGTTGCCTGTGGGTGTGTCATATATGGCCTTTATTATTTTGAGGCATGTTTCTTTGATGCCTAGTTTGTTGAGGGCTTTTATCATGAAGGGATGTTGGATTTTATAAAATGCTTTTTCTGCATCTATTGAGATGATTATATATATATATATATATATATATATATATATATATATATATACACACACACATATAGGTATATATATATTTTCTTCAATTCTGTTCATATGATGAATCCTATTTATTGATTTTCATATGTTGAACCATATTTGCATCCTTGGAATAAAATCTACTTAATTATGGTGTTTTGTTTTTTTTATATGCCATAGGATTTGGTTTTCCAGTATTTTAATATTTTGTTGAGCATGTTTGCATCTATGTTTGTCAGGGATATTTGTCTGTAGTTTTCTTTTTCTGTTGTGTCCTTGTCTGGCTTTGGTGTCCAGGCAATATTGGCTTTGTAGAATGAGTTAGAAAGGATTCCCTCCTCCTCAATTTTATGAAACAGTACGAAGAGGATTAATACCAGTTTTTCTTTGCAGATTTGGTGGAATTTGGCTGTGCATCTATGTGATCCTGGGTTTTATTTATTGAGAGATTTTTAAATTATTGATTGAATTTCACTACTTGTTATTGGTCTATTTGGGATTTCTATTTTTTCCTGGCTCAATCTTGGGACATTGTATGTTTCCAGGAATTTATCCATTTTCTCTAGGTTTTCTAGTTTGTGAGTGTAGAGTTGTTCATAATAGTCTCTGGTGATCTTCTGTATTTCTGTGATATCAGTTGTAATGTCTCCTTTTTAATTTATTATATTTTTTGGATCTTATATTGGTTAGTCTAGCTAGTGGTGTATCAATTTTGTTTATATTTTTAATGTACAAACTTTTTGTTTTGCTGATCCTTTTCTTTTCTTTTTGGAGACGGGATCTTGCTCTGTCACCTAGGCTGGAGTGCAGTGGTGCAATCATGGCTCACTGCAGCCTTGACCTCCTGGGCTCAAGTAATCCTCCTACCTCAGCCTCCTGAGTAGCTAGGATTATAGGCATGGACCACCATACGTGGCTATTTTTTTAAATTTTTTTTGTAGAGACAGGGTCTCCCTATGTTGCCCAAGCTGGTCTCAAACTCCTGGGCTCCAACAGTCCTCTCACCTCGGCCTCCCAAAAGGCTGGGATTACAGGTGTCAACCACTGCATCTAGCAATCTATTTTTTTTTCTTTTCTTGGTCTCAATTTCATTTAGTTCTGCTGTGATTTTTGTTATTTCTTTTCTTCTGCTAGCTTTGGGTTTGGTTTGTTCTTGTTTTTCTAGTTCCTTGAGGTGTGACATTATGTTATTGGTTTGTGATTTTTATTTTTTGAGGTAGGCATTTAGCACTGTAAACTTCTTCCTCTTAGCACTGCTTTTTCTGTGCCCCAGAGGTTTTGATATGTTGTTTCCATTTCTATTCATTTCAAACATTTAAAAAATTTCCATCTTAATTTCTTCATTGACCTAAAGATTTTTCAGAAGCCTGTTGTTTAATTTCCATGTATTTTTAGTTTTGAGAATTCCTCTGGATTTATTTCTGGTTTTATTCTGCTTGTTTGAAAAGATACTTGGTATTATTTCAGTTGTTAAAAATTTATTGAGACTTGCTTTGTGACCCAGCATAATAGTAGGGGACTTCAACACCCTGTTCACAGCACTAGACGGATCCTGGAGACTGAAAATCAACAAAAAAAACCCCTAAACTTAAATTGGACTTCAGATTAAATGGACCTAGCAGATATTTACAGAACATCTTACCCTACAACACCAGAGTTTCTGTTCTTCCTATCAGAGCATGGAACATTCTTAAAAGTATAATTCTCGAAATTCATTTGTTTTTTCATTTAGATGTTTTGGTGGTGACTCCTCGGCCTAATGCTACCTACTATAGCAAGGCCTGCTATTGTAGCAAGAACTCCATGCACAGCTACAAGCTTGATACTGTTTAAGTGTTACCGTATGTTTATTTTTGGAATTTAATAAGACAATCAAATAGTTTAATTGATATGTCTCAATTGATAGAATATGTTAACCTACAAATACTATCAAAATTTGATGTTTGAACAAGAAATGCACTAACTTAATTTTTCATTTTTTCTTCAACCAAAACATAAAATTCCTTTTAAATTCACAAACTTAATTATATTTAGGACTAAGCAAAGCTAATTAAAAGACTCTTTTTTTAGTATGACACAGGCTGCCAAAAAAGCAAACATCCCTTGAATTTAACTTATCTTTGGAGAGGTTCCTATGGTTTCTCTACAATATTATTTATTCATTTTGCAATTATTTTTGCACTGTGTAAAACATGAAATTAGGAAGTAAAACAAAACTTACTTTTATCATACGTGCTTGTTTTTAAGCCATTATCACTTAGTTTCAAACACACTCTTGTATTTTTCCTTGTCTTAGTAGGTCTGGGGCTCCGCAAACTACATTTCCACTTTTTCAGCTGCCTTCCTGTTAGGCTTCCACATAGTGAATTCTGAAGGAAGACTGGAGTCCTGGAGGAAGAAAAAAATGACATATTCTCCTGTTTTTCTTCCTTTGACTGTCAGTATCACCTTAGGAATGGTTTTTCACCCTGGAAATGGCAGTAACAATAGCAATTGCCTTCAGTTATTTCCCCCAAATTCCTACAACCAGCCTCATTTTGCCTTCTTAGAGAGACTAGCACCAGTTGGCTGACATCCTGTCTTCAGAATCCTGGCTACCCGAGACCTCTCCTCTAAGATCATGAATTACAAGCATTGCTAGGCAATCTCTCCTCAAAGTACTAGTTTTTAGTATTCCCCCACTCAACCCTTTATTACCCCAGACTTAGAAGTGGTAACTTGCTTACTGTAGTTGCCACTTTTATGATACTTCAGTGTTCCTTTTTTGTTTTTTTTTTCCATCCTCTAGTGCCTGTTAAACATACTCCTTCTATAAATTCTCTTGTTAAACTAACTAGATTTCTGCTTTTCTGACTGATACATTTCTTTATGCTTTTTCTTTGCAAATAACAGAAATTTACTTAAACTAGGTTAAGAAGAAAACAGACTTTATCATAAAAATATAGGTTTCCCCTGGAATCCTGGGACAGGGAGTACGATCTGGCTTTGTAAGCTTTGGAAAAGAGCCTGTAACTAAGGTTATTCTTTTTTGTTTTTCTGGAACTATGGTCTCCCATCTTTTATATTGTTTCCTCATCTTAAAAAAAAAAATCTCTCTTAGTAGACCAAGTTTCTCCACCTTTATATCATAACATGCCATTGCTCTGGGTTTGTTTTCAGCTCTAATGATGCTTACTAGTTAATTGCAAGTCCAGTTTCAGATAGGAGGAAAGAGAAGCTGAGTGCTCTTGTTTGCACAAATGTCTGCACCTGACCTCACCACCTATAGCTGTTACAAATACAGCTATTGGTCTCCCTCACTGGGGTATAGAAGGGCAGTGGTCAGAGAGAGGGACTTTGTGCTGTGTGTACAGTTCAAAGAGTTTCTGTTTTCCATTTTTTTTTCATTAAAAGGGATAAAACCTTAAGAAGATTTTTTGGAGAATATATTTGAGGCATAATCCATTGTGTATAATAATAGTTACTGGATCACTTAAAAAAGCTTTATTAAGTACATGTTCACTGCACAAAATTATAAATATAGATTAGCTGAAATAAAAAAAGATACAAACTCCAACCACACTGATATATATTACCAAAACTACATTGATTCATATGTAAATCTTCCTGTTTTTAAAATTTCTTTACAAAATGGGTTTCCTATTAGCAATAATTTTGAATAACTTTACATGTCAACAAATATGTATTAAGAACTTCATTGTAAAAGACTACCCAATAATTTATAAAACACAATTACTTAATTAACCAATCCTGGATTACTGGACATTTTCAGTCCTTAATAATGTAGTTAAATTTTTAGATACCATTAATTATTTCCTCAGTGAAAAAATTTTAGGAATCTATAAATATATACTTCAAGATATTTGGTATATATTTTTTAATTGCCAGAAAGTTTGTTTACATATCACCCAGTTGCCAGGAAGGCAATATCAATCAACATTGCCTCCATCAATATAAAGGACTATCTGTTTTTATTTGTTTTTTTTGGTTTCAACACAATATTTGTTATCAATTTTTAATATATGGCAACTTGGGAGGTAAACAACCCTAATGTCCTATGGCTATTTTCATGTATATTTTATTTTTAAATATTTAGTCATGAATTATTATTTGTTAGCCATAGTTTTTGTTTCATGAGTTGCCCCTTCCTCTACAGTTGTTCTTTACTTGTGTAATTTGTAGCAGTTGAAGAGAAGATATTCAATTTTCATTTTAAGCTATAGTGTTTGATCTTTGAACCCATCAACTTTTAAAGTTCATATTATATTAACTTTGTAAATACAACTGAGGTTTAAGCTAATTTCTCTGCCTTGACCTCTTAATCTCCTATTTTATTTAAAAAAATTTCTGTCACTGAAAGAAATGTTCATTACTCTATCAGGAATGGTACATTAATATGCTGTAACTGTGGTCAAAAGCTAAAACACAGATCACTTAATAAACAACAGTCAAAAATAATAAATTCATGAACAGAGGAATTGAATTAATTTTAAAGCTTATCTACTTAAGACTCAATGAACTATGTGTATTAACTAATCTGATTATAAGATGTGTTAGTGGATGATAATGGCTTAAAATATTTATTCCAAGGATCACATTTAAACTTAACAGATTTCTGGAAACTAAATATTTTAATATAAAAATTCATAAAGTTCATGCAAGTAAGACATATTTTGGGCACTTATATGTTCTCCACCATTCAAATGTCATCAGTAGTCATTCACCAACCTCATCTGGAGATGACAATTCAGTAGAGAATTGGCTAAACTTTAAATACAGAAAATGAAAACAAGAATAAGTAAAAGCAAAGTAAAATCCTATAGAACACAGTATAAAATAAGCTTATATTTAAAATAATTCCAAATGCAAGGAAAACATTTTAAGCCCATGCAGTTACTGGAAGATTATTGCAAAGCTGTAATTCAAATAGTTTGTAGTCATTGTATTCTAATTTTTAGATTCACATTGCATAGTCTCAAGTAATTTAAAGCTCTTTGCCCATTTTCCTAGTACATGTGGCAGAGATGGTATCAGCAATACAAAACATTGAAAAATATGTTAGGCTTCTTAGGAAAAAATCACCCGGAAACATTCTGATTCTCTTTTGTTATATATCTTCCAATTCTGTCTTGTGGGAAACAACAAATTAATCACACATGTTAATGTTTATCCTGGCACTACTTGAAAGAAAGAACTCTTGCTATTGCCAAAGACTCTGATTTATCTTATAGGAATTAGAGTAGTCTAATGAAGCAACCTCAGACTTGATGAGAATTAATTCTGGGAAGGCCTGAGATTGGTAGTGGTTCAATGCAGATGGATGATGATAGAACATAGGGAACAACGTATAGTGCTCATTTAGGGAGGAATCTGTATCAGTACAATTATAATTCTCAATTAGGGAGGAACCTGTATCAGGTCAGTATGTGCTCAGGCTGGGTGCAGTAGCTTACACCTGTAATCTCAGCACTTTGGGAGGCGGAGGCAGGAGGATCACTTGAGCCTAGAAATTTGAGATTAGCCTGGGCAACATGGTGAGATTCCATCTATAAAACAAACAAACAAACAAACAAAACCCAAAAAATTAAAAAAGTAGTTGGGTGTGGCGTCATGCACCTGTAGTCTCAGCTACTGGGAACGCTTGAGCCCGGAAGGTCAAAGCTGCAGGGAGCCATGATTGTGCCACTGTACTCCAGCCTGGATGACAGAGCGGGACTCTGTCTCAAGAAACAGAGAATATTGTCAGTTGTTTGACGTGCCATCAAGAACCAAGGATCTTTCCATCTTTATGTTGTGTGTTTGTTTTCCTCCTTATGCTTCTTACCTCATCTCACAAATGGCGGCTGCAGCTCAAGGTATTACATCTAAATTCTAGGAGGTGGAGAGGATGAATACCACCAGCTGTATTTGTTTGTCACCCTGTTCTCAAGAAAGCTTAAACTTTCCTAGGCCACCTCTTTTCTCCCTCTGCAGATTTTTGCTTTCATCTCACTGGTTAGGACCCAGTCACATGAACACAATTAGATGCAAAGGAGTATGGGAAGTGAGTTTTCACCTGAGCACATTGACTTCACCAATAAAATTAGGTGTCTGTTGGCAAAGAAAAAGAGGGAGAAAGATAAGTAGTTAGCAATTACTAGCGTTGCCTCATACTATGAGGCATCTTGAAAAATGAAAATTCATTAGCAGCGATCTTCATATGACTATTTGTTAGAGTTCTATTTTCTTTTTAGTTTCCACTGGCAAATATATGACTATTGAAGCTTAACAATTTCACAAAAATTACAAAATAGTTTGATATTTTTAAAACAAAACTATTTTCTGAAGATAATAGTATGTGGTAGGCTCCAAATGAAAGAAAAAATTGATACAAATCTCAAAACTTAAAGGTATTTACATTTTTCTAATGAGGACCAAAAGAGTAATTGCCTGAATTCTAAGAACATGATTTACTAATAGATAGGTGCAACCTTTGAAGCAAATACATTAAACACAAACATTATGAAAAATCCTTAAAGGAGTTACAGTCTACGTAGTTTTTAAAGCTTCTTTGTTATTTTAGGTATAAAATTTTCAACACAATGACTTTGGGTAAAATTTCAAATGTGTTTTACTTATGAAGCATAGTTTTCCTGATAGTGTTTTGTTTTAATTTAAAAAGCTGTTTTGGGGCATGAATACAAATGGAAATTTTTGCCAGGGAAAATTTGCAAATATTTAATCTATCATGTCGGTAACAGTTAGTTGAAGATTTTACTAAATTCTTTAACAAAAAAATCCTGAGCTTAAGGTCACCCAAATCTAATATTTGAGTCTATATTTATTTTTTTAAAAAAATTATTGAAAAAATTTTAGATAATGTGGGAAGGAGCAAGTAGAGGGAAAAGAAAAATCACCTCTAATACCTAATTTGTATTTTTTTGGGTTTTTAAAATGATAAATTATGACAGCAGCATCCTTTCTTAAGTACTTTCTATGTCCTTGGCCCAGTTATAAGTGCTTTAAATAAATTATTTCTTTTAATCTTTAAAAACCTCAGTTACGTAAGTATTATTATCCTCAGTTACACATAATGGATCTGAAAAGCAAAGAAATCAGATAAATTATTGTGTTAATTTGGGTCCCCTGGGATGGAATTAGACATGCAAAAGATTTATTGGGGGATATTTTTGTGAAGGATCCAGAGAAGAGGGGAAGGGGGAAGGCATGGAGAGCCTTCAGGTACTTGTGAAAAGGGAGGGGTAGGAAGGACAATTGTGTAGGAAGAAACTCAGACCACAGTGCAGCTCTCGGAAAATCTCAGCCAGGTTGTCACAAACCTTGGCTCTAGTTGGAGATGGCGTAGAGATGTCTTCTGGTGCAAAGTTTGCCTCTTAGAGGAGAATTCTGCCTTTAGGAGAAATGGCTTGGCTCTTATTCTCTAGCCATACTCAATTGTTACAGATGTACTTCATTATTACATATCCAATGCCAATCACTACAACAAGGATTTATACTGTCTGGGGCACACCTGGGGAAACTGTGGTCATGGTAAATTTTGGGATAGATCTAATGGTAGGGCAGCTGTCAGCCAACTTCTTACCTCACAGCAAATTCCCTTGAAAGCAAGTCTGAGCAACCATGACTCCCACACTAGCCACAAGTCACAAACCGAAGAGTATCAGAGTTACAATTTCATTTATTTCCCAAACCTGTGATATTACAACTCTCTACTATAGTTTGTACACTTTACGTAATTGACATCATACTACTTTTTGTACTTCAAATAGACTGTGCATAATTTTCATGTCATTATTGTTGCAACAAAATTGAATTATTAAATAAAATGTGACTTTTATTTTTGGCAATATGGGAGGCTAGTACCTTGATTGACAGTTCACCAAAACAGTTAAAATTCTGGATAAACTGCTACTTATATTAGTGATATTTATTTGTGTATTTTTATTATTTTATTTTATTTATTTATTTTTTGAGACGGAGTCTTGCTCTGTCTCCCAGGCTAGAGTGCAGTGGCATGATCTCAGCTCACTTCAACCTCCGCCTCCTGGATTCTCATGCCTTAGCCTCCCCAGTAGCTGAGATTACAGGTGTGCATTATGCCTGGCTAATTTTTGTATTTTTAGTAGACACAAGGTTTCAGCATGTTGGCTAGGCTTGTCTTGAACTCCTGACCTCAGGTGATCCACCTGCCTTGGCCTCCCAAATTGCTGGGATTACAGGTGTGAGCAACTGCGCACAGCCCCCTTATTTGTAATTTTTAAATGCATTGTTGAGCTTAGACCAAAAAGAAGCCAAGATGGAAACTCAGAAATAGGACTGCTGAGAAAAATTTATTGTAACAAAACTTGGCTCTAGGTTGAGTGGGCGGGGCTATCACCTCAGAAAACTGATAGCCATCATGTGGTCCCAAGATGGATTTGTAGCCCAAATATTCATTACCTGTGGTGCCTTTGACTGTTTGGCAGAAAATAAAAATAAAAAATAAATATAATAAACTGTTGGAGCAAGTGATAATCAACATAAACCTCAAAACAAACTCCACAATAAAGTATCAAGGAAAAACAGTAACATATATGATGGTAACATTTTTCATATATAGAAAAATATCACAAAATATACAAAATAAATATGGAAAATATTTATTGGGGGAGATTCTTCAGAAGGACAAAGAGGAGAAGGAGAAGGACAAGGGAAAGTAATAAAAACTAAAATAGATCTATATTAATTGTCATATACTTAAGGGAAGATACACTTAAAAGATGGTACAAAATATGTTCTGAATTTGGTACAAATGTTGACCACATAAGTGTTTGTGAAATTGCTAATATAAATGCTTGTTACATTGATTGATGTTGGATATATAATAATGAAGTAATATGTAACAATTTAAAATATGTTTTGCAATTTTTTGAGAGATAAGAATGATCATACACAGTAAGTATAAATTGATTTCTAGAAGACAATTTGGCTATATGTATGAAGGCCTATATGAATGTATGAAAATGCATACATTTTGACACAGCAATCTAATTTACATGATTTATTACAAGAAATAATAAGAAACATACATAAAGCTTTATTTACAACAACCATCATAAGATCACTTTGCACAATAGTAGAAAATCAGGAACTAAATATCTTAAATTAGGATATCTATTAAATAAATTATGGCATAGTCATATGATGACATGATGACATGCTGTATTATATCTGCTGGTTTTTAAGACTTTGTGTTTGGTGTTCTGAAATTTTACTAAGCTATCTCTCTCCCTCCCTCCCTCTCCCTCTTGTTCTCTGGATGTTTTATATTAAAGAAAGAGTTACCTAAATTTTTGTGGAGTGAATATCCCATACCCAAAAATTGAATGGAGTGAATACCCCATACCCAAAAATTCAGAAAGCATATTTTTCATCTTAACTATGCTACATTAGTTAAGACGAAAAATATGCTTTCTAAATATATATAAAGACAGTTGAAAAATAATTTGGTTTTAGTGTAACTCAGATAAGTCAAAGAGCACAGGTTCATACCTAGACAAGATGGGAAAAATATCTTGCCTATGATATGTTCTGGAAAAATTTTGGGTGCCAGAATCAACTTTAGAAGTGTATTTACTCAGCAGCTGGGGAGGGGAGGGGAATGGATACTTGACTTGACTTTTCTTCCTGGCCTCTTCATTCCCATGCCAGGGGAGACTAGCAGCAGTTCACAGCTGACAGTGTTTTAGGTCATACCTAACAGATTTTTCACTCACCACTTGGTTCTTGGCTTTCCCTACTCTAACATTTCCAGGGCAGCAGAAATTCTCTAAAGTAAATGTGGTCATTAGTGCTAAAAAAAAAAAAAAAAGTTTGTCGTGTAGGAGTTATAACCATACTATGGGCAAGCAGTTTCATATAACTTTATTTTTTTAAAAGGATTAATTAGCATTTAATATTAAATGCTAACAATCAGCTTTTTGAGTGTGGCTTAAAAAACAATTTTAGAAAACACTACTTAAAATATACATCCAAACCAGAAAATAGTTTTTAAAATTATACCATGTGTCCTGATTTTTGTCCTGTTTTGGAAAATCTTCACCATATTCTCTTAAGCTGGAGAAGAAGTTAACAGAAGTTAAATTTTTACCTTTAAAAATTATCCTAAAATAACATAAACGAAGATGAAAGTTACATTTTATTTTCTACTTGTTTGCACTGTTTGAAGAAACGTATATGTTATATACATGATATGTATGTTATACATGTTATATATATGTTATATATATGTTTTACATATATATATGGGATGCTTATATTACTGTCTGATGTTCACCAATTGCAGCAATTTCCAATAAACATTTAGATATTATTGTTAGTTCCTAAATTTCTAATTTGACTACTATGAACTCATTGAGCAATAATGTTACTGAATACCTATGATAGGTAAAATGCTTGCTAGGTTTTGTAAGAGTCCAAATATATGTAGGTGATGTCACTGCCTTCAAGTTAAACCAAAATTAGAATAAACTGTTTGTGTTATAAAACTCAAGAATCAATATAAATACTCTGTTATCTTAATGTAGAAATTGACTCTAAATTATTCTGATTTAGTACATTGGAACTTTCCAAAACCTTTGATTTTAGCCTCAAAACATAGTAAGAAGTATAGAAGTAAAACATCCTTCCCTACATGTCTTTTGGACATCAGTGATTCTTCACGTTTTGCTGGACTAAAGATGAGTTAAAAGACTTTCTCTAAGTACTTTGATTTGGAGTAACCTCATTGATTGTTTCCTTCCTGACATTACTTTGTGAAATTAGATTGGGACACACTTTTCCCTGAAGAGCTCTACATCCACAAATGTTTCCGATTACATGAAAGCCTTCAGCGTGTGAAGGGTCATCATGCAGAGAAGAGTGTCTGACTTTTCCCTATTGCCATGAATGACAGAATAAGATAATATGAGTTTAAATTGAAAGAGAAGAAGGGATTTGGCTTACCTATGGGGAAGGTTTTATTATTTAAACCCTTCTATCTTAGAGTAGCATGAACCTCCTGTAGTTAATAAGAGCTAAGAGCTACTTGGAACTTACTATGTTTCAGGGATTGCCTTAAGCCTCTTACCTATGTTTACTCATTGACTCTTTGCAGTCATCCTGTAAAACAGATACCGTAGTGCCCCTTTATCCATGGGGGATGTGTTCCAAGCCTACCAGTGAATGCCTGAGACTGCAGATAGTACTGGACTCTATATACACTATATTTTTTTCTATACATACATACCTGTGATAATGTTTAATTTATAAAGTAGGCATAAAGAGACAATAACAATGGTAATTAATAAACAAATATAACAATATACTATAATAAAAGTTATGTAAATGTGATCTTTTTCACTCTCTGTCAAAATATCTGGTTGTACTATACGCACTCTTCTTCTTCCTGTGATCTGTTGATCTGATAACCCAGGTAGCTACTGAGTGAGTAATGGGCAGGTAATAGTGTGCAGTGTGGCTAGGCTGCCACTGCACAAATGGATGATTCATGTCCTAGGCGGGACAGAGCAGGAGGGCATGAGATTTCATCACACTACTAAGGATGGCATGCAATTTAAAACTTATGAATTGTTTGTTTCTGGAATATTCCATTTAATATTTTTGGATTGTGGTTGACAGCAGGTAACTGAAATTGCAGAAAGTGAAATGGTTGGTAATTGATATTACTGTATTATCATTATCCCAACTTGCAGATAAAGAAGCTGAAGCATCAAGAAGTTAAGCCCCAAAAGTTGCTGTTAGCGAATGGAAGAGTTAGGATTACAAACTCAGGCAACAAAAGGGAAAAGGAAGAAGTTCCATGCTCTCAACCACTGCATTTCTGGCACCTCACCCTGTGCTGCCTTGGTTCCTCACTTACCCCAGCATCTTTCATGCTTAACTTTTCTTACCTTTCCTACAGAGCACATCTTCTCATTCTTGCTTATTGGAGAAGCTTGCTTATAAGCAGCTTCTCCAAATCCTATATGCTGAATCATGTAGTTTTAATTAACTCTCCCATAGTATCTTAGAAGTATTATCCATTTAATCTTTCCTGGGGAGGTACATGCTGGGGAGAGTTCACCTCTACTGCTTTCTAATAAAGTATTTCATAAATTTCACATGATCACCTAGCAGCAACATTTTCCAGTGATGTTTTATGTATCTTTCTAATCTTATTCATAAACACGTACCTATTAATGACAGAACTAGTCAATTAAAAAGTATTTCAAGAAAGGTTTGGAAATAAAAATCTCTAACAAACAATATAAGAGGACATATGGTTATGTTTAAATTCTCTATTAAAGAAATGATCTATTCTTTTAGGTAAAGATTCTAAAATCTCCTATTACAGTTGACCCTAGAACAATGTGGGGGTTGGGGTACCAAACCCCTCACAGTAAAAAATCCACATATAATTTTTAACTCCCCTAAAACTTAAGTACTAATAGCCTACTGTTGATCAGAAGCCTTATCAATAACATAAACAATCAGTAACACACATTTTGTATGTTATATGTATCATATGCTGTATTCCTACAATAAAGTAAACTAGAGAAAGGGAAGTATTATTGAGAAAACCATAAGAAAGAGAAAATATATCTACTATTTATTAAGTGGAAGTGGCTCATCATAAAAGTCTTTATGCTTGTTGTCTTCATGTTGAGTGGGCTGAGGAGGAGGTAGAAGAAGAGGGGTTGGTCTTGTTGTCTCAGGGGTAGCAGAGGCAGAAGAGGAGGAGAAGGAGGAAGGAGAGGCAGGAGAGGCAGGCACACTCAATATAACTTTTTGAAAAAATCCACATATAAGTGGACGCACATGTTTCAGACCTGTACTGTTCAAGGGTCAACTTTGTTTAATACTGAAAGCTTAGATAATCTTAGTTAACTAAACTTAGTTTCTCATTGGTTAGCTAAAGATTATGGTGCACTCCCTCCCAATATGAATCCTCATTTCCTGCTATGATGAGTTGTGCTTTGCTCCATTTTCCCTGCTTCCATCTGCTACTAGGCTATGATCTCATCAGGTTTCCAAGCCCAGCTGAGTGGGGGTCTTCTAATGACCCTTATTTTGACAGCATCTACCACAAAAATGATGATGGTGGTGAATTACAGCCACTTTGCATGAAGTAATCTCTGATACAGTATTTCTTCTTATTTTAATGTGATAGGTAACATCAAAAACTGCTTTTCTCTCTAATGAGTTCTCTTCTCACTCTATGGGTGTCTTGGTTATATACTAAAGCAGACTTTAAAGAACCTTAATGCAAGATTATGTGGCCAGGTAAAACTCTAAATAGTTTTGAGTAACTCTGGATAAAGCACAGCACACTGAAAAATCATCAATTTCTTAATGTTCTCTATACAGAATTTCTCAATGAATGATCCTCTGCCACCTTCATCAGAAGATTAAAGGTGGTTTATAAAAATGAAGGCATTGGTCTCTAATTCTATTCAATCAAAACATCTAGGCATTGCGGATTGAAACCTGCACTTCAAATAACCATCACAAGATGGGTGCGGTGGCTCACACCTGTAATCCCAGCACTTTGGGAGGCTGAGGCAGGCAGATCACTTTAGGTCAGGAGTTCGAGACCAGCCTGGCCAATATGGCAAAACCCCATCTCTACTAAAAATACAAAAACAAACAAACAAAAAAACAAAAACAGAACAACCACAACAACAGAAAACAACTAGCTGGGTGTGGTGGCAGGCACCTGTAGTCCCAGCTACTCGGGAGGTTAGGGCAGGAGAATCACTTGAACCTGAGAGGCAGAGGTTGCAGTGAGCCGAGATCATGCCACTGCACGCCAGCCTGGACGACAGAGTGAGACTCCATCTCAATAAAATAAAATAATAAATAAATAAATAAATAAATAAGCATCACAGGTCAATCTTACCCGTGTTTGGGAACTGATGTTTTGTTTAGAAAATACCTACCTAGAGAAGCAGTGATACCACAGAGGAATTGTGGACAAGTGCATCCTTCAGACACTTTCTTTAAAAATGAGCTTATGCTGTTCCCCACCCTCTGTCTAAATGTTCTTATTGTTCGGTTCCCACCTATGAATGAGAACATGTGGTGTTTGGTTTTCTGTCCTTGCAATAGTTTGCTCAGAATGATGGTTTCCAGCTTCATCCTTGTCTCTACAAAGGACATGAACTCATCCTTTTTTATGGCTGCATAGTATTCCATGGTGTATATGTGCCACATTTTCTTAATACATAGTAACAAATCTGCATGTTGTGTACATGAACCCTAGAACTTAAAGCATAATAAATTAAAAAAATAAAGTTTTAATCTATAAACATTAAAAAATGAGCTTACGCTTTAAGTTACTATGGTTTATTTCAGGTGCAGAAAATTATACTAATACAGCTACCCATGGATCCAGCGAAGGACAGGTGCCCTGCATAAAGTAAACTTGTAGGGGATGGACATAAAAGAATGCCATCTGCTACTGAGATGACCTGGTGCAAAATTCGGCCCAATTGGACTGTTTCATAATGGGTGATCTCATCAATGTGAGACTGCCCCAATAATAAGTCAATTCCTAATTTGAAATATCCTGGCTAAAAATTGGCACCTGTTCTGATTCTTCATAGAGCTCAATCCCAGTCCTGCAATCCCAGTCCTGGAGGTGATGCACCTTTGTTGTAGTCGTTGTTTTTTTTTTTCAACTTTTACTTTAAGTTCTGGGGTACATGTTCAGGATGTGCAGGTTTGTTACATGGGTAAACATGTGCCATGGTAGTTTGCTGCACAGATGAACCCACCACCTAGGTATTAAGCCCAGCGTCCATTTGCTATTATTCCTGATGCTCTCCCTCCCTCGATCCCCCAACCCCTTGCTACAGGCCCCAGTGTGTGTTGTTCTCTCCCATGTGTCCACGTGTTCTCATCATTCAGCTCTCACTTATAAGTGAGAACATGCGGTGTGTGGTTTTCTGTTCCTGTGTTAGTTTGCTGAGGATAACAGCTTCCAGCTCCATTCGTGTCCCTGCAAAGGACATGATCTCATTTCTTTTTATGGCTGCACAGTATTCCATGGTGTGTATGTATCACATTTTCTTTATCCAGTCTGTCATTGATGAGCATTTGTGTTGATTCCATGCCTTTGCTATTGTGAATAGTGCTGCAATGAACATATAAGTGTGCATGTATCTTTATAACAGAATGATTTATATTCTTCTGGGTATATATCCAGTAGTGGGATTGCTGGGTCAAATGGTATTTCTGCCTTTAGATCTTTGAGGACTCACCACACTGTCTTCCACTATGGTTGAATTAATTTATACCCCCAACAAGAGTGTAAAAGCATTTCTTTTTCTCCACAATGTTGCCAGCATCTGTTGTTTCTTAACTTTTTAACAATCACCATTCTGACTGGTGTGAGACAGTATCTCATTGTGGTTTTGATTTGAGTGATGCACCTTTGAACAGGAGTCAAGCCGCTGAGATGGTTCTCATGTTTTACTTTCCAACACATCTTTCCAATAACCTGCTACCATCTCATTAGGCTTGGTTTTTCCTTGCAACTTCAGAGACCTCAACAAAGAATTGCATAAAAACTAATTTAATAGTTTCTATTCAGGACCAGCAAAAGGAAAGAGACCATCAGCAAGAGAAACAAAGCTATTTTCATTTTATAAAAACATCAAAGTCTCCAATGAGTAGTTATGTTTATTTCAGCTCTCTTTTAATAGTAACAGAGAAAAAATTACAAAACCAGAATTCTAATTTGTGTGAAAAAAATAGTTTTGAAAGTCAACACTTGGATATTTTGCACTGAGCATGTTTATGGAACATTTCTTTATAATTTAATTTTTTTTCCAGGAAGATGCACATAGGTAAGCGGCTTAGGTGCTTCCTAGTTGAATGTGGTTCAATGAAGACAGCATAAGTGTAGAAGTTTGAAGAGTACTTCTCTTCTACTGTCTCTTGGAATTCTTAAAAATGAGTGAAACTAATAAACAAATAAACTCTAAGTATGTTAAGGGTATATTGAATTGTTAGGTTGCAAATAAGAATAATGAAGTGGAAGGAAAATGTTCAAGAAGTAGAAGCTTTACTTCAATTGAAAGTCTCTGAGGTCATTGTTTTCCTCCTGCCTTTTGGCCAGGGGACCTCTTTCAACTTCTTAATTCACTCTCTTTTGAATGTGGCTCCCTCCATATTAGCCAGCATGTCAAGTCTTTCTCATGCTTCACATTTCTGTCTTTCTCTTCTGCTTTCTTCTTCTGCTTGGGCTGATGTGATGACATTAGGTCCACCTGGATAATCCACAACACTCCCATTTTGACATCAATTTATTAGTAACCCTAATTACATCTACAAGGTCCCACTTACCATGCAATGTGCCATATTCATGGGCATATTTCATTATATTCATGGTTCCTGATATCAGGCCAAGTGTTTGATTTAAATATTAAAAAGAGATAACTTACTCAGTTTATTAATCCAAGAGTATTTATTGATTATGTATTTTGGGCCAGCCCTCTTCTAGGTACTAGAGATTGAGTAGGAGGAAAATGTTAGGCAAGAAGGTAGCTAATTCATATAGGATGTTGTTCACCATTGTCAGAACTTAGAGTTTTACTTTAGATATCAAGGGAGATCATTGAAGAGCTTAATGTATGGGATGCAATGATAAGTTACATTTTAAAAGGACACAAACTGGACTTTCTCTTCCAGAAAGATGGAGCAGATGTACTTTTCCCTATTCCACCCACTAAATACACTCCCCAGGTAACTCAAGACAGTCTGAAGGCTTTTGCTGTATATTTCTGCTTCCTCTCTCTTTAGTTTTTCTCAAGCAATACCTCATTAATTCTTTCATACTTCTGTGACTTAGCATCTGTTTCTGCATGATCAAAACTGACCCATATCCCCAAAGGTCTCCTGCATCCCTACCTGTTTCATTATATAGTAAAAACTCAAATTCTCTTTGATAGATAGAATTAAAAAATCCCAGTTGATGTAATCTCTCTCTCTTTTTTTTTTTCTTTTTTTTTTCTTTTTGCCTGTTGATTCGGTTGTATAATAGTTCAAAATAGCCAGGTCACATTCTCAGCTTCAAAACTAAAGAAACAATTGTTGTGTTCCCTTGTCAAAGTATTCATCCCTTGGGACCTAAACCAGTACAGTTTAAAGTTGTGGTGACAAAAAGGAAAATATTTGCTAGGGGATTCCTGGGAGTACTAATAGGAGGAACCACTCTCGTTTTCACCTGGTAGTTTCTGGACCCAGTAATCCTTACCACAAGAGAATCACCACCATGTATTAATTTCTGATTTGGAGCATATAGCCCACACTGGAGGATATTAGCCATCCTTACAATGTGTTAACTAGCTGACACTGTAACCGCACTTTCAAAAGTCCATTATACCATAGTATCAGGCCAGCTCAGTGGATTTCATTATCATAAGTCCAATGATGAAGCTTATTTGTTCTAAAACAAGTTCCTTGGTAGAGAGCCAGGCTCTGTGGAATAGCTTAATGATGAATAGGTTTTCCATAAATCCAAAAATGGTGGTTTTTATTAGAAGCATTAAAGGTAAGGAAGACAAATACATACCCAGAATAAGTGCCTATTCCAAAGAGAACATAATGCTTTCTTTTTCATAGGGGAGTGGTGCCATTTATCTCCCAGGGAGTTATTTTAGAGAATCAGTGTTGATCTCTGCTGTTGGCCAACTGGGCACTCAGAAGTAGTAAAGTCTCGGTGAGTGGAAGGCCATGATACTGAGTGAAAGCGAAACCTCTATCCCTGCTGCCATTACCCCTGTGTTCATGAATACATTGTGAAGGATGGAGTTGGCTGTGGAAAGAGGCTGAGTGACAGCTAAAAATGAGGTATCTGGGCCATTTGATCATCAAGTTCCTCTTTTGCTGAGATCGCTCATTAGTGAGTATTTACATTTGATATAAACATTCCTACTCTCTGCGCCCATTCAGAGACGTCACATATCTCATCCCCAAACCTGCCTGTCATTAATTTTCTAACAGTGTTCATTCCAAATTTTTGACATCAAGCCAAACCATTATCAATGCTCATGAATCTGTGTAGATCCACATACTGAAACATCTCTTTTTTCATGCAAAATGAAAAATCAGGAGTATTGTTCTAAAGTCTGCCAACTGGGAGGATTTCCTTTTATCCTTTAGGGCCACCCCTGAAGTAGGGCTGTAACATTGCAGTTCCTCACTTTTGGGTCATGCCAGAATATTGTGCAGAATACAATTTCTTCATCTGAATATTTTCTTTATCATTCAACTGATCACGGTGAAAGTCTTATAAAATGATTGGTGTAGACTGAGAGAGGAAATGTTTCTCTAGTAGGAGCTGCAGGAGTTGGAGCCATTTGCTTAAACTCATACCTCAGGACCTACTTAGTCTTGATCTCATCTATACTGCTTTTTCCTGATGAAGAAGTATTGCTGTTCCCACTCAACTTTATAGCTTGGAGGCCATATAACTCCCAGTTCATCATGGGCAGCTCAGAAACTTTAGGGCCAATGATAAAGAATTCATCTCTATTTGGCCCCACTGGTAAGCCATACCCATTTTTCAAAAGAGAAATAGTTGTCTACAGTGGACAGCATAACTTTGTGCTAAAATCTTACAGGTCTATGCTGTATTTCACCTGCAGTGGCTGGTCAAAGACTGCATTCAGCATCCCTATCTGCCACAGACACTTCAAACACTGGTGAATCTTCTGGGTCATATGACCCAACTTCAGAACAACTTGCATAGCAGCCTGGAACTGTTGCAGAGTTGTCTTTTGCTTTCGGCCCACTCAAAACTTGCAGCCTTTCACATTTCTTAGTAAATGGTTTGAAAGAACACACTCAAATAAATTAGTTGATGCCCCCCAAATTACGAAGAAGCCTCCAGGTCTCTTTCATCATGGTAGGAGAGGCTTTTTCATCATAAGGGCCAATTCAATGTGCCCCATATCACTGAACTCCTAGAAATTTCATTAAGGTGTGAGATCCCTGAATTTTAATGGGTGTTCTTTCCCACCCTTTGGTCTACATGTGTCATACTGATGCCTCCATTTCCTGCTCACCAGAAAGTTCCAATCAATGTGATATTATTGTGCTAGACCAGCATGATGTCCTATGGGATGAAGAGGTTATCAAAGTGCTTGAAAAGGAAATATGACAGAGGTATGAAGAGTTGAAAACAAACAACTCCTGGTGATCATTACAAGTAAGTGTAAAGAAAAGAAAAAAAAACAACATTCACCCATTAGTTCAATTGCTGCATACCAGGTACCAAGGGCTATGTTGATTTGTTATAGTCAAGAAACCACATCTAGAATAGTCGCTGCAACTGGAGTTACCATCTAATTAAATTTATCATAATTCAGTGCATTCACATTTCTAGTGGCTTCTATTTGGCCTTTCCTACTATAATAGCCCTCACTTGAGTCAGGAAACTGCTTTGAGGAGTCTGCCAATTGTTAAATATGTCTATTTCAAATCTGCTTTCTGGGGCTGAAGAAATTATTGCAGGGTGAGTAGAAGACCTACTGGGGCCACTGTCAGACAGACATACATCAAAGCTTTATCATCTGGCTTCCATAAGCTTCTGTCTGGACTTGTGAAGAAGAAGTGGGCTTTTTCTCCCCCAAATTAGATTTAATTTAGAGTTAAGGTCCAAAAATTCCCTCAAAGTTTGGTGTTTTCCTTTCCTCAATGCATAGTAACTTTGGTAAATGTCCATAGTCCCTTTGGGGAAGGCTAGGAAGAAAAGTTACAAGATAAATTTAGGCAATGTAGAAAGGTCACTCCTCAAGGAACCCAGGCCTTCTTTCATTTAAGGGATGTTGTGTCTGTAAACCAGCTCAAGTCTGGGAATTGGTTGAGGGACCAGAACTCTCTATGATGGTGGTTTAAGTTAGATTTCTGTTTACTATGCTAAGAATTGCTCTGATTATTCAAATAAAGTACAATGTTTGTAGCCTGCCATATATTTTACTTTTATTTTATTATTTTTTTGAAATGGAGTCTCTGTCACCCAGGCTGGAGTGCAGTGGCATGATCTCCACTCACTGCAACCTCCGCCACCCAGGTTCCAGTGATTCTTCCTGCCGTATATTTTAGAACTAGGATAACCATAATCAATAAACCAGTACCAAAGATCATTGCTGTTCAAACTAGTCTGCCTCCCATTATAATAACCATACCTACTTTGACTCTGGCAATTAAGACCTGAAACGTGGCTCTTATTATACTGGGATTGCATCATCCCAGACTGAATTCAGATGACTTATTTTAATAGCAGCATTTCCCACTATTACTTCTGGCCTCTAGAGAATAGCTATGACAGAGGACTTCAAGGGTGCTGGTATTCCCCTTCCAGTGTAAGTATACTTCCTGGGATGTACAATTGGAAGATGAGTAAGGGGGTCACATATAACAAAATCATTATAGCATTCATTTTCCCTAAATATTTGATAACTGTTTCTTTTTTTTTTTTGAGACAGAGTCTCGCTGTGTCGCCCAGGCTGGAGTGCAGTGGCGCGATCTCGGCTCACTGCAAGCTCCGCCTCCCGGGTTCACGCCATTCTCCCGCCTCAGCCTCCCGAGTAGCTGGGACTACAGGGGCCCGCCACCATGCCCGGCTAATTTTTTGTATTTTTAGTAGAGACAGGGTTTCACCGTGGTCTCGATCTCCTGACCTCGTGATCCGCCCACCTCGGCCTCCCAAAGTGCTGGGATTACAGGCGTGAGCCACCGCGCCTGGCATTTGATAACTGTTTCTACAGAATACCAAGGTAACTCTGATATCTCAATTTCCATCAGCATAGACCACCTTTGATTCTGAGTTTCAGTCAAGCAATTGAACCCACAGAGCCACTCCAAGCTACTTTAGTTAACACATTAAATTAAATCTGGTTAATTCCACTGTATCATTCAATTTGGCCATTTCTTCTACCTGATTTGAAACTCTTAGAATCCGTTATGATAAATATTCTCTAGGTTTTAGTTAATGTATGTTGGCAAAATATTGCAATTAGTATGTATGCTACCTTCTCCCAGATCATATTTTGTGCTCAATACCTTAGATTTTAATGTAATTATCTGTTAGGAGTAAGGAAAAGAGGAAGATTACGATTTTTGTGTAAGGCAACTGTCTTGGAAAGGTCATTGCAGGTTATTTAGGCAAGAGGAGTCTAATCTCCTTAGATTGCAAGAATGGGATGCTTCTATGACAAGGAAGTCACAGTGGAATTTGGAGGTTCACAGTCCCTAGCTTCTCTGGAATGTGCCCAGATGCCCTTATGGCAATTTTCATGGTTTTCACTTTTTTCCAATCAATGCTCTCACTTTAACGTAAGAGAATCTGTGGCTGTGAACTCTATGTATGATATAATTTAGCCACCTGAATGATTGGACTTTGAGTTTGATAACAAAACCCTCAATCCTTTAGCTATAGGATATAGGACTTTTTGAAGGGAGACACAGAAGTTTCCTGGTTCATTCCCCATACCTTGAGCTGGGACTTGAAAGTTCCAAGCTCATTATTTTTTTTTTTTAGTTGTTCAAATGGACACAAAGATGGGAACCACAGACACTGGGGACTATTAGAAGGGGAGGTAGTGAGGAGTGCAAGGGCTAGAAAAACTACCTATTGGGTACTATGCTCAGTACCTGGGTGACGAGATCAGAGATCAGTCATACCCCAAACCTCATCATTTTATTTCTTTCTTTCTTTCCCTTTTTTTTTTTGTGTGTGTGTGTACTTAAAAGCAACCAACCAATCTCATAATTCCTATACTCTTTATTTCCACTAAAACTCTGGCCTTCCATAGGCACTTGACTCCAGATAGCAAAAAGTGATCTTATGGCTCATCCCTAGAGCTGGGAATGGGGTTCCATCCAACACAAATTACGTGACCAAGAATGAGTGGGAAGCAAACTCTTTCATGGGAAACCAGGGTACTGTTGGTGGAAGAGGTGGGAATGAGATCCCAAACACATATCCAGTTACCCTGTCCATAGTCAGTCTTTTCTCTCTAAAGTTGAATATAACATATGTTGTACTGTTACCATTATCTATAAGCTCCTTTTCTGAGGACTAGACTACAATGGTGCAGGCTCAAGGCTAGGACAGGGGAAAGAGGTAGAAGAACACAGTAGAAGAGAACATAAGGAGACAAGGTTCTTGAATGATTAGGAGAAGAGGCCAAAAAAGATGAAATTATAGAACGACTAGACTGGAAGTGGAGATGTAGGCTCTGCCTACTTTACAATTTTGCTTAGAACTATATCCAATAACAATTGAGCAGATGTCCTCATATCCAGCACTAAATGCCCAGGCTGGAGTACAGTGGCACAACCTTGGCTCTCTGCAACCTCCGCCTCATGAGTTCAAGCAATTCTCCTTCCTCAGCCTCCTGAGTAGCTGGAATTACCGGCATGCACCACTATGCCTGGCTAATTTTTGTATTTTTAGTAGAGATGGGGTTTCTCCATGTTGGCAAGGCTGGTCTCGAACTCCTAACCTCAAGTGATCTGCCCGCCTCAGGCTCCCAAAGTGCTAGGATTACAGGGCCCAGCCTCAGCACTAATTTTGAAGAATGGATAGAAACATTTTTTCACACTTAAAAATATTCCAGTATTTGAAAAAGAAATGGTGTTTGGTCAAATATGTTTGAATGAGAACATGCTCTGTCCTGAAATATAGGTGAATTCTTATATTCTGATATCATTTGAGTAATAAGTACTGTTACTCCAGTTATTTAATCATTGTTTTCGCTCTGTTTTCATTTTCATATTGGAATTGTATTTATGTTACTTGCTGGGGGCAGGGGGGGAATCTCACTCAGCTTTCTGCTTGTCACATGTCACAGTTGCTTCCAGGTTATTGAAACATATGATGTTATTTTCCCAATGGTGATATCCTGATGGATGTTATTTAAGATTCTTATATCTAGGACATATTTCATGGACTTCTCATAACTGAAGTTATATGATTTGTGGTATCTCCTAAAAAATGTCCCAGCACCGGCAAATGCTAATCAAGCCTCCTGCAACTCCCAAAACCTTGAACAGTCGCTAAGAAATCTCAGAATAGAGCTTTATCGATTCTTGAGTAGACTTAAATTGGATGAGCTGGGTAATAGAAGCATCTGGCTTTAACTTCTGTTTTTCTGAAGTTTTACTAGAGGGATTTTTATAATGACTCTATTTAACCTCATTTTCATTTGTCAGTGTCAGCATCTTCTGTGGAAGTCTTACGTTTACCTTCTGTGACCTGCTGGTCATTTAGCAGAGCTAAATGTATAAGAATACCTTTCTAGGCTTTAGTGTCAGTTACTATCTTCAGGAAACAAATCCTAAACACGTGCTCTTAACTGCTCAGATTCCCATCTTGCTTAACTGTCAGACTTACCTAGATAAAGTCAGTCACATTGTGTAGGTTTTTAAAAGAAACATCTCTAGTCATTTCAAACTGTCTTTGCAGCTTAATGCCATATTTTTATATTGTGGACAATTTTGAAGGGACTTGAACATTAGGTCAACGGGTTTGTATTTAATTTGGTATGAAATGGAACAAAGATAAAAATGCTGTAAAGATAACAGTATATAAATATAATTTCATTGTTTCTGTGATTGAGAAATCCCTTGGAGTTTAAGCAGACCGCTATTTGTTCATCAATATATATTTCCTTCTTTTTCTATGTTAATGAAATCTTCGGTAAACCATTTGACCAACCAGCCTCCATCATATTTAAATATGGCCATATGAATTATTTCTTGCCAAGATTTGTCATTTAAAGGGAGGGAGCTTTCTCTCTTTTGGACTCCTTCATTCTGCTGCTACCTGGGATGTAGACAGGACACTAATATATCTTTGAATCTGTAGATGCTCCAGGGATGAGAGAGGAACAACAAGAAAAATGGGAATTTTCTGGACCACTTGCCGTATGACCATTACAGGAGAAAGAGAAAATCGTCTATCATATCTGAGCCATTTTAAAATTTAGTTATTAGTAATAGCAGCTCAACCTGTATTATAATGCAATCTGGTTTTACATATGTAAATAACTATTCTTTAGGATGAAATGTTCCTATGAAGAACAATGCAAAATATAAATACAGTAGCTTTAGTAAAAAAAAATTACATCTAATGGTATTGCCTCTTTCTGTGTATTATTCATGGTAATGACAACCACAGATATGGTGAATAGGTCTATTGTGCATAATTTCCCCTTGCATTATTTTCCAAAGTTCATTCAGTCTTATACTATCTTCATAATACTTGTTATATCCATGTCTGCTTTTAATATTACTGATTTAATATTTTTTAAAAATTGACTTTATATAACTGTTTCTTTTGTTTTTTTTTAGAGACAGAGTCACACTCTGTTGTCCAGGTTGGAGTGCAGTGGCATGATCAAAGTTCACTGCAGGCTCAAACTCCAGGGCTCAAGTGATCCTCTCACCTCAGCCTCCTAAGTAGCTAAGACTACAAGCATATGCCACAATGTCCAGCCAATTTTTAAAATTTTTGTAGAGACAGGGTCTTGCTATGTTGCCCAGGCTGGTCTTGAACTCCTGGCCTCAAGCAATCCTCTGGTCTTGGCTCCCCAAAGTGCTGGGATTACAGGTGTAAGCCACCACTCTGGCCCAATATAACTAATTTAAATAACTTAGATGACTTGGAGTAGACAGTCTTTATAAAAATAAATGTATTGAAATCACACAATAATTACAACAAAATGCTATTGCCTGCCAAAGGCCTTGGGCCTAAGGCTTTCTCTCTATTTATTTGAAGAGATCAGTTAGATTTAGAGGCCTACTGGGCCGGGTGCAGTGGCTCATGCCTGTAATCTCAACACTCTGGGAGGCCAAGGCGGGTGGATGATTTGAGGTCAGGAGTTCTAGACCAGCCTGGCCAACATGGTGAAACCCCATCTCTACCAAAAATACAAAAAAATTAGCTAGGTGTGGTGGTGCACGCTTGTAATCCCAGCTACTCAGGAGGCTGAGGCAGGAGAATCTCTTGAACCCGGGAGACAGAGGTTGCAGTGAGCCAAGATTGCACCACTGCTCTCCAGCCTGAGTGATAGAGTGAGACTCTGTCTCAAAAAAAAAAAAAAAAAAGAAAAAAAAAAGATTTAGAGGTGTATTTAAGACATGCTAGCAAGAAGTTGTAACTTTCTTTTTGGTGTAATCAACTGAAAGATAATTAAAATGGAAAATCTTTATGTGATTAAATTTTATATAATGCTTCATGAAACCTAAAATCATTCAGGAGTACACATTGTGCACTTCAGAAAATGCTGCTTTTTGATTCTTTTTTTTTTTTTCACAAACAAATAAGAGACAGTAATGATCAGAAAAAATGTTGGGGAAGGATGTGTCAGCCTTATTACAGCTCTAGCATGTAGTATTGTTTTAATCCCTCCCTTTATAATCCACTTCTCTGATAGTAAATGGGAAGGTAGTCAACTACCTAAACATTAGCAATCCTTGCTACTTGTTATATTTTCTCAAATTTTTGCCTTTGAACTAGACATTACATAATTTTAATAAGTAACTTCAGCTAACCAATTTGTGATCCCCAGAGTAAAATCCCGACATCATTGTGGCAAAAGCCTGAAATGAATGTCAGGAGCAAACTGGCTAAGCATGAATGGACATTTAACCTCATACATGAAAATAATAAGCATCATTAAAGAGGAAGAGGAAAAGAGAGTGGGTCATTTTACAAGCAAATACAGACTTAATTTGAATGGTTTCTGATTACACAGCACTTTCCAAACCTTTGAGTAATTCTTGTTTGGAAGCTGCAAGAATACAGTGATGTGCTACTGCTGAAATGGCCTGTAAATGTGATGCTAAGAAAAGTGCAGGCATAAGAGTGCTTTCTGTAAAAAGGAATATGATATGGGCAGATGTTATATGAGCCTCCCAGCGGGGCTTCTCTTACACACGGGGTCATCAGAAAAGGTCTGATAATTTTATTGGCATAGATTTGTCATTAACAGGGAACTTGAGCATGTTCTGAAGGATTTTAACATCCATAATACACCTTATGAATGTTTCTGCTTGTAATTTAAAGTTCTGCATTCACAAAACAGTCTTTTTTCATAGTGCTTACCAGAGGAGTGTGACTTTCATTTGTTCAGGTTCTCCATTTAACACTTTATATTATGCATCCCTCACAGAAGAAACATTAAAACATTTTCTTGTCTGTTTGCATTTTAGATTTCATCTGGATTTGCACAACACCATGACTTAAAGATTATCCTATGTGCCAGATAGCTGTGTATTCACAGTCATCTATTTTCTCGTGCTCCTGGGCTCGCAGAGAGACATTGCTCGCCCTTAAGTGTTGTTATATAACTGAGGTCTAGTAAATGGAATGCAAAAGAGTTATATGCCACTTTCAGTCTAGTCCAAGCCTGTCCAACCCATAGCCTGCATGTGGGCTGCATGTGGCCCAGGACAGCTTTGAATGTGGCCAAACACAAATTCGTGAACTCTCTGGAAACATTATGAGATTTTTTTTTTTTTGCAATTTTTTTTTCTTTTTCAGCTCATCAACTATCGTTAGTGTATTTTATGTTTTGTCCAAGACAATTTTTCTTCTACCAGTGTGGCCTAGGGAAGCTAAAAGACTGGACACCCTGGTCTAGCCCATAAGGGCAACTGCATGATCTTCTCTGCTCTCTCTCTTCCTCTGTCAGTCCTCTAATGTCAAAGAATTCAGCCAAGGACTGGGAGTTCTGAGGAGATGGTGGGACTACAGAACATAAACAGCCCCTCTTCCTCTCACTCATTGGACTTCATGTGAGCAAGAAATAAACTTTTATCGTGTTAATCTACTTATACTTCGAGGTTGTCCCTAAACGAATGCAGAATGATCAAAAGTATCAGGTTACAGATGATAGTTTTAAAGGCTGAAACAGAACCAGAGATTGTCGAAACCAGGCATTTACCTGACAGATCTGCGTGCAACCCGTGCAGCACATCACCACCTTCCTGCAATACACAACAAGCAGGAAGGAGAGTCATGCCCTCTCCACCATCTGTCCAGGACTTTAGGATCAACATCTCTTCAGGCTGAGCTCTCCAAACTTAAAAAAGACACATGCCTCTTAATAAAAATAATCTAAAATCTGTTTTACAGATGAAAAACTGGAGGCTTGGAGAGTTCAAATGATTTGTCCAAGATCACTGATTTACTTAATCATTAAATCAGGACTATAGACAAAGTCCCCTAACTTGTAGTCCTGGTGATTCATATTTACAGGGCATTAAAAGCAGCTCTGTTCTGAAGTACATTGGGATAATTATCAGGTATAAAGTTCTGGATTGTAGGCAAGTGAGTATCTGTGGCAGATTAAAAATGAGTAAGTCCTATTGGCTTCTACTCTCCAAGATTTTCCCTCTCCTTTTCTCCTCTCTATTCACCCTATAGTGCATTTCTCTTCTCAGTGACAGTATTAGTGAAAATCCTTAGGATTTCATCAATTTACTTTTTCCTTCAGTGACATCCCAGAATGTTCTATTTTTTTCTTTGTTTTAAATAAATTTGTCATTTTTTATTGTTGTTTATTTAATTTGCACTTGGGAGCAGGAAGTGTTGCCATCCAGTTTTGCTTTACCAACTTTAAAAAGACTTTTGCAAACCCCCTTAGAACTACTATGATCAATGAACAGATATGGAAGAAAATAATGAAGATAATAAAGTGATTCAAAACTTTGACAGCTAGGAAACACTTAAAAGTTTAATTTAGTTTTCTGTCCTTGTGATAGTTTGCTGAGAATGATGGTTTCCAGCTTCATCCATGTCCCTGCAAAGGACATGAACTCATCCTTTTTCATGGCTGCATATGAGACCACTTGGACATAGGGCGAGGAACATCACATACTGGGGCCTGTCAGGGGGTGGGGGGCTGGGGGAAGGATAGCATTAGAAGAAATGCCTAATGTAAATGATGAGTTGATGGGTGCAGCAAACCAACATGACACATGTATACCTATGTATCAAACCTGCACGTTGTGCACATGTACCCTAGAACTTAAAGTATAATTTTAAAAAGTTTTATTTAATATGAGCCACACACACACACACACACACACACACACAAAAAAATGGAATAGTATTCAGCCATAAAAGAATAAAATACTGTCATTTGCAGCAACATGGATGAGCCTAGAGAACACAATATTAAGTGAAATAAGTCAGGCACAGAAAGATAAATACCACATGTTCTCGCTTGTATGTGGGAGCTTAATTCAGCTCATTATATGTGGGAGCTAAAAAATTCAGTTCATAGAAGCAAATAGTAGGATTGTGGTTATTAGAGGCTGGGAAAGGTAGAGAGAGGGAAAGATAGGAAGGGTTGGTTAAAAGATATAAAGTTACAGCTAGATGGGAGGAATAGTTCTAGAGTTCTGTAGCACTGTGTGGTGAATATGATTAACAATAATTTAAAGTATATTTTCAAAAAGCCAGAAGAGAGGATTTTGAATGCTCCTAACATTAAAAAATGAAAAATGTTTGAGATGATAGATATGCTGATTACCCTGATTTGATCATTACACATTACATACATGTATTGAAATATCATTCTGTATCCCATAAATATGTATACTTATGTATCAAATAAAAATAAAAGGAAAAAATATGTTTTTTTAAAATTATAAGTTAAGAAAGGATAGAGGATGTGTATTTACAGAAGACCCAGTGATACAATCACCAATTATTAAAAGCTTTCTTATTTAACAGGCTTTTTATTGTTTTTGATGACAGACATGATGATAATAATAATGACAGCTAACATTACTGAACTAGGCACTGTTCAGAGCACCTAATGTAAATGAACTCAGTACATGTGCCGAGAACTGTATTGAGTATGCAACATGAATAAAACAGTCCAAACCTCAAAACAAACCTATGAGGCAAATACTATTATTATCCTGATTCTATTGAAAAGTGAGGAACAGAAACGTTTAGTAAATCACTCAAGATGTCACAATGGCTTTTTCTTTTAAAGCAATGAATAGTTTTAGTGCGCGTGATCCCAGAGAGAGGAGAAATATCAGTGGCTTGAGATCACAGGGGAACAAATTTCAAATCGATACAGTGAAGAAACTTTGGGAGTAAAAGCTTTTCTACTTAGGGGACTTTGTCCTTACTTTCCATCTTCTTGAAACTTCCTTTTCCTGTAATGTCTGTGGAAAGCACTGCATGATTCTTGCTTCTCCATGGGGATTTTCCAGATTTTGCCAATATTATTTTCATATCACCCACACCCATTCTCTCTTTGCACTATTGAACTATTAAAGCATTCATAAAAGCAAGTGTGGTTTTGTAATTATTTGTATGTGTTTCTCACCTATTACATTTAATCTACCTTATTGCCTAATACACAGTCTTGAACAAAGAATGGATGTTAGCAATTTTGATTGAATTAGAGAAAACATTTTAAAAAGACATTTATTCTTTACAAACCATTTAAGTAGTTTGCCCTAGCATAGTTGTCCTACTAATATAAATTGAATTTACTGATAGCTTCACTATGTATTCTAAAATATGTTTTATTTAATGATTATATTTCCACTTCTCTAAAAATTTATTCTTTAGAAATTCCACAGGAAAATTGGATTCATAATGATCATAAAATCAGTGGGGGTATAATCATCAACTTTTTAAAAATGTGAAGCCTTATAGTATGGTATTATATGGAGTAAAACTAAACGTTTGGCAATATTACAGCCCTTAGTTTTTGGTGTTCAAATAGGTTGCAAATCTGATCTTTGCTTAAACTTACAGGATTTTCACATTTATTATAAGAACATATAAAAAGAAACCAACCTGAATATTTTTCTAGCCACTTCCAGCCTTCTTAATAAATGATCTTTCATTATTTAATAAATAACTATGCTGAAACCATTTATCTGAACTAGCAACTACATACTAAACTGAATTATTAAAAGTTGTATGGGCAGTATTTAAGAATTTATATGTACTATAATTTAAATTGTTACATGTTTTGTAAACAATGCACTTCACCATGATTTTGCTTTCTAATTAGTATGCCATTTGATAGCAATGGGCAAAAAAAGAAACTTTTATAATAGATTATCATACTTTTGCTTTCATCACTAAAAGCATTGACTATATATTTTAACAATCCAACTTACACATTGTCCCCTTTGTTTTATATTCAACAGTAATACTATACCTTACCTTCCTCATTGCCACCCTTATGCTTCTCCCTTGACTCCCAGGGAGAGCAATTTGGCTGAGTTACTCCTGAGTGTTTCAAGCTCAGGTCACTGGATATTATTTGTGGAAATTCCCTTCTTTCTTCTTTCTTGTTCTCCTTCTCCTTCCTTCTCTTCCTCCTCTCTATTCCTCCTCTTGATTTCTTTCTTTCCTTCTCCACCTTCTTCTCTCCTCTTTATCCTTCTTTTTGGTCCTGTTTTTGCAAAGGAGAGGAGGAACAGACTTGAACTGGTACCCTAAATGTTCTGCCATGTTGCTGCAAATTTTTCTCCATCTAATTTTTAAATGACCCTTTCATTTTGTTCTATACTTTGCATATCTCTTGCATTAAGGAAAGAAAAATTGGAATTAAAGGAAAACGAGGATGAAAAGAAGTGGAGGAAAAAATATTAGAAGTTGGAAGGGAAATAAGGAAAATTTGGAGTGACGTTACAAGGAAAAGAAAAGTTGTGTTTAAAAGGAGATCCAAAGGCTCTGATAAAATATAGGTAGAAGAATCAGAATGAATGTTGGTAATTAACTTCCCCATCCCACTCCCAGTCTTTGTAGATATTCTTTTAGTATCTTAAGCTCTATCATATTCAGTTTTCTTTGTCTGACTTTTTTCTTTATTTTATGAAATTAACAACATTTAATACACTCTGACAAATAAAAAAATAACCAAACCAGGTTGTCATCTTCCAAAAGCTCTCTAAATCCAAGTGTGCTGTAACCAACCTCTTTCATGCTGACACAGTGCCCATCCCCTCCAGCTCCTGCTGCACCGTGCACAGTTGGCCATGTCCACAGACTCAGAAGATATAATATCAATTTAATTTTCTTTTCAGTCTTTTATTGTCTTTTGTGCCTTTTAAAAAAAGTCTCAACTACATGTTGTGATTGCTCCAGCTTTATAAGATAGAATTTAATATTCTTTTTTGATATGACCACACATCTAATATTTGCTCCCCACTGCTCCTGCAAATAGTAAGTTAAAATTGTTTTTCTTAATATAAGTCACTGTTTCTCCAGATTTCTTTGTGTTTCAGAGTTGGTTAATCCACTTTAAATCAGCAGCCTGTCTGCCTGCCATTCTACTCCCCTGCCCCATACCCCACGACTATATATTCCTTCCTTCCTTCCTTCCTTCCTTCCTTCCTTCCTTCCTTCCTTCCTTCCTTCCTTCCTTCCTCATGATAGTTAGTGTGTTCTCGTGAGATCTGGTTGTTTAATAATGTGTGGCATCTCCCCTCATCTTGCTACTGCTCTTGCCTTGCGAACTGCCTGCTCCTTTTTGCCTTCCACTGTGATTGTAAGCTTCCTGAGGCCCTCATCAGAAGCCATTGCCAGCACCATACTTGTCCGGTCTGCAGAACCGTGGGCCAATTAAATCTCTTTTCTTTATAAATCACCTAGACTCAGGCATTTATTTATAGCAACACAAGAACAACCTAATACACTTCCCTTGAATGATTCTTTTCGTTTCACACTAGAGAGCTTCCCAGTTCCTCAGCACAAAGGAAGTAGGTGTTATTTCCTGAGGGAGAGACTGCATCATCTTCTCATGTTTACACATCAAGACCTTAAACTGTATGTAAATACAAGCTGTGTTCCATGTAAATACAAGGACCTTTTTATGCTCTTAGAATTGTTTAACCAAACAATTGACTGAAATATATTTTTCAGATGGGAATGAACACTTTACTTGTGACCCTGACCTTAGCTTATAATAATTTTCTCTCTCTGATCCCCACCCTTCCCCCATATAGGTAGGAAAAGAGGACCAGGGACTATTTTGTTCCACTAAGAATTTAAATATGGGAAATAATTTGTAAAACATATGCCTGAAATATTAATAATGACTATATATGTAACTGAAGCAACATTTAAAGAGGTAATCCATGATGGCTGAGTGAGGCACAGTAGCAATATTAGGAAAAGCTGTTGTATTATAATATTACTGCTAAAATTTGAAAAAGCAAATGTTAGCTAGAGAATAAAACCCAAACACCAGAGCAGAAGCTGGTTTCAGTTTTCATATATAAAATATTTATGTTTTAGTAAAAAGCAAACCATTATCTGCCCTTTCCTGTCACCTTCCCTGTCTCCACGAGGTTGTAGTTTTGAAATTAGCCTTTCTTCTAAGAATGAAAGCACGAACACTCTACGAACAGCTTTCTTTTCTTATATGATTTGTCCCCTTAAATGATTGGCTCTGCAGGATCCTTAGTTTCGTGGACATTATATGTTTCATGCAGATCAACTTGTAACCTGGGCAACAGTGTGGAGGGCCTGGGCTATACTATTCCAGGGTGAACAATGACATTCAATGTCACATTCCCCTTAACTAGAGACAGTGAAAGTTCTGTCACTCCTCTGGCCGACATCAGCTAGCCTGTGAGGAAAACAGCCTGGGAAAGTAGATTGTAATTCCACACAGATATGTTGAATCACGATTTAACCTGCTTTTCAAATCATGAACATTGGGGAACTGAGGTTTGTATCTCCTGGTAGGGGAAGAGGAGGATAGAAAAGGTAGGCAAAGCCAGGTAGCTTTAGGTTAGGATAAGCTAGAGGCAAAAAGTTATGGAGAAACACAGAGATTATTTTTAGAAATCAAAGAAAGCTGAAATATATAGGCCAGTTTACTTTTTGAGAAACCTTGTGTTCAGGAATAACCTAGAACCTAGAATAAATTGGACTATTGTAGAGTAGCTGATTGTGTTGTCAGGAGAGACATGAAAACATTTCAAATGACTAAAAATTAATGAGAAAGGATGTGGGGCATTAGAGAGCCTGGGAATTAAAACTGGTCAAGAGAGCTTTCTTTTCATATATTTTTCTCTGTTTATCCAAGTTCTCCCCCCACCTCCTGATTATGTAAGTAATATGTATTTATTGTTGAAAATTTGGAAAATAGAGAAATGGCAAGATAAGCAAAAATCAGTTGCAACCTACCATTAAGACAACGAATAATATCATCAACATTTTGATGTATTTTCTTCTTAATCTTTTTTCTTTGGCTTTTATATCTCAAAATGTAGCTTAGTTTTAGTTTTTATCCACGTTATATATGCACAAGGCTTTAAAAGAACAAGAGCTCTGCAAAATTTATTAAGAGAAATGATACTTTCAAATTTTAATAGATTCTCTTGATATTAACCCCATTACTGTAAGTAACATGCTTATTTTTGCCTTTAAAGAAATTTTTGTACTATTTAGTTGATAATCCACAATGTATGCCTTTCCTTAATACTTCCTCTATCTACTGTTACTACATATGCAGTCCGTGTTCAAGAAATAAAAATAAGCTTCATACTATATACCTTTCAAACTAGAAAATCATAGTACATATTTGGAAACCAGATGAAATTTAATTAGAAAGACTATTTTTGACATTGGCAAATATTTTTCTAGAAATGTTAGTAAATGAATTAAAATGTCTTGCTCTAATTTTCTTTTTCTTCAAAGGCTGCATTTGATTTTACTATTAGTTATATGCACACACACAAAAAACACTTTCAAATAAAAATACACATCCCCTTCTTCAAATTCCTCATAATATAAAACATGTCTGAAATGAGGAATAATTGATCAGAAGTCAGTGAGTAAATGTGTAGTTCTCAAAGGAATAACAGAAATTATATCTTTAATTAAAATGTAAATTAACTGGGAAAATATTTGCTACAGATATAACAGAAAAATGTTTAATATCTTAATATACAAAGAATTCTTCACAATCAATAATAGGACATTAATACCCAAATAATAAACTAAGATCAAGTACAGGAAATTTGAACTTGCATAATTAGTAAGCAAACAATTTTTAAAAACCACATTCATTTCACACTAGTAATGAAAGAAATGCTAATTAAATATTAGCAGGATACTATACTTCATCTATCAAAATAGAGAATACATTTAAAAAGATAATACCCCATTGGGGAAGAATTGGTGAAAAAGACACTTTCATATACTGCTTATGAAAGTATATACTTTCATAAGTATACTGCTTATGAAATTGTAAATTAGCATAATCTTTCTAGAAGGCAAATTGGCAGGAGATATAAATAATCGTAATGAAATTGTTGCCATTTGACCTTGCAATGTTACTTCTATGAATTTAGCCTAAAGGACAATTGGAAATGCACATAAAGATTTATGCAAAAGTTGTTCATTTTAACATTATTAATGAAAGCCAATGTTATTTAACGTTATTAATAAAAGTGAAAAATAGAAAAATAACCTAAATAGCAACAATCAGAAGAAAGGTTAAATAAAACTATAATAGTTACATGTGATTAATTATTATGCATTTGTAATGTAATGAATAAGATGGCTGAAAATAGTCCTAGAGAGTCATTCTGGGTTGTCTAGACAGCTAACCAGCTGGTACCTGGGATTCCCATTCTCCTCCCAGAAGGAGAGGCTGCAGCCAAGCTCACATTCCCACAGGACTGGATGGTGGCTTCTTCCCCTGGCAGTCAGAACTGCAGTTTCCCATGGTCTCCAGGTCTCAAGGTGACTGACTGCGTCGTTCTCAGACAATGCCTGTGAATGGCTGGCATGCAGCTGGCATGTTCATACCCAGAGGCTGCTTTCTCATCCTTTTTCTAGAAAATAGGAACTTCCATGAGGGTGTGCTCCATTGGAATGCACACTTCTCCTGGTACACTAGCCCCAGCAGGAGTCTTTGAGAAATGATGGGAGGGTTGGGTGCCCTGTTCTTTCTCTCCTCTTACTGATCCATAGCCTATATAAGTTTCCCTTCTCTTCAAAAAAAGCCTATTTCTTCCCTATACTCTGTGACTTTGTGGAATTTGTCCTGAAAATTGGTTAATGTTGGGGGCAGGGGAGGATACAAGAAGAACCTTATTTTGTGCGATAGTGGTTATCAAAAATCATAGTTTTTAGCATTTTAATGGTGTTAGAAAGCACTTACAACATTATGTAAAAAAAAGCATACAAAACTCTAAAACTTTGTATTTGTTATAAAATTTTTTTTGAAAAAAGGTAAAAGTACATTTATCAATTTCCTACTTAATAATATTAAAGTCGTAAGATGAAATGGCATTAGACCAAAAGGCTTTGAGTGGAGATTTTAATGGGGAACATTACATTTTGTCACCAGAATTTCAAAAGTCATAGCCATTTTCTAAATAAACTAAAATAAACACAATATAACTAGATTTTCTGATTTTTCTTATTAAAAAATATAATTAGAATAATTAAAGTTTTTAAAGGTAAGCAACACAAAAATGTTCTGGATAGAAATACGATTTTTTTTTATCCCCCTAGCTAATTGCATTCTACAGTACATTTTTTTTCTAGCTGTAAAAGGCAGCAAAAAATAAAATGCTCTGACTTTTTCTTACTAGCTCTATCTAACACTCACATACTTTCTAAAGCAATCAAGAGCCAAAATATTTTAGTTTTGGCAACTTGCACTTACTAGAGATTGAGTGGTGGGTTGAGGCTGGATGGAACAGAAAGTTATCATGACAACATGAAAGAAGGCAACAAAGAAGGAAGTTTGGAAGAGATGAATGACTATGGCTCCTGAGTCATAGGTTTGTGACCGCACTCCAATTCTAATTCTAAAGTGTCACCAGATATGTGTAGATGTGTAAATGTCTCACATGCCCAAATGGTTGAGTGGGAGGATTGTGGTTTGCTGGCTGGGGTAGGTGAAGAGCTTTTAGAATGGCACATTGTTAGCACCTCACAAAGAGTGACCCTTTTCCTATGTATAAGCATTAGTACTGCTTGGGTCTTGCTGCAAGAAGTCTTGCTAACCATCAGGGCTAACTCCACATTTTTCTCTGAGATATGACATTTTCCCTGGTGGGCAATATTAGATCCATTAAGGGTTTCATTTCTTTGTGATTTTATAAAATTATTTTTTAATTGTGGGAAGAGCAAAGGCATATATACTTTTAAGACATTATTAAAAATAAAAAAGTTATATAAATGTTTATTAAGGAAGAGAGTCCTACATGTACACCACACACTTTACATTAAATAAGTGATTAATGGCAGGGCTCCACATGGCTCAGCCTGCATAAGGAGTCATTTTAAAGGAAGAATGGCCTAGAACCTCAACTTATTAAAAAGGCAACACTAATAATTCCCTATATTCCTTAAAGGGTATATACAGTGGTCCCAACAGATAGCCAACGGCATTCCTTCTCATAAATTCTTTTTTATTTTTTTTGAGAAAGGTTTCACTCTATAACCCAGTCTGAAGTGCAGTGGTGTTATCTCAACTCACTGCAGCCTTGACTTCCTGGGCTCAAGCGATCCTCCAACCTCAGCATCCTTAGTATCTGGGACTACACGCGTGCAGCACCATGCCTGGTTAATTTTTGTATTTTTCGTAGAGACAGGGTCTCATCATGTTGCCCAGGCTGGTCTTGAACTTCTGAGCTCAAGCAATCCACCCACATCAGCCTCCCAAAGTGCTGAAATTGCCGGCATGAAGCACCACGCCCAGCCCATAAATTTTTATTTCTTTCAGTTCTCTTGTACTCTGGAGCTACTCCAGTCTCACATATTCCAAACCTTCAAATTTCTCCTCAAGTCTTGGCCAGAGAGGCTTTTCTCCCTCTCATTCTTCCTCATTGCTAGCTGTTTATCATATAGAGCCAGTTTCTCAATGCTTATCTCCTTCTGCCTCTTTGGCACACTTATGCAAAGGAAATATTGCCTGTATTAAATACACATAAACAAAAGAGTAAAGAGGAACAAATGATAATCTTTAGAGTAGTTAACTTCTCATGATGAAATTGCTACAGTGGGTAGCAAGTCAGACATGAGCAAGGCAGGAGAGGGCTCCACCCCAGCTCCCCCCCAACAAAACCAGGAATGTCAGGCAACCATCAGGTGATGGTCAGATGGTTGTTAACTGTCTCTGTAAAATAATAATGGGTCAAACCAGACAAAAACAAGAAATGGGGAAAGGATTCCCTATTTAACAAATGGTGCTGGGAAAACTGGCTAGCCATATGTAGAAAGCTGAAACTGGATCCCTTCCTTACACCCTATACAAAAATTAATTCAAGATGGATTAAAGACTTACATGTTAGACCTAAAAACATAAAAACCCTAGAAGAAAACCTAGGCAATACCGTTCAGGACATAGGCATGGGCAAGGACTTCATGTCTAAAACACCAAAAGCAATGGCAACAAAAGCCAAAATTGACAAATGGGATCTAATTAAACTAAAGAGCTTCTGCACAGCAAAATAAACTACCATCAGAGTGAACAGGCAACCTACAGAATGGGAGGACATTTCTGCAATCTACTCATCTGACAAAGGACTAATATCCAGAATCTACAAAGAACTCAAACAAATTTACAGTAAAAAAACAAACAACCCCATCAACAAGTGGGCAAAGGATATGAACAGACATTTCTCAAAAGGAGACATTTATGCAGCCAAAAGACACATGAAAAAATGCTCATCATCACAGGCCATCTGAGAAACGCAAATCAAAACCACAATGAGATGCCATCTCACACCAGTTAGAATGGCGATCATTGAAAAGTCAGGAAACAACAGGTGCTGGAGAGGATGTGGAGAAATAGGAACACTTTTACACTGTTGGTGGGACTGTAAGCTGGTTCAACCATTGTGGAAGACAGTGTGGCGATTCCTCAAGGATCTAGAGCTAGAAATACCATTTGACCCAGCCATCCCATTACTGGGTATATACCCAAAGGATTAGAAATCATGCTGCTATAAAGATACACGCACACATATGTTTATTGTGGCACTATTCGCAATAGCAAAGACTTGGAACCAACCCAAATGTCCAACAATAATAGACTGGATTAAGAAAATGTGGCACATATAAACCATGGAAATACTATGCAGCCATAAAAAATGATGAGTTCATGTCCTTTGTAGGGATATGGATGAAGCTGGAAACCATCATTCTCAGCAAACTATCACAAGGTCAAAAAACCAAACATTGCATGTTCTCACTCATAGGTGGGAATTGAACAATGAGAACACTTGGACACAGGAAGGGGGACATCACACACCAGGGCCTGTTGTGGGGTGGGGGGAGGGGGGAGGGGTAGCATTAGGAGATATACCTAATGTAAATGATGAGTTAATGGGTGCAGCACACCAACATGGCACATGTATACATATGTAACAAACCTGCACATTGTGCACGTTTACCCTAGAACATAAAGTATAATAAAAATATATATATAAAATAATAATAATAATAATGGGTCACAGCTGGCACCAGGGAAAGGCGGTCTCCCAATAAATGAAGACACCTGAAACTTGTGATCAGTAGCTTCCCGATAAGATCTCAGGAGTTGGGCCGCTGGGCTCAAGCATGTGCATTGAGGAGCAAGATGGAACTACTAAAGTGAGCATGCCTACAACTCCAGTAAACACACTGTGCATGCTTTCCTCCTAGGTGCTAGCTGACCAGGGAGCATGAGTCCTCCTACCCTAAGGGAAAAGTCAGGGAAGAAGAATGCAAGACCCTGGAAGAATGCCAGTGTATAACACCCCAAGTCAAAAGGTCAAACTGTGCACTTGATCTCTCAAGTTGCCTGCTAGGCCATCTTCCACATGTATTTTACTTCTTTTCCTTCTTGCTTTAAAGCTTTTTAATAAACTTGCACCCCTGCTCTAAAATTTGCCTCCATCTCTCCTTCTGTCTTATGCTCCTTTGTCGAATTCCTTCTTCTGAGAAGGCAAGAATTGAGTTCGCTGCAGACCTGTATGGATTCGCTGATAACATACTTTGGTGCTGCATCTTGGATATGTTCCACAGTTAACAATATTGCAATTAATTTTGGTTTTAATTTTTAAGCTTTCCTAAAGTTTTTAATTTTCTAGAACGAACATGTGTAATTGTAACTTTACTTTTTTTGTAATTTATTTCATTTACTTTAAAATTTAAAATAATTAATGTGTAACGATAACACAAAATGTAAAAGAAACAGTAAGATATATAGTGAAAAGTAAATCACCTCACCCTCGCTCCAATGCCTTAATCTTCCATTATCTTCCCAGAAACAATCTGTGCTATCTTCCAGAGGTAGTTTCTGCATAGTCAAAGATAGAGTCGCATAGCCTTAAGTGTTTTAGACGCAGGAGAATATATATTACAGCACTCATTGAACTCTATTTTTTTTTTTCATTTAAATGATCTTGGGGGTTGTTTCTTATGGTATATTGATTCATCAGTACCACTTTTTTTATTACTATTGTTTTATAGTAGGTTTTTTTTATCTGGAGGACTATCTCCTCTTATTACTCCCCCCACTTTCAGAATTTATTAGAACCTATTTTTCATATTACTTTTCCATACAAATTTTAGAAAATGCTTATCTTATTTTAAAAAGTTGAGCACATTCTTAAAGAAAAATCATTACATTTATTGATTTGAGAATTCACATATCTATGAGTCATTTTGTCCAAGATTTTAAAATGCTCTTGCCTTCATTTAAGTCTTCTTTTGTGTTCTTCAGTAGCATTTTAAAGATTACTCATAGTTATATAAAACTTATGCGTACTTTCTCCCTTTTATTTTGATTCAGTTACTTCATGATGTTTGTATTCTATTTTTGAAGTAAATAGCTCTTTATTTTTGTCAATTGAAAACATTTTATTAAATTCATTATTTTCACTCTATTTTTATCTTTCCCTTATAATTTCCTTAGTAGTTAATCTCTTCAAGTTAATGAGTTGGATACTTAATTATATACTGATTTTTTCTTATTAATTTAAGTGTTTATATTTATGGTTATGTTTGTGCACTTTAGGCATATCCTAATTTTTGATGTTTAGTACTTTATTGTTACTATTTTCTCTATTGTAGAATTTCAGTTTGCTTTTCCTTTTGTACAAAAATTATTGAAAAGATTAGTAAAATTTCACAATCTCATAGGGCTCTTTATGCTTTTAATATTAATTTCTAGCATTACCATACTAGAAAAGAGAATCCCGTTTGTGCTATGTCTTTTTGAAATTTGCGGAAGCTTTTTTAGCTGCTTAATATGTGATCACTTTTTGTGAATGATCCATGGAAACTTGAAAAGAAGGTTTTGTTTCTGTTTTCTTGGTGTAGACTTAGACATAAAGCCATCAGATCTGTTTTATGTTATTAATTTTTACTAAGTTTTTCATCTATTTAATTTATTGTTAAATTGGAAAAGCAAATTACAGAATTTTACTACAAACATACTTTACCCTTCTTTTCACTTTAACTTTATGAGTCACTTAATTTTAAGTGTTTCTCTTGATTTTAGCATATAATTATGTTTTGCTTTATAGTCAAATCTGATAAACTTTTTCTTTTAGTAGATGATTATTTAAATTTATTGATTTAACATACATTTGACTTTATTTCTGATATATTTTGGTCAAACTTTATATTTTAATAGGTCTTTTGTTTTTTATCTTTTGATATATGACCTATGTTTGCTTGACTTTTTAAAATGCATTTATATTGTGACAATTTGAAAAGCTTATTACATGTACATAGTTAATGTTTACCATTGTAACTAACTCATGTAATACCTAAAACCTTACTTCACCATTAACTACAGAAATGTGTTAGTTATATTATTGTTTCTATATCAGTGTAGTTTAAAACATAAATGTAATTGGTTAACCACTTTTCTCAGGGTTGTTTTATTTTTCAACTAATATTTTGGGGATTCAATGCTCTCTGCTTATTATTTTATTTTTACATGAAATGTATTATTATTATTATATATATATATTTTTTGAGGCAAGATCTCTGTCACACAGGCTGGTATGCAGTGGTGTGATCCTGGCTCACTGCGACCTCCACCTCCCGGGATCAAGTGATTCTCCTGCCTCAGACACCTGAATACTGGGATTATAGGTGTGCACCACCACGCCTGGCTAATTTTTGTATTTTTAGTAGAAAGCGGATTTTGCCATGTTGCCCAGGCAGGTCTTGAACTCCTGGCCTCATGTGATCCACCTGCCTTGGACACCCAAACTGTTGGGATTACAGGTGTGAGCCACCGTGCCAGGCCAAAATTTATTAATTTCACTGGAATATGCCTCATTGTTGAAAATTTTGTGTTCATTTTCCTCAAAATTGGAGTTTTTCATTCTGTAGTTTCAGATCTCTCTAGTTTCAGAACAATTTTCTTAAATCATATTTTTAAATTTTTTCCAGTGGCAATTTTTCTCTTCTTCAGGAAGTACCAATAATGCATATATCGGATCTCCTTCCATATTTATGATGTTATTTCTTCTCTTTTTTAACTCAATTTTTCTTGAAGTATAGCTATACTTCAAGAAAAATTGAGTTAAAAAAGAGAAGAAATAACATATATAAAAGTAAACAAATTATAAATGCATATTCAATGAGTAATGAGAGTGGACATATCTGTTTAACTACTATCTTTTGTATTCTTCAAAAAATAAAACATTACTCAACATTCCAAATCCTCCTACTTTTCCAAAAGTAATGGCCATCGTAACTTAAACTCTTCGCTCTTTTGAATTTCATTTTGCTTTCTTATCTCAACTCTGTTTGCCATATTCCTTAGTTTGTATTCAGCAGTTTCTTTTATTTTTCCTTTTAGGTGTAATGATTTTATTGTCCTTGTTCACTTCACAAGTTTATTTTTTCTTATTTCTTTCTCAATTGTTTCATATCTCTTATTGAGTTTTTGTTTTATAGAAAGGATATTTTCATGGGTTTCTTTGAGTTTTTTGAAATATGTTTTATCATAACTTTAATCTGCATTGAGACATTTGCAATAGTGTAATCCTCATCTGCATTCTTGTTTTTTCCTTTGTTTTTGTGTGTTTTGCATATGTTAGATATTGGTTTCTATTGATTTGTTTTTCATACTGAATACTGTGAGTTCTACCTGGATGAACTATTTATAGGAGATTTGTGTGTGAGAGGAGCAAGTTTAGTGCTCTGAGCTGGCATATGTTTTATCTAGCTCATAAACTGGATTTCATGTTATAGATTTCGTGACTCTCTGCATAGATGAGCTTGTTTAGTCTTTTTATTAAATGAAAAAAGATGAGATATATAGAGATATTTACCAGGGAGGCTTCTATAAGTAGTCCATATACTCCAATTTTGTTGCCTTTGTCATCCTAAGTATTTATTTCATAGGATACTGCACTCAATTCTGTGAGCTTTTGCTGAGATACATGTGGTGTCTCAATATCTAAACTTACCTTGGTTGGATTTTTATTGTGATTTTTAACCTTTCCTTAAATATAGATAGATGGATAGCTAGATAGCTAGATAGATTAATTTTAAAGTTTTAAAATTTTTAATTTAATCCCAATTTTTATCAAATATGAAGGTTCAATTTCAGCTTCTTATTCTCTCTGATGTTTTGGCATATCTTAATAGAGAGAAAAGAAGTAGTAATTTTTACCCTGTCTTCCTAAAAACAGAAATTTGAAATTGTTTTTTATTTCATACAAGAAAATAAACATAAAACTAACTGTAATTGTATTATTCTTTTGATCATTATTTACCTGTATAGACTTTTGTTGTGGGGGAGGGTAGTTGATATTTGATTTCTTTGTCTCCTTCTCGTATTATCTGCTGCTTGGGAAGACAGGAAACAGATTGGTAGAGAATGCTGAGTGACTCTTTTTTCATTATAAAGAGGCTTAAATGACAGCTGATTATATCCATAAGGAAGACCTCTTCCATGGGATAGCTATACCAGAGTTAGAACACATTTTAAGTGATTAAGAAAGAAAGAGGAGGGGATTATAATGGTTCCATTTCCCCCATTCCTTCAACAACCCTAACCCATCTCTCTTCTCGCTTTTCCTTTCATCAGATTTTGGTTTGAGAAAGAGCAAAGATTCATCCTTTAGGAAAGGGGCTGGAAAACTATGGCACCAGATCTAGCTGGTTGCTTGTTTTAATAAATAAAGTTTTACTAGAATAGAATCAGTTTTGTTAGCTTATGTATTGTCTATGGCTGCTTTGTGTTATAGCAGTAGATTTCAGTAGTTGTGAGTGAGGCTGTATGACCCCAAAAGGCTGAAATACTTACTATTTGGCCTTTTCCAGAAAAAGTTTGGTGGCCTGTCCTTTTGGCACTTATTTTCCAACTTTATCTAAATCACTCTGTATCCTTTCTAAAAGTTTAGCCTTCTGGAATTTTTTTTTTGAAACCCAGGAAATATTTTTTTGAAATACTAATCTCGGTAAGCACATGGAGGCCTAGCATTTCACATTTTAAACACTTCATGTAATCAGATAATCTTGAACAAAACATTGATTAACACTGCCAAATAGTCAAGAATGAAAGCTTAAGAGGTAGTTTGTAGGAAAGTTCGAAGAGCTCTATGTAGTATTTTCATCCCTTTTTCCTAAATTAAAACCACAACAGTACCTTTTTGTCTTTCCTACAAAAGGCAAAGTTCTCCTCATTAGACCCTCTCCCTTTCATCTAAAACAAATATATTTCCATTGAAGTATAGCCCTGTAAATGTCACAAAGAGGCTCTCAAACTAGATTCAGTTTGAGACATACTCTCAAGAGGTTTGGAACAATGATTTCACTATTTGTCAGTCATGTGTTCATGAATAAATTTTGATTTGTTCCTGCTTACATAATTTAACATGCACTAGAATAATTTGTTTTTAAGGCTTATCTCTTGTCCTTGAATAATTTTCTTTAGAAAATTGTTCTAGAAAAAATAAATAGAAAAATTGTTTAGTTTGCTATCAGCTTTTCACTAAAATTTACTTACCATAAGGTGAATTCAATATTGAGTTTCTTCTGCTCACACCTCCAGAAAGGAAATTACAGTTTAACAAGCACACAAGCAGTTCCTAGTATTTAATATTTTAGTGTTAAGCACCAGTATTATCATGCCTTGATCATCAGAAATGATTAGCTACTAATAAGAAAATGCTGTTCAGGACAAGAAATTGTGAAGAGACTGTGTTCTAAGAATTTTTCTCAAAAGATTTTGATTAAAGGAATACCTTGGGCTTTGCTTAAGAATGCACATTCTGAGGCAATTCTCCCAGAGTCTGATTTGTTAATCTGGAATGGATTCCAAGAATCTGTATTTTTAATAAAAAGTCAGATGACTCTTATGATAAGGAAAGTTTAGAAAACACTATTAGAAGTTTAGATGTTACTAGTCAATGGTAATCATTGCAGGCTTTTTTCTCTGACCTTTGAGAATTACAGAAAAACAAGGTGGGCTGTGTTCGTCACGCATCTTGTTGTAGATGCTCCTTATTTCTCCTTCATGTAGCTTTTTGCCTCTGGCAAGAGCATACAGATGTTTGATTTGAATCTGTGCCATCACCTCAGTACTTGGGTTGTTTGGTGTTTGCAACATTTGGCTCAGATGCACTGAGTTCTTAGAGGGGGCCTAGCTCTGTTTTATACCATCCATCTTTTAACCTTCCCCTTGCAAAAAAGGTTAAATCTAACCTCCCCCATTCTGCCTATTTTATATGTCCTCATCCTTGTGATTACTATATTTATATGCAATGTCTATATAAAGAATTTGATGTATAATAAACTTCTCTCTATAGGTACATATATAGACCAAAAAAACCTGGTTGGTGGGTGTTTGGAATAGGTGAAATATTTTCAAACTGAGGAGGAAGAAGATTCCATATGGTGTTTTTAACCAGAATCAGGAAAGGAGTGTATAGTTTGAAAACATTCTCAATATTATAATTTTTTATTTGTAAAATGAAACAATTATTTCTATGCTTTTCATGATTTCAGCTGAAGGTAACGTAAAACAAATATTTTTTTGATTAGTGCAGATATGCAGAAGATATTTTTAACTAGAAGCGGTCTTCTCCTGAAGGGAAGATGAAGAGTAAAATTTAATTTTAACAAAAGAGGATATGATTTGAATATTTTAACACTAAAATAGATGTCTTCTAATATTTCTTCCAACATTAAGATTCTGTGAGCTTTCAAACATTTAAAATATCTTGTTTTAAAATATGTTATTGTAATTATTTTCCTTCCTCCTACATGATGGTTGTGTATACCAAATTAAGGAGAAAAACATCTCTGGCATTCTGCTTGCTCTTAGAATGTAGAAAGCTAAAAAGAATTTGCTCTCATCTCTAAATAAGAGAGAGATGAATAAATGACAAAAAGTGTAACTTTTCTGGAACTCATCAGGTACCTGAGGACACAGGGCACTGAGCAGTCTGAAATCCATGGAGGACCAACCTCCTTCAAGAGAGGAAGAGATGAGTAGAGCTCATCACCTATGGCAGAGCAGGAGGGGAAGAAGTATCAGCCACCATACATACACCCTGACAGAGAAACGGCTTGCTGATCTCTGGCCACAAATGTCATTTATTTTAGCCTCTACTAGTCTACACAAGATGTTTGGCATTGAACCAAAAATTGTGTGACACAGAAGTAAGAAAAATAATCTTACTCTCAAGAGATTAAAAAAAAGTCCACGTTTGAAATATTAGGGAATTTAATTTTTTTATAAAATAAGCTTTACATTTTAGAATAGTTTTGGATTTAAAGTAGAGTTGCAAAGATAATACAAAGAGTACTAACATCTGGTTCTCTTACTGTTAATTAGGATATATATATATGTGTACTATATATGTATGTGTTTATATGCACTATATGTGTGTGTGTATATATATATATAAAGAGAGAGAGAGTATATATAGAGACAAAAAATTTAAAAATGTCCATGTTTGAAACATTAGGGAATTTAATTTTTTTATGAAATAAGCTTTACATTTTAGAATAGTTCTGGATTTTTTTTCTTTTTTTATTATTATTATACTGTAAGTTTTAGGGTGCATGTGCACAATGTGCAGGTTAGTTACATATGTATACATGTGCCATGTTGGTGTGCTGCACCCATTGACTCGTCATTTAGCATTAGGTATATCTCCTAATGCTATCCCTCCCCCCTCCCCCCACCCCACAACAGTCCCCAGAGTGTGATGTTCCCCTTCCTGTGTCCATGTGTTCTCATTGTTCAATTCCCACCTATGAGCGAGAACATGTGGTGTTTGGTTTTTTGTCCTTGCGATAGTTTACTGAGAATGATGATTTCCAGTTTCATCCATGTCCCTACAAAGGACATGAACTCATCATTTTTTATGGCTGCATAGTATTCCATGGTGTATATGTGCCACATTTTCTTAATCCAGTCCATCATTGTTGGACATTTGGGTTGGTTCCAAGTCTTTGCTATTGTGAATAGTGCCGCAATAAGCATACGTGTGCATGTGTCTTTATAGCAGCATGATTTATAGTCCTTTGGGTATATACCCAGAAATGGGATGGCTGGGTCAAATGGTATTTCTAGTTCTAGATCCCTGAGGAATCTCCACACTGACTTCCACAATGGTTGAACCAGTTTACAGTCCCACCAACAGTGTAAAAGTGTTCCTATTTCTCCACATCCTCTCCAGCACCTGTTGTTTCCTGACTTTTTAATGATTGCCATTCTAACTGGTGTGAGATGGTATCTCATTGTGGTTTTGATTTGCATTTCTCTGATGGCCAGTGATGATGAGCATTTTTTCATGTGTCTTTTGGCTCCATAAACGTCTTCTTTTGAGAAGTGTCTGTTCATATCCTTTGCCCACTTTTTGATGGGGTTGTTTGTTTTTTTCCTGTGAATTTGTTTGAGTTCATTGTAGATTCTGGATTTAAAGTAGAGTTGCAAAGATAATACAAAGAGCACTAACACCTGGTTCTCTTACTGTTAATTAGGATACATATATATGTACTATATGTGTGTGTGTATATATATGTACTATATATGTGTGTGTGTATATATATATATAGAGAGAGAGAGAGAGAGTATATATAGTACATTTGTCACAATGAAGGCTCCAACATTGGTATATTACTATTATCTAATCTATAAAATGTATTCATATTTTACTAGTGTTTCCTCAATATCCTTTTTCTCTTCCAGGAAGCTTCCCAAGTTATCACATTGCATTAGGTCAGTATGCTTCCTTTAGCCTCCTCTGGTTTGTGACAGGTTTTTAGGCTTTCCAATAAACTGGACAGTTTTGAAGAGTACTGGTCGGATATTTTGTAGAATGTCCTTCGATGTGGGTTTGTCTGATGTTTTTTTTTCATGGTTAGTCTGGGTTTTTAGGGAGAAGACAACAGAAGCAAAGTGTCATCCTCATTACATTGTACCAATGGTACATTCCATCAGCATGTCATATTACTGATAAGGTTAACTTTGATCACCTGGCCTAGGTAATATTTGCCAAGGCTCTCCACTGTAGTTTTCTTCTCCCTTTTTATATTCTGCACTTCAGAATAGAGTTGCTAAGTACAGCCACAGTGAAGGTGTGGTGAGTTAAGCTCCCCTTCCTTGACAGGGGAGTACCTACATAATTTTTTTTTCTTGCTATTTTCTATTTGTTTTCTACTAAACAATGTTGAGATTAGCTAGTTTCTTAATTTATGTTCTTTGGAAACAAACCCAAGCAGATTCCTATTTAAGGTATGTATGGAGGGAATGTTATCAGGAGAAAATGAATGAGGTAAGCTGGGTAAAACAAGGGGAAAAAAGCTACGCAAGGATGTGGCCTCAGCTGGAGACCAGTTTTGAACTGAGCCCAAGGGGTATTCTGAGCATGAATTGCACCATAGATTTAGTCTGGTTCAAGGGGGCTGGCCTATTATACCTCCATATCATCCAACCATTAGCTAGCTGCAGGGTGCAGTATTGTGGGCTGGGAATAATCTCCCAAGTGAGCCTGTTCTTGTTAAGAGTTCTCTCAAAAGAAGGGGTGCCTGGGAGCTGTTAGGAGTCAGCACTGACAACAGCTGGAAAATAAGTGCGTTGACTTGGTAAAGTGGGTTAGGGAGAGAAGTGAAGACCATATTCTACAGCTAATAATCTCCTTTTCTGTTCCTTACCATTAATTTTTGGGTTTTATTTTTCCATTGAAATAGACTGCAAACAGCATGGGTGACACAGGTTGTTGTGCAGCATGTACGGTCAAGCTCACCAATTTCTTACAGGTCCTTTCTGCATTTATGTTACCAGTCCTGAAATTATTAGATTTCAGGACCCTTAATTTTAGTAAATGCCAAGGTAGCCATATTTAGTTATCCTTGTTTCTTTTAGATTTTTTCCCCAGTATTAATTGCTTGAGAATGTTTATGATTTATTTTCATATGCATTTTAGGTATAAAAACATGTTTATGATACCTAATTTTTAAGTTAGTGAACAATGGTGATAGATGTGGGATGTATACCAGTGCCTATAATTTACAGATTGTAAGTATTTGCATAAGAAAGTTGTGGAGAGATTGCTCTTTGTCTCCCTTTGCCCCCTTGTTGCCCCAATCTTGTGAGCCTTCAGTGGAAGCTGGAAAGATAACATGACGGTCTTCAGACACACAGAGCAGCTAAGGTTCTATATGTGACTAAGGTTCAGCCAAGCAGAGGCACCCATTGGAGTCACAGAGGAAGTAAGCAATGTAGGGTAGTGGCTGCACATGTGAGGTGTGATCCTGGGTCAGAGGTATTTGATGCCCCTGGGACAGCTATGATGCAAATTCTGCAGCCTGTTCCCTAATGTTATGGAAGCCAAGTGGCAGATGGTGCTGCTGGCAGACGGTGGTATGGTTGGATATTTCTTCTCATTGCCCGCTTCTGCCATTTTCCTAGTACTCCCTGAAACTGTATATGCTGCCTAAAAATGTGTAGTAGATTCTCCATACTCAGACCATCTAGACCATATTTCATTGCCTACAACTGAGAACAGCGACCTTGGCAGTGAGAATAATAATCCTAAATGCCAGCAGAATTATTCTCAAAGTAATATATTAATGAGTACCAAAATGATGCTACCACATGCTAGGTCTGCTCCTTTGCTTTATGGGCCTAGAAACCCATTATTATTAGTTCTCCAGGATGGTCAGGTTTAGAAACAAATGCATATACCTGAAACTGAAGCTGAAAAAAATGAGACTGAAGTGGGCACAAACATGAATTAAATGGTCAAGATGTCAGGGAAATTTCTGCCTCAATTCAACTTACATGATCATTAAGCCTAGGTCAAGAAAACTGGGACTGAGTGTGAAGACGGCAAAAATGAATCTCACGGGCACCAATATATCAATGTATACAAGGATCAAAAATATAACAGGAGCCACAGAGTGAGTGCAGCTTTGCAGTGTGAACCTTCTGTCTTTCACAGGATGCTCTCAGCATGGGGACAAAGGTGGCAAAGCAGTCTGTGTGGGGATCAGCCACCAGCCCTAACATCCTGAATTGGGCCCTGAAAGTCATGTGCCATCCTCACATATGCACGTGTGTTTTGCATCTTCCATTTACCTGGACACACAATCACAACGTTAAATGCCAAATCACAATCAAATGAGTGGGCGAGGGCATACGGTGTAAGAGATGAAGGAATTTATATGACCTCGTGATAAATTCCTCAGATAACAGCTTGAAGGACTTGTCACTAGGACTAGAAAGCTTCAAATTGGTTAACCCAGCATCCTCCTACCCTGGGCAGGTCTGGATGAACACAATGGAGTTCAAACTTATAACCTTTTCATCTGCTTGTTAAAGTTTATTTTGAGACCTGTTTTACTTCTCTTTCAAGGTAATTTACTCCAATCTGGACTGCGCTTTAACCTAAATCCTGAGGTTTGACTGGAAAACCTCCTAGCCACCCATTTTCTGGTTAATTCTTAGATTGATACATTTAGGCCAGAAGTAGGAAGGGAAGTTGATTTCTTGATTTACCCATCAAAAGACAATCTGATTTCCAAGTTCTTGGAGTGAGCCTGATTCAATCCCTCAAGTACTGACAACACTGATCTGCCAAGATTCTCAAGAAATATCTACCTACACATTCTATCTTTAGGCTATAAGAATGAAGCTTGTGAAATTTATCTTGCCTCTAATTTTAAACTTAAATTTTAAGATCTACTTTCCCCTGCAAATGCGAATGATTATTCTCAGTCATTTTGACTGCACTTTGGCTGTGTTTGAATTACTTTCATGTAGCATATTTTAAAAATAAAAGTTCATTTTTTGGAAATCCAGCATTTAGATTAAAATTTGAAGAAAAAAATTTATGATAAGAAATTTATCTTTTATTCAACCAGTGTAGCCTGTCACTTTTTATAAATTTTATCCCATAAATGATTTGAAGGAAATTGGCAATTGAGTTTATCCTACTGTATCTTTGCTATAAAAACTAGCAAAAAGCCAGTTTACACTTAGCATCAGTTTTGTAAGTTTTATTAAAAATAGAAAAAATGGTCTCAAATAAATGTTACTTTGGGAGTTTGAGACATGGCTAATGGATTGTAAATAAGTCTCAGGGATTGTATTAAAATCTCTGTGTAGAAAGGCCAAAGAAGCTGCATTTTTTCCTTCTATTAGGAAGAATTTTGGCATTATTAATAGACACAGAAATCGTTGAATTATACCAACTGTAAGCACATGCTCCTCTAGACTTTATAAGTGTTTCCAAAATTCTGTCCTTTAATATGCATTTCTGGAACAAAAGTGAATCTGGGTAATTTAAAAAATTAGTTTTATCATTTAGTTATGCCATTATTCTTTTATTGCTGCAGTGCAACTCATATCATTATCCTTGGTAGTCTTTCTTTTATTTTGCTCTTTCTTCACCTCCTTTTTAAAGCAGCAAGATCAAGTATGAAAAGAATTTGCCATAATTTACAATAGAAATACAAGAACAATAAGAACCAATATCATTAACAAAATATAAACTCAAATGCCAGAATGGAAAGAGAGTGGAACTTTATGTTAAAATTTCTTAGGTATGGAAAGGTATTGTGATAAATCCCCAAATTTAATGTTGCTCTGTCTAAATTCCTTGGCCTTTGGCTTAACCCTCCCTCCCTCCCTCCTTCCCTCCCTGCCTCCCTCCCTTCCTCCCTCCTCTCCCCTCCCCCTCCCTCCCTCCCTCCTTCCCTCCCTCCTTCTTTCCTTCCTTCCTTCCTTCCTTCCTTCCTTCCTTCCTTCCTTCCTTCCTTCCTTGCTTTCTTTTGAGACAGTCTTGCTCTGTTTACCAGACTGGAATGCAGTGCCACAGTCTCAGCTCAATGCAACCTCTGCCTCCCAGGTTCATGTGATTCTCCCGCCTCAGCCTCCCGTGTAGCTGGGATTACAGGCGCCACCATCATGCCTAGCTAACTTTTGTATTTTTAGCAGAGACAGGGTTTCACCATGTTAGCCAAGCTGGCCTGGAACTCCTGACTTCATGTGATGTGCCATCCTTGGCCTCCCAAAGTGCTGAGATTACAGGCTTGAGCCACTGCCACCTGGCCACACCACCCTGAATGCACCCGATCTCATCTGGTTTAGCTCTTTCTGAGAAAAGAAATTTGTCTGTTTAATAAGTGGAATGCAATGCACGATACCTGACAAGCAATCTCAGAGAAAATGTAGAGGCATTTCACATCTTACTGATTTTTTTGTCTCCTGTAACAAAGTTATTGAATAGGTTGTGCTCCAAAGAAACAAAGTTTTCTCTGGCTTCTGTGTTCAAAAATATTCCTAGAATGACCCTTTCCCAATTCTTGATGGCATTATAGATTCCATAGCTTTCTAAGAATTTTCTCATGTTTAGACTTTAAAGATTCTAAATCAAACACTAATCTCATATCCAATTAACGGCTTCTTCTCTTCTCCTATCTTAGGCGTGGTGTAGAGGCTGGAGAACAGCAGGGAAGAAAGTGGGGTAAATTCTTTCACTCCCCTATCACGTCCTCTCCCTTCTTCTGTATTGTGTGTGTGTGTGTGTGTGTGTGTGTGTGTGTGAGAGAGAGAGAGAGAAAGTTATCAGGCAACACACTATACTTTTAATAAAAAGCATTATATAGGATAAAGTATTTACAAATTGGACAACACAGGTGCATTAGCTCCTTGGTATCTTAATTTCATATCTAGCTAAAGGAAGCTGTCAAAAAATGTCCTAGCTTTTGGTCACAATCGTTCTGTTATTCTTTTCAAAACATCTTTTTATTTATTTATTTTTGAGATAGAATTTCTCTCTTGTTGCCCAGGCTGGAGGGCAATGGCACGATGTTGGCTCACTGCGACCTCCACCTCCCAGGTTCAAGCAATTCTCCTATCTCAGCCTCCCAAGTAGCTGAGATTACAGGTGCCTGCCACCATGCCTGGCTAATTTTTTTTTTTTTTTTTGTATTTTTAGTAGAGATGGGGTTTCACCGTGTTGGTCAGGCTGCTCTCAAACTCCTGACCTCAGGTGATCTACCCCCCTGGGCCTCCTGAAGTGCTGGGATTACAGGCGTGAGCCACTGTGCCTGGCCAGCATCTGCTTTTTAAATCATATCTTTTTCCAAATTAAATTTTTTCTCATTTAAAATTTATCTCTCGGTTCCCTCTCCTCTTCCATTGACTTCAGATTTGGCATTAATTTAAGTAAATCACTTGACCTTCTTAGGTTTATTTTCCAGCTAGTTTGGATTAGGTGACCTTGATTTGTCTTTTAGTCCAAAATAAGAAAATGTAAGTAAAATCTTTTTGCGAACAATTAGGTGCCATTAATATAAAAGTTAGTTATTATTTCTGTTTGTATTTTATTTTTTTCTGATTTCTGGATCCCCTCAACTGCTTCTAACACTCCTACCTTATGCATAGCCTGGATAAGTTTTCCATTGCACTTTACTCAAAAGAGACAGTGAGAGTACTAAAAATATTTAACAGCTTCTGGAATAGCATCTGTGTGTGTGATTGTGGGGAGAGGGGGTGTTCTTTTTTTCCCGTTCTCTATTTATACACATATGAGAAGAACGGTTTCTATTTATTTCAGCTATCTGAGGTTTTTGAACATGCAAGACCTCATCTGGATGTGGATGCAAATGACAAATAGCAGTAGAATCCTAATTTCACTGGCTCTTGTTCAATCTATTCCAGCAGGATCCCAAACCCTATAAGGCACCTCCCCTCCAGCCTCCTAAGCATTCCTGGGAGTCAACTCAATGCCAATATCTACCTTTTTTTTTTTCCTTTTTTCTTCTCAGACCCATGGTTAGGACTCTGCTCCCCAGTCATTACTGCATCCACCAGGTTTTGTCCCACCTTCTACTGCAGTGAAACCATTGGACCTAGGGAGATGCAAGGCTGACAGGGTGCTTCTGTGGAGTGGGACAGCATGCTTCACTCCCCTCTGTGTGCAACAGTAGGAATGCTGCTGAGATATGCCAAATGGCACAGAGTCTTTGGTAAAAGTGGTCTTTCAGTTTTTACTTATGTTTCACACCTTCAGTTTCAAATATGAATTTGACTCAGAGACAAATCAGAGTGATAAGCCCACAAGCAGATCAGAATTTCCATTCCTTTCCAGGACTAAGCCATTCTTTCACAGTCAAGCTTGAGATACTTGCATCCTTTGCCCCATAGGATGATTTGCTTTCAGGAGGTGTTTCAATCTTCTAACGGCAGAGCTAGAAGATCAGTTCACCAGACATGCCCAATATATACAAAGGGTAGAAAACATCACATTATTTACGCTTGGTACCAGAATGGTGTAAGAGATGCAACTGGCTTTAAGAAGAATACCTTAATAAGTATCTGGGGTGGACAGAGGCTGAGACCCAAAGGCATAGTGGTTGGACATTACCAAGACACATAGCTGCTGGTAGTTGAGGGTGAAGAGGAGATAAATGAGGAGTGAGATGCCTTGGAGATAAGGGCATGGGGTCCTGCAAGGGAAGAAGGTATGAGAGAAACGTGTCAGACAGGGAGGCAGAAAGAACGTCTAAAGAATGAGTATGTTTTATACGTGATTTTTCACTGATTACTGTGTGATTTCTATATTCTTATTCATTTTGGGAGGGCTTTGGACAGAATAAAAAAGTGTAGAAAGTGTAAGCCAACGCCACTCAAATGTTATGAGCTAAGAGTGGTTCTTAACTGATATCTGGGTTGTATATGGGAAATAAAACAACTATGTCTCAACATGGAGATGTTCCATCAAGTTAATAATACAATACAAGTTATAATACAATAGAGAGGCAAGAATTGAGCCAATGGAAACCATTTATAGTTGTATAGTTGACACAATTAAATTGTCAATATTTGGGGAATTATTAAGGATGAATCTGGATTGGGTAAAGTGTCTGCTATTCTGGGGAAGAGTATAATGTTTTGGCTAATGGAAATGAAGAAAGAGTTAAATTTTGACTTGAGTTTTAAAGAGATAAAGACATGGCATTTGGAAGAGAAGCAAATAAGAACATTTGTGTCATCAGATAAAAGTCCAGAAACAGCCAGGGGATAGAGAAAGAGAGAGAGATGGAGAGGGGGAGAGAGAGAGTGAGGGAGAGAGAGAGAGAGAGAGACTCCTTGACTAAAAAAGTGAATTGAAGGCTTAGTATGGGAATCATTCAGGGTACAAGCAATATGTTTCTGTGGGATGGTATTCATATTCATGTGTGAAGTAACTGGCAGTCATGGGAAGGTTAAAGTAATGTGTGGACACCATGATTTTGACTGTCTTGTGTAGAATATACCAGGTGTACAATTCCAGAGTTGGCAAGGACTAAGGAGAGATGGGGCAGTCTTGAGCAAGTTGGAACCAACCTGAGGATTGTGAAAGGGAAAGGAAACCAGTGGAAAAGGATAGAGAAAGGGTTGATTATTTACAAATACATGGCTGCGAAGATGGAAGGGAATGAGGGTTGCATTATGGTGATTCACAATGAATTGATTGATAAGAGCAATACTCTCTTCTGGTATTAATTATATCAATTGCTCGGGAGTCTTTTATCCTGTGCCTCAGGCAACCTCTAGGCCTAGCACTTTCCCTTTAGAATCCTTTTCAACGTAGGGCTGCTCAGCATCAGTGAAGTGGAATGCATTAAGATGAAAGCATAGACAAAAGCTTCCCAGACCCATAACCAACATCTCTTATCAAATAGAGTACCTATAATGGTGATGAGTATGGTTAGAAAGTAAGAGGTAAACACAATAAATAAGACGGCAAGGGACCTCAGGGCAGTGAAGCGCGCTTTCATGCTTGGATTGCAGTGACCAGTGCTATGATGTTGTATCTGCTTGGTCAGTGATGCCATGAGAAAGATGGTGGAGGCCAGGAACAGGATGAAAGGAATAACCAATGCAACTGTATGAGCCTGGAACTGATACTGATGAAAATTTTCAAGTTTGTCAGTTACAGTGCTGTTTCTTGGTAGATGCTCCATGGTGAGTAACTGAATTTGAATGTAATTCCCAATAGCTGAAGGGATGATTGTTACACAAGTAATCATCAGAGAACCCAGTAATATCCAGGGAAACAACCTCAAAATTCTCCACCTCAGCCAGAGAAAGATGTGATGGGTGAAAGAAGAGACCTTGATGCAGTAGAACACGGTAAGCAAGCTGTTTAACCAGAATGTAAGGATATTAAAAAATTCCCAGGTGATTGTTAAGTTGCAAAGTACATAATTCAAATTAAAATAGGAGCAAAAATTGTTCAGCATTGATGCCCACTGTAGACAGAAGCGAGAGATGCCCAGGCTGATGAGAATCATGTCCACAGGCATCAGCCTTCTGACTTGCAGCCATTCTCTGCCCAGCACTGCAACAATTAGGCTGCTCTGCACAATAATTGTCAAGGACTCAAGCACATAGATGATCATGAAGAAGACAGTGAGTTGGATGGGTATCATTCTTCTACTCCAAAGTGTCTTCCTGGACAAAGACTCTGAATCTCTGTACCAATTTCCAGGTAGAGAATGGGTTCCTGATTCCACCACTGTCTGGTACAAGAAAACCCCTCTCTCTGGAAGCAAATTTTCCCAAGCTCATTTTTGATTTTGTCATTTTCCTATCTATAGAATTTGTTTATGCTTTGCTTGCTGGTTTGCTATCACATCTGAATGTAGGGAAATGTTTAAATGTGGATTCCTGCTCCTGAGGTGATTTGATTATTCCAAAAAGGCATATGTATTTCATAACCATGTTGTTTATTTCCTCTTTTTCTGAGGTGCACTTAGCTTATTTCCTTATCTTCTTTAAATGACATCTTCACTCTTTTAACCTAAAATTTGAGCAACAAGAAAGATGAATCCTTCCCTGTTCATTCACGTCCTGCATGATGTTTCTGCTCTGTTGAGTGCAGTACCAAAGCGAACCTCAGAAGCCCTATCTTCCCAGTTCTCATGGCAGCTAGTGGTGGATGCTACAACCAAAGTGTGAGGGTAAATAAAAATGATAATGAAAAGTCTTTCCTCCGAAATTCCACAAAATTGCTGAACCCCAGACCTTCAAGTATTTCCATCCAATGCAGGCCACTCTCATAACTGCCCATTGAATTCCCCCACTTAGAGAAATCAAACTGCAGAGAAAACACTGCACACAGCCTCTCTTAGCTATTGTTCTTCTGCCAATTCCGATGCTTTGAGCATATGCCTTATATATTTTCAGGAATTGTTCTTGTCCCATTAACATCACTGTGTGTTTTTTTTTTTCTCTTACATGGCTAGGTTCTTTTTGTCACTGCTCCCATTGCTCAGGAAGAATTGAAAGAGGACCCTCTTACCACTAGTAAAGCGTATTACTTCTAAATGTGCAGGCATCATTTCATAGCTATACAAGCAGGCTATAAAAGGAATACGTTTTCCTTCAGTTCAGGACAACTCTTCCAAATAGACACCAAATATGTAATAAGTGGCTTCAGAAATGAGAGGTTATTCTAATTGCTAGTTGGTGACAGAGACAAAGTGAAAGTCATTGACCTTATGTATGATAAACTCGGAGTCTGTATGGACTTTTTAGTCATTCAAGGAAGACAACACAGAAGCAAGCAAACATGAATCTTAGAATTCTTGAACACAAAACAAGAAACTACTGAACTCATGAAGCAAAGGTAAGCAATAGCTTGAAAAATTACACCAGAAAACAGAATTAAGTGTAAGAAAGCATCTGCTTTGCATTCTCAATAAAATGCAAGAAACAGGAAATAAAAAACTGAGATGACAAAACAATATATATTATTAAAAGGTGAATTGGTTGAGATGTATCCAGACATAAGAAGGGAGAAAGATGAGATATGAAATGTTGGTATGTGAAACATGCAATAATAGCATTAACCTCTAATTTATGTCCTGAATACACTAAGCATGTTGCCAGCTATATACACTGCCCCATTCTGAGTAAACTTGGAAGGACTGTGATGCTCTCAATCTCTGTCTGAGGGGTTGTGAAAGTGTGGCCACCATACTACACCCCTCATGACTGGATTCCAGCCACAATAGTATGACCAGGAATGAGTTTCTGTCCAAAGCAGCCCCTCATAGACTGGCCTGCTGCATGAGAGATGGCCTGGCACTACTCTACTCCACTGGAGTGTTTTCTATGTGATAGTGGCTGATTAAATAACCCAGATACTCTTTTTGGGAAAGTTTGAAGGTGAGACATACAGAGTGTCCATAGACTGGTGATTGATGTTCCCTGGGGTTAGGAGTTGAGAGTCTGGCTCTTTCATCATGTGTGCATGTGAACCTTCAGGGCCACCTCTGGGGTCTCCTCATTGCAGTGATCCCAATTCTGGTTTGCCTTCTTCCACTCTCCTTTAGCTCACACCCTTTCCCTTATCAGACAGGGGATTGTTGTCCCTTAACTAGTCCTCATTGGTCAGGTGCTGGCAAGGTGACTGAAGCTCAGCTACCTTCTGCAGTGTACATTTGATCTATGGCAAACTCTGGCATTCTTTTCAGTAAAAATGATAAATGGCAGGAGGCCCATGCCTCTCTACTCTGTCATCTCTCCAATTCTCTTTCCCCCTTCTCAGGTAGACATGAGGGAAGGCCCACCAGTTTTTTTCCTAATGTCCCACAGGGAAAAAGAATGCCAATTTATGTTTATAAGCATCTACTATCTTCACTGTTAGAGATTTTGTCTTTTTCTCATTCCTGAGCATACTCCTAGTTTCCTCTAATACTTTATTTACTTCCCCCTGAGGGAGGCAGACTGTTGTATCTTATTTGCAAATTTGATAGGAATAACTTGCCCAATTCTAGACTTTGCTATTATCAAGCAAACATTATATATATACACATATGTTATATATAACATATGTATATATATTAATATATGTATATATAATATATATACATATGTTATATATAATATATAAATGCTTGCTATTATCAAGCAAACATTTTATATTTATATACACATATACATTTTTATATATAAAAATGTATAATACACACATATATACACATATATAATAAATTAAGGGTGTTTCTAGATGGTACTCTTTTTTGATGTGTATGTGTTTGTGTGTTTCATTAAAAAACTTTAAAAACAGGAAAATAAAAGAGCAGGCAATTCGCCAAAGGGTAGACAATAATACCAATTAGTTCATAAAAGGATGCTTAACCTCTCTAGCAATAAGAAAAATACAAATAATACTGAGTAGTTATTTTTCATTTTTCTCATTGCAAAAACAAAATAAAATTTGAATATCAACTCTAAGAGAAGATATGAAAAAATCAGAGTCTTTATGAACCACTGGAAGGAATATGAATTAAGATAGTTACATTGGAAAACAGTTTGGTCATATTTAATAGAAAATGTACAGACCTTATTCTGCAGGCATTCTACTTCTAGGTATATATTGTATATTATAGAGAAATCCTTACACATATATAAACAAGCAGAAATTTACTAGTCTATTTATTTCAGAATTGTTGTAATACCAAAAGACTGAAAACTATGTACATGACCATCAGTTAAGTAATAGATCAAATGTGGTATAATCATATGATGGCTTAAAGCCATGTGGATGTTTGCCTCCCTGCAAGCAAGTTTGCTACATTTTTCCCTTATAGGCAGAACCTATCTCTTTCTGGAGAGGCTTTAAATGCCAGACTCTTAGTTTAGTGTTTTCTTTGCCTGTTCAGTTTGGGCACACGAATCAATTCTGGTCACTGGGAATAGAGGAGAAGCCTGCTGAGACCTCCTGTGACAAACGTTTCTCTCTGATAAGAACAGAGAGATTCATGAGGAGAGATTCTTTCCTCTTCATCTTGTGTTTGGTGTTATTCTGTATTGTGCATGGTGCTAGGAGTTGTAGACATTTCGTGACCCTGAGGGGAAAACAGCGGAAATTGCAAAGAAACTAACACAGGGCCTGATTTTGTGTAATGCTTATTAGTACTGGGCCGAAGTAGCTCTGAAATCCTGTTATGTGAGCAGAATATACACTGATAGATTAAACCACTTACAACTAGCATGTGGTACTGAGCAGGTGGGATAACACTGAGAGGGAGAAAGAAAAAGTGCTTTATTTGATAATATTTTCCCCTCACACAGCAGTATAATTAATTGAATAAACTTATTTCTGTATACCTCAGTTCCACAAGTAAAACATAAGGAATGATAAAAATGATCACCAAGATCCAATAAAAACATAGATTATAATATGCAGATAAGGCAGTAAGTGTGTTTCTATGTTCATACATAAATCATGTGTTCCATAAAAATATAAATTTAAAATAATGTAAAGAGAAATTTATTCACCAGCATTCTAACTTATGTAGCGGAAAGCAGATAAATGTGTCTGGTTATTCCCAGGAAGTGAAGCAACCAGAGCAAGGAACAGGACCACACTTTACCCAGCTGCACTAGGTGGAGGGAGGACATCACAGAGGGAGCACTGGGTACTGAGTAGAGAGGCCAGAGAAAGGTTTGCCAGCAAGAAATAGAAATGTACCTTATGTCATGTGATTCTTCTGCTCAACTCCAGAAACTTATGGGAAAGAGCATGACTAACACAAATATGAGTACTTTTCAGTTGCATAGGGAAGGGACTCTGAATCTGGTTCTGAAGAGAGAAGTGATTGAGAAATGCCTGTGGACTCAGGAGTACAGTCTTGAAAAGCTGAGAAAGTGAGGGGTGGGTCTTGTTGGAAAAGCTCAGACTGCCCCAAGTCTAGAATTGGGATTTCAGTCAAACTTTACCTGGATCTCAAAGGCTCACGTGATGATTGAGCTATATTTTTGGTTTCTTTACAAGGGTAACCAATAATATCCGGGATTAAATTATCCTAGGCTGGATGACCGAAAGTGCAACGTTAAGTATTTCTGATTTCTGACAAACTCGTGCAAAGGAGTGGAAGCCAAGCTGAATCGTGCCAGAATGTTTCTTAGAATTCTATTCCAGAGTCAGACAAAATGAGCAGACATGCTGAGACAACGTTGCAGGATGAGAGAGGCACTGGTTTGGATTTTTAGGGTATTTCAGACAAAGCTAGATGAACTTAGTCTAAGATTTTTTTCACGTCCCATTTTATTTTTAATTGATTAAAAATAATTGTATATATCTTGAGGTACAATGGGGTGTTTTAATACATATTTACTTTGTGGGATGATCAAATAAAACTAATTAAAATATCCATCACTTCAAATACTTATTTGTATATTTCAAATACTTATTATTTCAATAATACTTTGAAATAAGTATTATTTCAAATACTTATTATTTACCTCCAGAAAGAGATACTTATTACTTCAAATACTTATTATTATTTTAATAATTATAAAATTGCTTATTTATAAGTAATTATAAAATTGCTTATTTATAATAAGTAATAACTATTACTTATTACTTGTTTCTGAATCCCCCCAGATTCAGAAAGTCCAGGGACTTGGTGGAGAAATTTTTAGTGATAAACTGGAGTGATAAACAGTTTCATATCCATAAGCAATAAGGTCAGTGGACCCACCATATCAACTTTCTTTTCAGGAGCAGAGAACCTCATTTCAGGGGGTGAAATGAGCGGCCTATTTTCCTGAAAATGCTGCTTCCTCGTGGGTAGGCATGAGATTCCCGAGGGAGGAATACTGATTCAGAAGTGGAGAATGTCTTAGAAAAAAGCCTAGGTTGGAAATTCCACTCATCTCTTCAATTATCTTTAAATTCCTAATGTTATACAATATTTAGCCCCCAGACTCTATATTAATGTGGTAACCCAAGAGCATCCCTGAATGATTGCACTAGGGAAAATAAGGCCCAATACAGAGAACTATGACTTCACAGGAGAAGATGAGATACTATCCCCATATTTAAGTCCATATAGTCCTTTTAGGTATATGAGGGCAGAAAAACCCCTTGAGATCAGTGAAAAACAAAACAAAACATGATGTGTGTGCATGCGCATACACACATTCTTACATTTAACTAATTCTTAGCCTATATAAATTTACCTTTATTACTTATATAGAAATTATAATTATAATATATAATTATAAATTATGTATTATAATTATAATATATAAATTATAATTATATATTATATAGAAATTAAAATATTTACTTAGGTCAATCAATGATAAGAGACCAATGGCTTTTAGTGGGAGCACTGACAATCAGGTTTAATTTTTGGTTTGAAAGTGAAGTGCTACATAAAATGGGTGTTCATAGGTCTCTTGATTCAGCAGCTAGGACACGGTAGCACAGAGTAGGTACTTAGAGAATATCTGTTGAATGAGTGATGAGTACAAGGAGAACAGACTAGAGAACTCTGTATTCTACTGCATTACAAGTGCAAGGGCCTGGAAAATTATGTAACAAGTTTCCTAACATAGAAGAGAAATACACACTGTTATTATCTGTGATTATATTCCTAAGTCATTCAAATACCTGGAATTGGCAAAGATGCCAAAACATAAGTGTGCCCAAATTGGCTACTTTTTAGAGAGAAATTTATGTTTTGGGGCATTTCATCTGAAAACAATACATTAAAACTAAATAGGACAAATGGTGATTATAAGTTCTTCTAACTCATATGTAATCATGTAACATTATGATAAGAGTGGTTCTCATGATCTGCACTGCTGTGAAATGTATATTGGCAAGCAGTGTTTAGACCAATGAGACTGGTAAAATGGATGTCACAAGTCAACACAACCTGAATTCATTCTTTCTGGTCTTGCCCCCATTAGATGTTAGTTTCCTTACACTGTTGTAGACAAAATAATGGCTCCTCTAAATGTTTACATCCTAATCCCCCAAACCTGTGAATACATGAACACATTAGCATATATGACAAGTGGGACTTTGCAGATGTGAACTGTAAGATAATAAATTTATATTGTTTTCAGCCATTAAGTTGGTGGTAATTTGTTATAGCTGCAATAAGAAAGTAATACACACAGCAACTATAAGAGCCAGATAACCAAATTCTAGTTACTTTACTTGTAATTTATAGGCACCTGTACTTAGTAACTAGGAAAATAATGAGTTCATACACAAGAGAAATGACAATAGACAGAAGAGACTGAGACTACTGAGACAAATCAGGTTATACAAAAAGATAGCTCATTTAGGAACTATTTATTGTATACTTGAGTTTCACTGGAAAGGCCTGTAAGTGTCAGAGTTGCACTTTGAAGTCAACTGGAAAGTTTCAAAAGCAATAACTGAGGCATGGGTCCAATCTCTATATTCTGATTTGTCTGGGGTATAACTAGGTATCAGAATTTTAAAAATCACCCCACCTGATTCTTTTTTTAAATTTTTATTTTTTTAAACTTTTATTCTAAGTTCAAGGGTACAATTGCAGGTTTGTTACATAGCTAAACTTGTGTCATGGGGTTTGTTGTACAGATTATTCTTCATCACCCAGGTATTAAACCTAGTACCCATTAGTTATTTTTCCTTATCTTCTTTATCCTCTCATCCTCCACCCTCTGAAAGACCCCAGTGTGTGTTATTTTGTTGTTCCCCTCTATGTGTCCATGTATTCTCATGATTTAGCTCCCATGTACAAATGAGAACATACGGTATTTGGTTTTCTGTTCCTGTGTTAGTTTGCTGATGATAATGGCCTCCAGCTCCATCCATGTCCCTGAAAAGGACATAATCTTGTTCTTTTTTATGGATGCATAGTATTACATGATGTATATGTATCACATTTTCTTTATCCAGTCTATCATTGATGAGCTTAGATTCCATGTCTTTGCTATTGTGAATAGTGCTACAGTAAACACACATGTACATCTGTCTTCATGATAGAATTATTTATATTCCTTTGGGAATATGCCCAGTAATAGGATTGCTGGGTCGAATGGTATTTCTGTCTTTAGGTCTTTGTGTAATCACCACACTGTCTTCCATAATGGTTGAACTAATTTATACTCCCACCAACAGTGTATAAGTGTTCCTTTTTCTCTCTACCTGAAAAGGTGGCTCAGTTTCAGATCCACTGCTTTAGAGCCACCTTTGTGGAAAAAAATACCCTGCATGGGTGGTGAAAATAAAAAAACCCTGCTACATATAATTTTACCTTGAAAATAATCACTAGGGAAGAGTGAGTTCTTAATTTTGTAATTTTAGCAGTTGGAAGAAACACAGGGGTGTCAAATTCTCTGGAAAATGTCTTTTTGTTGTTGTTGATCCATACTATGAAGATGACCCTCTTTAAATACAATTTTATCCCTAAGTTCATACATGCAATGTGAATCTCACTCCAATTTTGTGAAGATGCATCAGAATCTTCTGATATCATTGCCAAATCACATATCTTAATTATTCTAGAAAAGCTACACCTTTTCTGTGGCTTCAAATGAAATGTTTAATGCTCTGTACTGTACTTCAATCTTTTCAAAGCATTCACCAACTCCTGTGTGCTTTAATTATCTAAGAGCGTTAGAGCCTGCACATTATGCAAAAGAAGGACCATGGCTTCTAAACAAAGCCTTCTCCTCTAAAGATCCTATGAAAATTTACACTCTGTATGTCTCTTTTAGCCACCCCATGTTACATAAATCCAGAGATAATTCAGCTTTAGAGGTAATTAAATCTACTCTTGCTTCTACATATAGTATGAGAAGCTTCTTTTAGCCTGTGACGCAGGCTCATTTTTCCCAGTACATATTTCTGTTCTGTGGAAGAAGATTGCAACCACCCTTCAAGACTGTGGGAAAAACTATTTCATCCTCACCTCAGAAGGAACAGCACATTTTGTTTATCTGCCTTCCCCTTTTTACACCCACTTCCGGAAAATTGGAACTCCTTCCCCCGCAGGCCTGTCATGAAGTGTTGTGCTTTTGACCCTTGTTAAAGCGATCACAGATTTATAAAACAAAACAAAACAGTGGATTCAGATGTTTTCCAATTAGCCAAACACATTTTTTTTCCTGTGTTACTAACATTCAGTAACAATCAGAATTGATATTTTTTCATGTGGCAATGACTCCCAAATGATCTGCATTTTAAAAGAATATCTAACAGTAACTAAAAGGTAAGGTTGTCCAAGTATGAGGTTAAAGAACATCCTTTCTCCTATTTCTAATTTTGCCACCAACCTATGTGGCCTGGAGCAAGTCATTTTTTTCTTTGCCTTTTATCTCATTCTTTAAATAAGCATCATGGCACTAATTTGTTTAGTTTCCAATTTATTGAATGTACTCATTTCTGAAACCCTGGGAGCAGGTACCTAGTCAAATGGCAGATTGTAAATTATGGAAAATACAAGAAACATAACTTAATACTAAAATGAAGCCATCCGCAGGCCTTAGGTAAATTCAGACCAAAAGGAACTGAAAAACCACCACCACCGCCAACAAAGCATCTAAGATTCAGGTGATGTATGTAACCCCAACGGGCATTGCCCCTGCTTTTATCATTTTTACCAAGCGCTATCCATGATTGCCTGGAAACTTTGAACACTCAAAGTGCAGAGCTTTTGGTGATCTGTGGGAAGGTGGCAGAGAATAACTCTCCTCCCTCTTCTGGTTATATTCTGTTAGAGGATTACCAATGCTCAACACACTCCCAAACTTCAGAGAAGTTTTACTTACTTTGCCTCTCTCTCCCAGGGATATACTACAAGTCTGTGAGGCTGGGAGGGGTTAGGGCAGAATGATAACCTCAGAAACATCTCTCTTGTTTAAGGTCTAAAGCAGTGGTTTCCGTGGATTAACAGCATTAGTATCATCTAAAAAATGGATAGAAGTGCAAATTCCTGGGTCCTATCTCAGACCTACTGAATTAGAAGTTCTGGTGATTGGACCCAACAATCTGAATTTTAACAACCTTCCAGGTGATTTTTATGCTTGATGAAGTTTGAGAATCATGGATATAAACACAACATTTGGTTCCTTCTAGACTTGGGATGACTCAGTTCTTGCACATTCAGGCTATTCCTCAGGAGGTTCTTGTTATAAATAGATTTGTCTGACTCCAGTGGAAGACACAAGGGCCCCAAGCTGAGATTCCACCAAATATAAAAGAAGTGAGGTGTTTTTCATTTTTTAATTATTTCTATTTTTTTTGAAGGCGTCTGGCTCTGTTGCCCAGGCTGGAATGCTGTCACATGATCTCAGCTCACTGTAATTTCCACCTACTAGGTTCAAGCGATTCTCCTGCCTCAGACTCCCATCAAGCTGGGGTTACAGGCATGCGCCCAGCAATTTTTTTGGATTTTTAGTAGAGACATGGTTTTATCATGTTGTCCAGGCTGGTCTCCAACTCCTGACCTCTACTGATCTGCCTGCCTGGGCCTCCCAAAGTGCTGGGATTACAGGTGTAAGCCACCATGCCTGGCTGAAGTGAGTTATTAAAAAAAAAAAATGATTCCCCACTGTGAAAATATCCTTGTTCTTATTTTGAGGAAATATGACATTCTCAGAACTCAACTGCCTTAGAGAGAGGGTTTTGAATAAATCCCTGCTTAATGATACATGGTAAAGACAAATGAGAGGGAGCTGGGCTGCTGAGGAGCAGTGAGAAACATTCCCCTGGTCATCATCGGGCTCCTTCTCAATTACCAGGTTAATATCTCATCAGCCCTGGGTACCAGCCCTCACAGATGCCTTGGTTGCATTGGATACCCTGGTGTGACCCAAAAGATATGCATGGGTAAAAAGGAATGGGGAAATGAGAATAGCAAGAAGAAGAGAAAGAAAGATGAAGAAAAGGGAAAGAGTAAGAAATGACAAAGAGAAAGGACAAGAGTCCCCAAGCCTCCTCGCCTTTATGCCACCCTAGTTATTCAGAGTCCTTCACAGGCTTCCTCAACCCCTTTGCAGAGGCAAGGAAGGCTCTGCTGGGATGATGCCCCTGGAAATAATGGAGTTTGAAAGCGATCATTTCTTAAGGGTAAAAATGCCATGCACCTGCCATTTTCCTGCTAGACCCATCCCCCACTCCTCAAGCCTTAGTACCCAAATACACAAAGAGCAGAAGAAAAGAAGCTGCTAATAATTTCACAGCAGAAAAAAAGGGTGTAATAGTGTAAACTGCCTTTAATCAAATCATACCTGATAAATATGTGTCACTTCTTTTCTCAAAAATTCGAAGGCTGAAAATTATCAGGTGAATGTCTCGTCTGGCCCAATGTTTTTAAATCGTCACCCCACCCATGACATGACTTAAAGCCAATAATAAAAAACAACAATCAACCCCCCCCCCAAAACAAAAACAAAACCAAAAAAAACTCCAACAGTTTCACAAGGAAATGTGCATTAGGTAGAAGCTTGTCAATAGGGTTAGAAAGAATTAGAACATACACATATAAGCCTTATCATGAAAACAATGAGAAAATTCTAAAATGCAAATATGAGACACAATTTTCAAAAAGTTATTCTTAAATAAAAGACAAATTCTAAGTTTAACAATAGGATCCATATAGGTAGTGTTGCTGGAAACAAAGAGGGCCCTGTTTCTTCTTGCTATTTCAATTTCACAAACTAGAAAAGGAAGCAAACACCATTTAGCTGGTCTTAATATACTTCACAAGTCTAATAATTTCCTCCAGAAACAGAAATTCTATGTGAGTTATAATTGTGTTCATTTATTCATTCAGCAAATATTTATCAAGAATCTGATTAATATCCTGATTCTGGCTCTCTTCTGCGCTCTGGGGAAGGGAAAGGAGGAGTTTGTGGATGTTAAATTAGAGATACCTATTTTAGATATTATTTTGGAAATAATGAGTGGGCAGTTGAGTATATAGATCCAGAGTTCAAGGATAAGATTTGAGCTGAAAATATAAATTTGGGACTCCTTTGCATATCTAGATGTTCTTTAAAATTGTGGGATAACACGGTATCACCTAGTGAATGACTGTAGATAAAGAAGCATTCTGAGGACTGAGCCCATGCATACTTCAATCTTTAGTGATCAAGCTGAGGAAGAACCAGCAAAGGAGACTGATAAGGCCAGTAGGGCAGAAAAAAAAAAGAGTGTTTCACAGGGGTCTGAGTTATCAGCTATATGAAATGTAGTTGATTGATGAATAAGGTGACCCCTGAGAATTGACTATTGGATTTTAGCAACATGGAAGTTATTGGTAATCAACCATGAGTTATGGACTGAATTATGGCTTCCCAAAATTCATGTGCTGAGGCTCTAACCACCCAGTACCTCAGAATGTAACTGCATTATATTATAGATAAGGTCTTTGAAGAGGTAACTAACTCAAAATAGGTTCATTAGGGTGGCCCCTAATCCAATATGACTAGTATCCTTATCAAAAGAGGAAATTGGGACACAAACATGCACCCAAATTTGAAAAACCCATCAGAAAAAGATGGGCATCTGTAAGCCAAGGAGAGAGGCCTTAGAAGAAACCTATCCTGTTGATGTGTTGATTTTGGACTTTTTTAGCCTCCAGAGTGATGAGAAAATAAGTTTCTGTTTTTGAATTACCCAGTCTGTGGTACTTTATAAGACAGCCCTAGATAACTAATACACCATGTGAAGAGCTGTCTTGGAAGAATTGTGGGAATAGTACTCTGAATGGAATAATAGTCTGATTGGTTCAAGATATAATATAAGGATAGGAAATGGAAAAAAGTATAGAGAAACAGATATATTGATTTGTTCCTGGAAGGGAAAGGGGATAAACTTTTTTAAAGATTAACAACGACATATTTATATATGATGGAAGTGATCTAGATCTAGTGTGGGGGGGGATTGATGATGCAAGGGAGACAAGGAGAGAGAGAGAGAGACTTTGACCTCGAGTAGGCAAGAGAAGGAGTTGGCTTTTGTTATATAAAATCCTGTTCTTCCCCTAATAGCAAGAAAAAGACATATACACATGGTAATAGCATGTGGAAGTTCTTTTCTTATTGTGCCTATTTTCTCTCTACAGTAGGAAGCGAGATCCCACTAAGTCAGATTGAGGAAGGGATGAAACTTGAAGTGTTGAAAAGAGAGATTAATTTGTGCCATAGATATTCAGGGGTCAGAGATGCCTAGGGGGTTGTGTCTTGCAGAACTCTAAAGGGAATCATTTACATAGACTAGTCAGCAAGGAAGTGGTGGCAGCTCTGCCTATGAAAATGTGCTGGTCAGATTCCCTGCTGTTGGAAACTTGATTGACTAGTGCCCTCAGCTTCTGCCATCCTAGATTCACAAACACATTTGCACCAAAAGCCACTCTCCCCATGGGCTGCTCTCACCTAGCAACTAAGCACAATGAGTAGAAGGAGAACTAATGCAGGTCCATTCCTGGGAGATGGGGGACTCCTCAATTGTGTGAGTTTGGCTCTGGGACAATCTTATCAAGCCTGGTGAAACTTTCTTAAAACTGTAGTTTAAGAATTGTTCTACCTAGTCTTTTTCCTCCACTTCTCCTTTGTAGATGTCAGGTTTGCATCTTAGTCTGAATTCCATCTCTGCCTCTTATAGCTTCTTCCCCTTTTTGTTTTGCATGACTTTCTCTAATAAACGTCTTGCACATCTAATACTGTCCTGATGTCTGCTTCTTGGAAGTCTGTACTTCCAAGTAGTACCAGGAGTGGTCTAAAAAACAGGTGATAAGATGGGGTTAGGGTTTAGGACTTAACTCATCCTATCAGGCAAAGAGGACCTCAATCTGAGTACTGTTTGGTGCAGAAATAGTCTCTCACACAATTTTGTGGCCTAGCTGCTAAAGATTCCACAAGTGGTGGCCTGGGAAAACATCCCGGTTGAATGAACTGTCCATGCAGTTAGAATGATTCAGTCATTTCAAAGATACAAAAGGAACAATACCTACAAAGAGTTGGTTAGTTACTACTAAGTTGTAGAGAAATAAAAAGAAACTGAGGGCCATTGATAAGCAGTTGAAGGCTAAGTGTAAGAGACAGGCATGTTTGGCAGTTTACAACGAGGCCCTTATCTCTTATAGTGAAAGAACAAAGAGTAGACATAACTGAGCAATGAAAAGAAATGTTGATAGCTGGTGTTGCAGAGACTCTGAGCCATTTAAATGTCTGACCAAGGCAGGTCTATTAGTATAAAGTCAGGGTCCTTGTTGAAAAACGTGAGATACTTAAACATGGGATAGAAGATATCTGAATGTCTGCTTCTGAAAATTTTTGTCTATACAAACAAACCGAACAATCAGAAATTTCAAAGGTATTCCACCTGTAAGAGGTAGCACATCTTCCATGCTAAAAGATGCTACAGAATACTCTCCCTAAAAAGCAACAAATGCAGCCCACAGCTGCTGCCCCATCTCCTCCCCTGGGTGGCAGGCTGATAACAAAAGTTAAATCCCAGCAAGATCTAGATGGGGACATGACAGGCCTGATAAAAAAGAAAAGAGATCAATCATGAATGAAACTATGGAAATTAGTTAGATGGATTAATAGCAGATTAGATCTATGGATGAAAAGATTAATAAACTTGAGGAAATAACAATGGAAACTATCCAAAACAAGACTCAGAGTAAATAAGAGCTGAGAAAAAAGAGAACAAAACTGTAGAGCAAATTCAAGTAGTCTAATATATGTATTATTGGAGTACTTGAAGGAGATAAGATGAGGGGAAGGAACAGAAAATAAATTTAAGATATTAAAAAAATTGTCTATTCAGTAGGTAAATGAATAAATGAATTGTGGTACATCCATACAATGAAATATTATTCATTACTAAAACGAAATGAGCTATCAAACCAAAAAAGGCATGAAGAAGCCCTAAATGCATATTTCTATGTGGAAGAAACCAATCTGAAAAGGCTATACACTGTGATTCCAACTATATGACCTTTTGGAAAAGGAAAACTATAGAGACAATAGGAAGATCAGTGGGTACCAGGGGCTAGAGAGCAAAGAAGATTTTTAGGGCGGTGAAACTGTTATGTATGATACTATAATGCTAGATATGTGTTATTATGCATTTGTTAAAACCCATAGAACATGCAATGTCAAGAGTGAATCTAATGTTACCTATGGATTTGGGGTAATAATCATGTGTTAATGTAAATTAATGAATTGTAACAAATGTATTGCTCTGTTGCAGGATGTTGATAATGGGGAAGGCTGTGCATGTTTGGGAACAGGAGGTATAAGAGAACTCTAATTTCTGTTAAATTTTCCTGTGAAACTAAAACTGCTCTAAAACATAAAATCCACTTTAAAAAATAATAGGAAAAATTTACTTTTGTGAAAATTATAAACTCATGGGTCTAAGAAGCACAATGAACCTTAAACACAAGAAACATGAAGATAATTATACCAAATTATATTATAATCAAATTTCTTAAAATCAGTGATAAAGGGAAACTCTTAAAACTAGCCAGAGAAACAGGGTGACTTGAGTATAGAGGAAAAAGAGAAAGGAATAGCAAAGCTTTCTGGTAGGAAACAATGGAATGCCTGATCCACACGTACAGAATCTTGTAGAGTACAGATTTAAATCAAGTGGGAGGTTTCACATCACAGCAAAGGTGGTATAGAAATGGACCCATGACTATGGGATCCACTGATCACATATCACAACATCTAGAAAATATAGACTTCTAAAGATAGAGTGGCAGAGTCAGCTCAGAGACAAGAATTTAAAAGGATGGAATGCCATCCTTTGGGATGTAGTATATACATGAAATTAGAGACTTCTCTATGGCATAATTGCACAAATAGGAAGAATATATGGATGTGGAAGCCAAAGCAGGAGTGATCTCACTTAATATTATTCCCAAAAATCTACTGGCGATTCTGTGCTTCATATACTTGCAACTCTGGGTTCTTCAGGGTTGGAGTGCTGAATCCCAATAAGGGCATGTTTTTGCAAAGGGACTGATCAGGGTCCCATTGAACTATAATATATAGCTACCACTAGGGCACTTTACACTGCTTGTGTTGAGAACCAACAGCTGAGGCATCATCATCATGACTAGAGTAATTGACTCTGATAATTAGGAGGTTGTAAGGCTGCATTTATACTATGTGGCAGGAGGGAATACATAGAGAATCCCAGTTGCAGGTTAGAGATTACAACTGTAATTAAAAGTCTAAAATGTGTATAGATGCTAGCATAATAGAAGTAAGAAAATATGTCAAATACATATGGTTACCAAAATCTTTTTTGAGTGATTTAGGGGAGGAACAGGAGATTATGTAGTAAACTTACTAGGGAAAGACATTTTCAGCAAAAATAAAATGTTCAGTTAACCATAGTCTTAAGTCTTATGTCAATCAAAGGAAGAATAAGCGAATAACTTCCTATTAATTATCACTTAGTTCTACTTGTCTAGAGAATACTTGTTTGTTGACATATCACTAATAACTGTTGTATGAAATGAGATCTATTTGTGACAGATGAGCTTTCATTTTTTTATGTTTTTAGGCATGCAATTATTTTCCCTTGTTGTAGCCTTGAGTAGAATGAGGTTAAGATATGGAAGACTTTATGTTTTTTTCTGGGATTCTCTGAATATTTAACAATTCTTTTTTATTATTAAAAAGAGAAATAATGATTAAGATGCCACGTGAGTTTTGATATTTGCCCACCTTGAGAAAAAAAATATATTTTCTCAGTTTTCTCCCCAACTTGGATATGCTCATTTGATGGATTAAGGTATTTCCTGTTTTGTGGAAAAAACTTGCCATGCTAGGTTTTCTTTATAGTCATTTTCTCTAGGCTATTTTTATATAAGTGGTTGCCTACCTCATTATCACAACTCAAAGATTTAAGAACAAAGCACACATTTAATATTTTATACGCTCAATGCAGAACCATTATTCAACCTATCCAGTCATGATTAATCATTGTCCATTTCACTTGCCTGGAAGAGACAGAAATCTTTATTACTCTGTGTAAATAAAACAGCACATCAAAAATAATAAAATCTAACAAAAGGAATGCTTTACTATGTGCCAGCAACTCTTTTAATTACTTTATAAGTATTTTCACTTAACTTTCAAATCATCTTATGAGATAGGTACTGTCATTAACTCTATATTACCGGTGAGGAAGCTGCTGCACAGCTAGTACAGGTGGGGGTATTCAGGCTCAGAGCCTCTGCTCTTTGCTATTGTAGCCTATGACCTGCAAGTATTTAAGAATATGATGCAAGTTATTGAAATTATTGAAATACCCATTCTTCTGCCAAAAATCCTCTTTAAAAGTAAGTATGAGGTGTAACAAAAAGAAGCATAAAAATAAGTCTCTAAAATGTGAAATCTTTTTTATTGTTTTTAGACTCTAAATCTAAGAGTTTCTGTGTAGTTTTGTTAGAAAATATACATGGTGAAAATTTAAAAAATGCTTTTTATTATGTTAGTAGAAGCAAAGACTTTGTATAACATCTAATAAAATTCTGAAGAAAAGATTTCCCACCTGTAATTTGCAATCATTCATTTGCTTATAAATACTACATTTCTATTAACAGATCATATAGTCCTTAGAGACTATATCAAACTAGTAACATATTTTGACCATCAGTCAGCATAAATTTTCACTTGTTTTGCATTCTCTCCTTTTTTCATATATATGGATATTTGAAATTTAATCTCTTATACCTACCTTTAATCTCCTCCTGGAGAAAGATATAGGGTGCAAAAAGATGCAAATTAATTTAAATATTATCATATATATGATTCAATCAAATTATGTTAAAACATACAGCATGCCAGTTTCAATATCCCTTCCTGGGTTTTCATGATTGATCTGTTATTTTGGGTATGATTCATCAGCTTATTTATTTTTTATTTGCATCTAGGTAAACAGGAGAAAGTACCCTCCTACACAATGAGGAGTAAGGATGCATAGCTTAGATGTAATAGCTAGTCACTTAATAGTTTATAAATGAAATTTTATTCCCATGGTAGCATGAACAGGGTTTCTGAGGAATCAATATCCAGACCAGGATCTCCAGGTTCCTGCCTGACCCGCACTATCCTCCTTTAAGATGCTCCACAACTCAACTCAAAGTGAGAAAAAAGGGAATAGAGTGAATGCGAAGGCTGAGCATTTTTTTTTTTTTTTTTAAGTAAACTTTGATTTTAGGTTCAGGGGTGCATGTGCAGGTTTGGTGTATAGGTAAATTGCATGTCACAGGGGTTTGTTGTACAGATTATTTCACCACCCAGTTGACATGCATAGTACCTGATAGGCAGTTTTTCAGTCCTCACCTTCTTCCCTCCCTTCACCCACAAGTAGGCCCTAGTGTCTGTTGTTCCCTTCTTTGTGTCCATATGTACTTGATGTTTAGCTCCCACTTATAAGTGAGAACACGTGGTATTTGATTTTCTATTCCTGTGTTAGTTCACTTAGGATAATGGCCTCCAGCTCCGTCCATGTTACTGCAAAGGACATGATCTCATTCTTTTTTATGACTGCATAGTATTCCAAGAGGTGTATGTTCCACATTTTCTTTATTCAGTCTGCTGTTGATGGGCATTTAGATTGATTCCATGTCTTTGCTATTGTGAATAGTGCCATGATAAACATACACATGCATGTGTCTTTACGGTAGAACAACTTATATTCCTTTGGGTATATACCCCTAAATGGAATTTCTGGGCGGAATGGTAATTCTGCTTTGAATTCTCTGAGAAATCGCCAAACTGCTTTCCACAATGACTGAACTAATTTACATTCCCACCAGCAGTATACAACTGTACCCTTTTCTCCACAACCTTGCCAGCATCTGTTATTTTTTGACTTTTTAATAATAGCCATTCTGACTGGTGTGAGAGGGTATCTCATTGTGGTTTTGATTTGCATTTCTCTAATGATTAGTGTTGTTGAGCATTTTTTCATATGCTTCTTGGCCATGCATATGTCTATATGTCTTCTCTTTTAAAAAGTATCTGTTCATGTCCTTTTCCCATTTTTAAATTTTTTTTTTGCCTTTTGACCTAAGTTCTTTATAGATTCTGGTTATTAGACCTTTGTTGGATGCAGAGTTTGCAAAACTTTTCTCCCATTCTGTAGGTTGTCTGTTTACTCTGCTGATAATTTGTTTTGCTGTGCAGAAGCTCTTTAGTTTAATTAGGTCCCATTTGTCAATTTTTGTTTTTGTTGCAATTGCTTTTGGCATCTTTGTCATGAAATCTTTTCCAGGTCCTCTGTCCGGAATGATATTGCCTAGGTGATCTTCCAGGATTTTTTATAGTTTTAGGTTTCACTTTTAATCCATTTTGAGTTTATTTTTGTATATGGTGTAAAGAAGGGGTCCAATTTCAATCTTCTGTATATGGCTAGCCAGTTATCCCAGTACCATTTATTAAATGGGGAGGCCTTTCCCCATTGCTTGTTTTTGTCAACTATGTCAAAGATCAGATGGTTGTAGGTATGTGGCATTGTTTCTCAGCTCTCTATTCTGTTCTATTTGTCTATATGTCTGTTTTTGTATCAGTACCATGATGTTCTAGTTATGGTAGGCTTTTAGTACATTTTGAAGCCTAGTAACGTGATGCCTCCAGCTTTGTTCTCTTTGCTTGATATTACCTTGACTAGTTGAGCTAAGACTGAGCATTTCTAACTTGGGGATTTTTTTGATTAAATATTTTAAAGATGGTCTTTCTTGGAAAAGAGTGAAATAGAACAGGAGGAATGAAAGATATTTAGGTTAGTAATACAGTACTTGATATGAAGAAAAGCATGTACACCTTTTACGTAGCAGCAGTTTTACTTTCAGAATCACTTAACTTTGCTTTATTAGGTAAGCCAGTTGAGATAGTAAGAAAAAGGTATCCATTAGTATTGGAGTTTTTCAAAGTTTCTTATTATGGTAAACTACACATAACATAAAATTTCCCACATTATCCATTTAAAGTGTACAGTTCAGTGGTATTAAGTAAATTCATAATGTTGTGCAGCCATCACCACCATCCATCTCTCTGTAATTCTTTCCAGCTTGTAAAACTGAAACTCTGTACCCATTAAACAATAACTCCCCATTCCTTTCTCCCCCGACCCCCTGACAGTCACCGTTCCATTTTCTATTTCTACAATTTTGAATACTCTAAGTATCTCATGTAAGTGAGAGTAGTATTTGTGTTTTTGTGACTGGCTTATTTCACTTAGCATAATGTCCTCAAGGTTCATTTATGTTGTAGTATATGTCGGAATTTACTTCCTATTTTAAAACTGAAAAATATCTCATTGCACATATATTTTTTGCTTCTTCATTCCTCAGTCAATGGATACTTGGGTTACTTTAACTTTTTAGCTATTGTAAATAAACCTGCTATCAACCTGATGTACAATATCTCTGCAATCCTGCTTTCAGATCCTTTGGGTATATACCCAGAAGTGGAATTGCTGGATTATATGGTAATTCTATTTGTAATTTTTTAAGAAACTACCATACAGTTTTCCACAGTGGCCTATTTTAAATTCCCACCAACTGTGCACAAGGGTTTAAGTTTTTCCACATCCTTTCCAACACTTGTTATTTTGTCAGTTTTTAAAAATAATAGCCATACTAACTGGTGTAAGGTGGTATCTCATTATAGTTTTGATTTGCATTTTCCTAATGATTAGTGGTATTGAGCACAATTTCATGTACTTATTGGTCATTCCAATATCTTCTTTACAGAAATGTCTATTTAGGTTCTTTGCCTATTTTTTAAAAATTATACTTTAAGTTCTAGGGTACATGTACACAAAGTGCAGGTTTGTTACATATGTATACATGTGCCATGTTAGTTTGCTGCACCCATTAACTCATCATTTACATTAGGTATTTCTCCTAATGCTAACCCTCCCCCATACCCCTACCCCACGACAAGCCCCTGTATGTGATATTCCCCACCCTGTGTCCAAGTGTTGGATTGCTCAATTCCCACCTATGAGTGAGAACACGCGATGTTAGGTTTTCTGTCCTTGTGATAGTTTGCTCAGAATGATGATTTCCAGCTTCATCCATGTCACTATAAATGACCTGAACTCATCATTTTTTATGGCTGCATAGTATTCCATGGTGTATATGTGCCACATTTTCTTTATCCAGTCTATCATTGATGGACATTTGGGTTGGTTCCAACTCTTTGCTATTGTGAATAGTGCCGCAATAAACATACGTGTGCATGTGTCTTTATAGCCGTATGATTTATAATCCTTTGGGTATATACCCAGGAATGGGATCGCTGGGTCAAATGCTATTTCTGGTTCTAGATCCTTGAGGAATCACCACACTGTCTTCCACAATGGTTGAACTAGTTTACACTCCCACCAACAGTGTAAAAGCCTTCCTATTTCTCCACATCCTCTCCAGCGCCTGTTGCTTCAACTTTTTAATGATCGCCATTCTAACTAGTGTGAGATGGTATCTCATTGTGGTTTTGATTTGCATTTCTCTGATGGCCAGCATTTTTTCATGTGTCTGTTGGCTGCATAAATGTCTTCTTTTGAGAAGTGTCTGTTCATATCCTTTGCCCACTTTTTGATGGGGTAGTTTGACTTTTTCTTGTAACTTTGTTTAAGTTCATTGTAGATTCTGGATATTAGCCCTTTGTCAGATGAGTAGATTGCAAAATTTTCTCCCATGCTGTAGGTTGCCTGTTCACTCTGATGGTAGTTTCTTTTGCTGTGCAGAAGCTCTTTAGTTTAATTAGATCCCATTTGTCAATTTTGGCTTTTGTTGCTATTGCTTTTGGTGTTTTAGTCATGAAGTCCTTGCTCATGCCGATGTCCTGAATGGTATTGCCTAGGTTTTCTTCTAGGGTTTTTATGGTTTTAGGTCTAACATGTAAGTCTTTAATCCATCTTGAATTAATTTTTGTATAGGATGTAAGGAAGGGATCCAGTTTCAGCTTTCTACATACGGCGGGCCAGTTTTCCCAGCACCATTTATTAAATAGGGAATCCTTTCCCCATTTCTTGTTTTTGTCAGATTTGTCAAAGATCAGATGGTTGTAGATCTGTGGTGTTATTTCTGAGGCCTCTGTTCTGTTTCAATTGTCTATATCTCTGTTTTGGTACCCGTACCATGCTGCTTTGGTTACTGTAGCCTCATAGGATAGTTTGAAGTCAGGTAAGGTGATGCCTCCAGCTTTGTTCTTTTTGCTTAGGATTGTCTTAGCTATTCGGATTTGCCCATTTTTACTCGTGTTGTTTGTTTTGTTGTTATTGAGTCAGGAGTTCTCTATACTTTCTGGATATTAATATCTTATCAGATATATGATTTATAAATATTTTCTCCTATTCTCTGGGATGCCTTTTTATTCTGTTAAAATTGTCTTTTGTTGTTATTTTTAAGATTTGTTATGAAGTCCAGTTTGTCTAATTTGTCCAAAAATAGTTTTTGTACTACGTTTTCTTTTAAGAGTTGTATAGCTTTAGGTCTTACACTTAGGTCTTTTATCCATTTTGAGTTAATTTACGATGCTAGGTAAGGGTCTGACTGTGTTCTTTCACAAGCAGATTTCCAGTTTCCCCAGCAGCATCTGTTGAAAAGATTGCCCTTTGTCCTTTCCTCTTGGCACTTTTGCAAAAAAATCATTTGAGTATATATGGGATGGTTTATTTCTAGGCTCTCTGTGTGTATGGTCTGTATATCTGTCTTTATGCTAGTACCACACTGTTTTGATTACTCCATATTTGTAGTAAATTTAAAATCAGGAAGTATATGTCCTCCAGCTATGTTCTTTTTCAATATTATTTTGGTTACTTGAGGTCCCTTGAGATTTCATATAAATTTTAGGATAGGTTTTTCTATTTCTGCAAAAAAACATCATTGGGATTTTTATAGGGATTGCATTGGATCTGTAGGTCATTTGGTATAGTATTGACAGCTTAACAATATTAAGTCTTCCAATCTGTGAACATAAAATGTGTTTTCATTTATTTATGTCTTCTTTAATGCCTTTCAAAATGTTTTGTAGCTTTCATTGCACAAGTGTTTCATCTGCTTGGTTAATCTCACTATTTTATTTTTTGGATGCTATTGCAAATGGAATTGCTTTCATAGCTTCCTTTTCAGGTTATTCATTGTTAGTGTATAGAAATAAAACTGATTTTGTATGTTGGCTTTGTTTCTTGCTCCTTGGCTAAATTCATTTATTAACTCTGACATTTTTGTGTGGAATATTTAAGGTTTTCTACTTATAAGATCATAATATTTGTGAACAGAGATTATATTATTTCTTTCTTTACAATTTGGATGTCTTTTTGTTTCTTTTTCTAGTCTAATCCTCTGGTTAAAATTTCCAGTGCTTTGTTGAATAGAAGTGGTGAAAGAGGGCATCCTTGTTTTCTTCCTGATTTTAGAATAAAAGCTTTCAGCCTTTCACTATCGAGTGTGATATTTCCTGTGAATTTTTGAAATGTGGCTTTTGTATTTATTTATTTATTTTTGAGACAGAGTCTCACTCTGTCACTGAGGTTGGAGTGCAGTGGCACGATCTCAGCTCACTGCAACCTCCACTTCCCTGTTCAAGTGATTCTCATGTTTCAGTCTTCTGAGTAGCTGGGATTACAGGTGCCTGCCACCACACCCTGCTAATTTTTGTATATTTAGTAGAGATGAGGTTTTGCTGTTTTGGCCAGGCTGGTCTTGAACTCCTGACCTCAGGTGATCCACCCTCCTCGGCCTCCCAAAGTGCTGCGATTACAGGCTGAGCCACCACTTTCAGCCAAAACATGGCTTTTATTATATTGAGATTGTTTCCTTCTATTCCTAGTTTGTTTAGTATTTTTCATCATAGTGGGTGTTGAATTTTGTCAAATACTTTTTTCTTAGATCCTGTGGTTATCTTCTTCCCCTCATTCTGTTAATGTGGTGTATTATATTGGTTGATTTTCAAACATTGAGCTATCCTTGCATTCAAGATAAAAAACCCCACTTGATCATTGTGTATTATCCTTTAATATGCTGCCAAATTTGCTTTAGTAATATTTTGTTGAGGACTTTTGCATCAGTGCTCATAAGAGACATTGGTCTGTAGTTTTCTTATAGTGTCTTTGTGTGGCTTTGGTATTCTATGAGGATTGGCATCATAGAATTTGCCAGGAACTCTACCCTCCTCTTTAATTTTTGAGAAAAGATTGAGAATGGTTGGTATTAGACATTCCTTAAAGGTTTGGTAGGATTCCCCATAAGCCCATCCAGTACTTTTCTTTGTTAGGAGATTTATTTTTTTATTCCTGATTCAATCTCCTTACTATTTTAAGTCTATTCAGAGATTTATTTCTTTGTGATTTACATTTTGTATTTCTAGGAATTTGTCCATTTTATTTAGATTATCCAACTTCTTGGGATACAATTGTTTATAGTAGTCACTTGTAATTCTTTCAGTTTCTATGGAAAGGGTAATGTCCCTATTTTTATTTCTGATTTTACCAATTTGAGCCTTCTTTCTTCTTAGTTCATCTAGCTAAAGGTTTGTCAAATTTGTTGATCTTTTCAAAGAACCAACTTCTGGTTTCATTGATTTTCTTCTTTTTTTTTGCCATTCATTATTTTATTTATCTCTGCCGTAATCTTTATTATTTCCTTCCTTATGTTAGCTTTGGGTTTCGTTTGTTCTGATTTTTATAGTTTATTAAGCTGTAAAGTTAGGTTGTTGATTTGATACCTTTCTTGTTTTCTAATATAAATATTTTCAAATTTCCCTCTTAGAAATGTTTTCTCCTATTCCTAGTTTGTTGAGTTGAGTACTTTTTATCATAAAAGGGTGTTGAATTTTGTCAAATGCTCTTTTCTTAGCATTTGCTCTGCCCCATACTTTTTGGTTTGTTGTGTTTTCATTGTCATTGATCTCTAAGTATGTTTCCATTTCTCTTGTGATATTTTCTCTGATCCCTTTGCTATTTAATAGTGTGCTGTTGAGTTTCCAAATATTTAGGAATTTTTACTTCTATTAGGAAGTTTTACTTCTATTTTTGATTTGTAACTTTATCCTATTTTGATAAGAAAAACATACTTTGTGATATTTCTGTCTTTTTACATTTGTTGAGAACAAATTGTGGCCTAACATATCGTCTATTCTGAAAAATGTTCCATGAGCATTCGAGAAGAATGTGTACACTATTGTTGTTGGGTGGAGTGTTCTGCACCTGTATGTTAGATCTAGTTGTTTTATTGTGTTGTTTAAGTTCTCTACTTTCTTTATCTTCTGTCTGGCTGTTCCACCCATTATTGAGAATGGAGCATTAAACTCTCCAACTATTATTGTAGAACTGTTTATTTCTCTTTTCAATTCTATCAGTTTTCTCTTCATATGTTTTGATGGTCTGTTATTGGGTGTGTAAATGCTTATAATTTTTACATTTTCTTTCTATATTAAAGCTTACCTTAGCATATAACATTCCTTGTCCCTTGTAAACTTTTTTGTTTGAAAGTGTATGTTGACTAATATTATGGCCACAGCTGCTCTGTTTTGATTACTATCTGCATGGAATATCTTTTCCCATCCTTTCATTTTCAGTCTATTTGTGTCTTTGGATCTAAAGTTAGTCTCTTATAGAGAGCATATAGTTGAATCATGTATCTCTATTCATTCTTCCAATCTCTCTCTTTTGAGTGGAGAGTTTAATCCATTTACATTTCAAGTAACTACTGATAAGAAGGGATTTGGTTGTTTTACTATTTGTCCTCTATATGCCAGATAGCTGTTTTGTCCCTCATTTCCTTTTGTGTTTGGTTAATTGATTTTCTTTTGGTATAATATGTTGTTTTTAATTTCCTGTTGTGTATATTTCATAACTATTTTCTTTTTGGTTACCATGAGAATTATATTTAAAATCCTAAAGTTTTCTCACTCTAACTTGAATTTCTACCAGGTTAACTTCAATAACATACAGAAACTCTGTTTTTTTATAGCTTCCTCGCCACTGCTTTTTGTTATTGATGTCACAAAATTATATATTTACACATTGTGCACATGAAAACTTAAGCTAATAATTCTTTTAAATACATCAGTTTCTGAAATTACCTAGAAAACAAAAAGCGGAGTTACAAAGCATTTTTAGAATAAAATTAGCTTTTGTAATTGCTCATGTATTTACCTTTATTAAGAACTTTTTTTCTTCATACAGTTTTCAATGACTATACAGGGTCTTTTCATTTTGCTGTGCAGGACTCCCTTGAACATTTCCTGCAGGGCAGATCTAGTGGTTACAAACTCCCTCAGCCTTTTTCTATCTGGAAATGTCTTACTTTCTCCCTCATTCTGAAGGACAATTTTTCCAGATATAGGATTCTTGTTTTGCAAGTTTTTTTTTCTTTTAGCACTTTGACTATATTGGCTACTGCCTTCCTGCCTCCAAAGTTTCTGATAAGAAATCTGCTGATAATCTTATTAAGGATCTCTTATATGTGATGAGGTGCTTCTATTTTGCTGCTTTTAAGATTCTCTTTGAGTTCATCTTACTTGAGGTTTGTTGAGATTCTTGATATTTACATTCATGTAATTAATCAATTCATGTAATTCATCAAATTTGGGAAGTTTACAGCTATTATTTCTCCAAAATTCTCTCTGTCTCTTTCTCTCTTTTTACCTTTTGGTATTCCCCCAACGTGTATTGGTCCACTTGATGGTGTTCCACAAGTCCTTTAGGCTCTGTTTACTTTTATTCAATTTGTTTTCTTTCTGTTCCTCAGTCTAAAAAATTCTTATTGTCTTATCTTTAGGTTCACTAATTCTGTTTTTGTTCTGCCTGATTAAATCTGCCTTTGAATCCCTCTAGTGAAGTTTTCATTTCAGTTATTGTACTCTTCAGCTCCAGAATTTCTTTTTTATTTCTTTTTAGGTTTTCTGTCTCTTTATCGATACTTCAATTTTTTGTTCAAAAATTGTTGGGTTTGTTTTTTTTTTTTTACTTCACATCTTCCTTCAGTGGTTTGAGTACCTTTAATGCAGTTGTTTTAAACTCTTTGTCTAGTGTATCTACTATCAGGTCTTTTCCAGAGAGTAGTTCTATTTCTTTCTTTTTTTATTTCCCCTTTTCCTGGGCCATAGTTTTCCATTTCTTTGTGTACCTTGTAATTTTTTAGTCAAAATTGAATGTCTGAATCTAATAATGTGGCAACTCCAGAAATCAGATTCCCTAAGGTTTGCTGGGTTTTGTTATGGTTTTGTTGATTATTTTTATTTTTTAATTTTTTTTTTTTTTTGGTGATCTCTGTGTTAAGGATTGTACTGAGGTATAAACTTAAGATCCTCTCGGGTCTTTCCTTAGTCTTTCACTAGGCATGCATGGTCACTTTCTAATTTTCCCTATATGCAGTTGTATTTTAAAAATTCCCTAGTCTTTAGTCTGGCTTTTAAAAGACAATAAAGAAAAAAAATAGATGGGGGGAAAAGGGCACTAGCCTTATAAATCTGCTGGAAGTCACTCCAGTGAAAGGGAAAAGAGCTTGTAACAATGAGGGGAGGTGCAGCAAAAATGGCCACTTATCTTTTTGCACCTCTGTGATCAGAAGCAGCAATTAGCAATCAGAGCACAGATCTCAAATATTTGGAGAAAAGAGTTTTATTTTGTTTGTTTGTTTGTTTTGGTTTTTTTGTTTTTGTTTTTGTTTTTGTTTTTCCCATTCTGGCTCTAGCAAGCTGTTTGCAAGCTGCTCCAGGAACAAACAGCTGCCTGCCATGTGGATGAGGGGTGCAGAATGAGTAGCTGCTACGGTATTTAGAGTAGAAATGGACTGAAATTAGTCACAATTTACCATTCCAGTCTTCCCCTGGAAGTTGCAAACTTTTAATAGACTCTACAGTTTCAAAATAGTTATGTCAGAGAGGTTCTTCCAGTAAAATTGTTGTCTAAGTAAGGAGACAGATTTCTAATGCTTCCTACTCTGCCATCTTCTCAGAATTTTCTATCAGAATTTAATTTTTCTTAGACACCAATATGCAAATTAGAAGTGAGCTCCTGCTACTAATGAACAACCTGGGACTGGAGGTGATGGTAGATGGGACAAACAAAGTGCACATCCTTATTTCTGATGCTGAAGCAGGAGGAAAAAAAGATTCTAAAAATCCTTGTTTCAATAAAAATTTGAGAGCCATCTCCAATTTTTGGTTACTCACCATCTACTCTTGCTATGAAAATGTTACTGGACCACATCATAATAAAACCCCACTCCAAGAGGAACAATGAGCCTTATATCCACTGCCTCTGTCCCCCAGCCTGAGGGAAGACACCCTAGCTGAGAGAGAACCTCTCATAAAACCACAAGTGACAGATAGAGGAGATGGGGGTTGGGGCTTTTCTCTTCTACTTTGTTCTTTGGAACAAAGAGAATTGGACTTTTCAGTGGTGACTCATGCCTGGAATCCCAGCCCTCTGGGAGGCAAGATGGTCAGATCACTTGAAATCAGGAGTTCAAGACCAGCCTAGCCAACATGGTGAAACTCTGTCTGTACTGAAAATACAAAAATTAGCTGGGCATGGTGGTGTGCACCGCTAATCCCAGTTACTTGGGAGGCTAAAGTGAGTCAGGAGAATCCCTTGAACCTGGGAGGTGGAGGTTGCAGTGAGCAGAGGTGGTGCCACTGCACTCCATCCTGGGTGACAGAGCAAGACTCCGACTCAAACAACAACAACAACAACAAAACAAAGAATTGGCCTTTGTTTCAAGAGTTTGGGCTTGATGAGTGTTCAAGTTTGCTGAGTATTTAACTGGACAAGGATAAACTGTCCTCGAGTATTTATTCCTCTAGGTAACTCAAGTTATCCGGAAAAATTATGTGGTGTTTCTTAACATTCAAATTGATTTTTTAAAGTGTAATTTTCTATCGATAGAAAAGCATCAACTTGCTTCTTCTGCAGTCATCTTCATTGCTGCAAAAGGCAACTCTAACTTTCCAGTTGCTCATGCCAAAATATTGGCATAATTTCTGACTTCTTGTTTCTTTTATATCCCACATTCCACCTATTGGCAAATAAGAATGTTCAAAATATACCCAGAAATCTATCACTTCTACCTCTTTTGTTGCTACTATTCTGGAGCAAGCTGCCATCCTTTCTCACCTCAAGGGTATTGTGGTAGCCTTTCTACTGTCTCTCTCATTCCACTCTTGCCCATCCACTGTATTTTCTCAACACAGTGTCCAGAGAAATCCTTTTACAATGTAGTTCAAACATGTTATTTCTCTGCACAAAATCCTCCAATAGCTTCCCATCTTAAGAGCTTCCTTTCTTGCATCCTATCATTTCTCTGACCATGCGGAATCCAACTTCAGGGTCTCTTAGAGTCTAATTTGTTATTCCCAGTCCCACTTAAGTTGCTCCCCCAGATATCTAGTTTATTGTATTGATTCCTAATCTTTGTTCAAATATCACCTTCACAAGGAGGCCTTCAAATCATCTAGAAAAAAAATATATCATTTTCTCCCTCCTCATTCCCACTTCACCGGACCTATCTTCCTCTTCTTACTCTTTGCTCATGACACCTGTTATCATCTGAAATACCATATACTAACTTATTTATTTAGTGTGTCTGTTCTCTGTATTGGAATAGAAGTGTCACAAGAACAGAAACCTTGTTTTGCGCACTATTGTATCTCCACTGCCCTCAAGTGACTAGATCATAATGAGAGCCTGGGGAACATTTTATTGAATTATCTATTGAAGTTTTATAATGTTATCTTAGGCTTCCCTAGGGATATTTCTAAGTTCTTAAAAATGCATGCTTATTAATACGAAGAGGACCAGACAAGGGAACGTGAACAGATGATTGAAAATCCATCCGTCTTGGGGAAATGATTCAACAGAAATGCTATAATTGTACTGAAAATATAAGAATGTCTTCATGGAGAAATCTAGCGTCCACATTAACACAACTAAATGTTGCCACTGGTGGCAGTTTAGCTTTGTGTCTGGAGTATATACTGACTCATTCATTATTTTTTGAAGCAATACTTCAAGATTTAATTTAACCAAAGAGGTAAGTTTGTAAACAGCATCATGGAAGTAAATGTAGTGCTGGTGAGGAAAATAGAAGGAGTACTTGAGAAAAATGTCAGTTGGGTATAATGACTCTGTGATTATGAAATATGATAATAAAGATATGCTGTTGCTTTGAATAACTTCAAAGATTAAATCTGTACAGGATGTTCTTCTTTCTCTTTTCTGTTGTCATCACTAAAATAGCACATTTAAAAAAAATTACCTTGGAATGCAATGACCTAACTAAAGACTGTTTATCAGAAAAAAAAGTCTACTTACCTCTCGTCTCTCCCACTCACCCCAGTTTACTTTGCCAGATACCCTAACCCTGCTTCCAGTAACCCTTTATTTTCATCTGTTTTCCTTGCTCCCTTTCACATTAGTAGCCTCACTTTACCCTTGTGACTTCTTGATCAGCTACTTCAGTATTACTCTTGCTACCATACTGACTTCCCCACCTTCAGCAATATGCTTGATGTTTTTTTCTATACCTTAACTTCTCATGTCTAGTCCACAGCCATGAGTCACATCTTGGCTGGACACCAACATTTTTTCCTCTTTTATTCACTTTCGTTTATATTTCCTCTCCTATCTTCAATGCCTCAACTAACAATAGTGCCTAACTAAGACTTTGTGAAGAAGGTTAATCATTCTTCCTGCATCTCTTTTTCCATATAGTTCAGGAAAATGGATTTCTTTTTTCGCTGAGATTCCATTCAACATTTGCCACCCTCATCTTATGCTGTCCCACTTCTTTTGGGACTACTTTCATGTTTTGTCCTCTTCCTTGCAAACATTATTTCTCTCTTTCTATCTCCTTAGGATTTTTATATCCTCAAATATGTTCAATAGGCCCAAATGATCATATCAAAACCAAACCAAACAATCAGAACCAAAATTGCACAAAGCCTTGAGAATCCTTATGGTCTTTATTTAACTGCTAATCTTTTAGTGTAAAACTCAAGGGTGTAGACTCACTCAACATTTATGCTTTTTATTTATGCTCACACTTTATAAACTATTTCTCCCCATTTGCCTGGAACCACTCATAGGAAACCACTTGCCAGTGTATCACCAATTACCTTCTTCTAGCCTTTCTTTAGTCTTTCCTTAATTATTTCGTGAACACCTACTTTATGCAAGGAAATTATATTAGGCAGTGAAGAGGGAGAATAAGACAATAAACACAACAACTAACCTTAGATTGCTTCTAAGTAGAAAGGCTACGTTATTTATTTAGTGTTGGTTGGAAAATGGGTAGAAAAAAATGTAATTGGATGGAAAAGCATAAGGCAAGGGGTAAGCATCTTATATAAAAATAGCACAAAAAACAAGTACAGTAAGTAAAGAGGTTAAATGATATAGTGAGAACGAAACTTTCTGGTCAGAGTGATAATTAGAATCCTAGCTTCACAATTCAATAGTTCTATGACTTTGGTGAAGTTGTCTACCTCATTAAATTAGTTTTCTGTAAAATAGGAATATAATTATAACCACTTCAAAAAGTTAGCTTGCATAGCAAGGGTGACCTTTACTGCAGCTCCCAACAAGTTCAAAATCTCCATCTGAGATCACCCCAACCTGGACTTTATTGTCCATATCACTATCAGCATTTTGGTCAAAGCCATTCAACAAGTCTCTAGGAAGTTCCAAACTTTCCCACATTTTCTTGTCTTATGAGCCCCCCAAGTCTCTAGGAAGTTCCAAACTTTCCCACATTTTCCTGTCTTCTTCTGACCCCTCCAAACTGTTCCAAACTCTGCCTGTTGCCCGGTTCCAAAGTCTCTGTCACATTTTTGGGTATCCTTGTAGCAGCACCCAACTCTACAGGTACCAATTTACTGTATTAGTCCATTCTCGCACTGCTAATAAAGACATACCAGAGACTGGGTAATTTATAAAGGAGAGAGATTTAATTGATGCACAGTTCCACAGGGCTAGGAGGCCTCAGGAAACTTACAAGCATGGTAGAAGGGGAAGCAAACACACCCATCTTCACATGGTGGCATCAAGGAGAAGTGCAGAGTGAAGTGGGGGAAAGCCTCTTATAAAACCTTCAGATCTCATGAGAACTCACTATCATGAGAACAGCATGGGGGTAACCACCCCCATGATTCAATTACCTCCCACCAGTTCCCTCCCATGACACACGGGAATTATAGGGACTACAGTTCAAGATGACATTTGGGTGGGGACATAGCCAAACTATATCAGTCACCTTGTAGCCCATTTAAGAGACATTTTCCAGCCTCCTTTGCAATTACTTGTGATCATACAACTAAGTTCTGGCCAATATGTAAGCACACATAATGAATGAAGTTACAAGGAGTCCCCTTTTTCTCTTGTTGCCTGGAAAGTGGACATGACAGTTGGAGCTCCAGCAGCCATACTGGATCTTGAACTAGTCTTCTAAGGATTTGGTGGCAGCAAGGTACAAAAAGCCTGATGACAATGGAGCTGCCATTCCTTCCCTGGACTGCCTACTTTTAGGTTCCTTTTATGAGAGAAATAAGCTATTTTACTTAATATATTATTATTTTTCTTGTTATTGTTTTAATTAATTTTTTTTTAGACAGGATCTCACTCTGTTGCCTGGGCTGGAGTGCAGTGGCATAATCATGGCTCACTGCAGCCTCAATCTCCTAGGCTCAAGCAATCCTTCTGCCTCAGCCTCGTGAGTAGCTGGGACTACAGGCACGCACTTCTATGCTTGGCTAATTTTTAAACTTTTTGTAGAGATGGGGTCACACTATATTGCCTAGGATGGACTCCTTTCCCAGGGCTCAAGCAACCCTCCTGCCTCTGCCTCCCACAGTGCTGACATTACAGGCATGAGCCACCGAGCCCAGCCTTCTTGTTATTATTGTTGCTAGAGTTACATGCAAGGTGCCAAATCTTATCTGACATTGAATGCTGTTCAGTTAACTTCCTTTGAAAATTCAATTTTATCCACTTTATGTATATACTTATTAAATATTTTCCAAATTTTACTCACAAAGGGCAGTAAGCACTCCATATGAGTTGAATTACATTTTTATTTTCAAAATATTTGCTATTAATTAGTGTTATAATATTCTACTTAGTTGGCAGTACAACCTCATTGTTTTACTTATTTTATTAATCCATTCATCATCCCGGTAGCAAGACAAACAAACAAATCATACTTTGGTTACATAAGAAGGTAGAAAAGTGGATCATACATTGCAGAGAATTGTAAAGTAATAACATTGGTAAAAGAAGCTAAGAAATGTTGCAAGAGTAGCTTGAAAAGGGGTCAGTTATTTTAGGGTAGATTTTGTCATGTGAGGGGAGAAATATTGAAAAAATGGTGTCTGTGTTCAGGTGCTTCAATCACAACGTAGGGAGACTGCCTCCTTTAGAAATGATTGTGGTGTGTGAGTAAGAGGCCGATGCAGATGGAACATGGTGATCAAGAACTAATAAGCATGGGTCACAAAGGCAGGGTAAGTCATTGAGGCTGAATTCAGAAGATGAACAACACAGACCTGTAACCATGGAAACACAATAGGCCAAGGATAATTCTAAACCTCTGATCAGTTTTTGTTTAGTATTAAATGCCACTTAGAAAAGAAGGAAAATGAAGTGCAGGCAATACCCAGACTTACACTTCACAAAGCTTTTTAAAGCCAAACAAGCATGGAGATATTGAATGTTTGCCCTGACTAACGGCAGGCTCATATGCCAATACTCGTCAAAGCAGACACAGAAATGTATCCTCACAAAGGAAGCAACAGGACTAGCAAACATTTTCATTTTTCTCTTGGTATAGAAAATCAAAGTTACTAAAGACACATGACCAGATATGTGAAGTGATTGATGGAAATAAAATGATGTTGACTTTTCCTTTTTTTTTTTTTTTGAAATGGAGTTTTGCTCTTGTTGCACAGACTGGAGTGCAATGATGCGATCTCGGCTCACTGCAAACCCCACCTCCCAGGTTCAAGCAATTTTCCTGCCTCAGCCTTCCAAGTAGCTGGGATTACAGGTGCCTGCCACCACACCCAGCTATTTTTTAATTAATTAATTAATTAATTTATTTATTTGTATTTTCAGTAGAGATGAGGTTTCACCACGTTGGCCAGGCTGGTCTGGGACTCCTAACCTCAGGCAATCCACCCGCTTTGGCCTCCCAAAGTGCTGGGATTACAGGCATGAGCCACCGCGCCCGGCCTAATGTTGACATTTCTAAACTGTTTGGCCTATATAATGCTGAAAGGAGAGGGACCATATTGTTAATTAAATTCAACTTATTTTCACTGTATTCAATTAACTACCCTTTATTGGCATCGTCTACATACACAGGACTGCAGTTAGCAACTACATCCCAGCTGAGGCTCAGCTCTCTGATGGGGAAATATTGCAGAGTCAGGAAGTAGGTAAAGGGGCCCTTTGGAGAGTGAAACGAATTTCACAGAAGTCTTGATACTCCAGCTCATCCATCTGTGTAGGGAATGTCTCTGAGATCCTCATTCACAATATATTTCTTCTTATTGTATATACAGTTGGATTAAATTTGAATATTTTGTTACCAAGCACCTAGCAGATTAGAAATCAAATTTAAGAAGAAAGGAATGAAGTCATAGCAAAAGGCACTTTGACTCTTGTGAGCATAACAGCTGTGACTACTGTATACGTGAGTTACAAGTAACAAGGGAAGAGACTGAACAACATTTTTTTTAATGATGAAAGCTTTGAGTATAATAATTTACACTTATTCACTTGAGAAATAGATGGTCCGGCTCACCTCATTGGCCATGAAGATATCATATTATATAATCAAGAATAACAAACGATAATAACAAATATATATTAAGTGCTTGCTATGTGCTAAGCACTGGAGGTAGGCATTTTAAGTACATTTATTATCTCAGTTAATTCTTGAAACTGCCATGTCATACAGATATTATTATTACTTTTATTTTACAGATGAGGGAAGTATCAGATAGTTTAACTAATTTACTATGTGTTAGTAAACTTCAGGGGGCTGAAATGCGATTCAAACTCTGATCTTTAGAATTGTAAAGCCCAAGCTTTTTAAATATCTTTGTACCATTCTTCACTACTTTATACTGCATCTCAAAAAAGAAATATTTCTCAACTTATTTTCTTTTGAACTAGAAGAGAAGTGAGCTAATCAAGTTACATTTATAATAGCTAGATTTATTGAGAGGTAAGCATATGCTAAACACTTAGCTAGACTTACATGCATTATTTCATTTTCCACCTCAGCCATAGCAGGGGAATACTACTAGTATTCCTATTCAACTGCTGAAGAAACTAAGTCTTAGAGAAGTTTCACTCATCCTCAGTCACACAACTTTTAAATGGTGGAGTAGAGTTGGAATTTGGAATACGTGTTTCTAATACCTGGTATGTCTAGCTGGATGAAGATTGGGATTTGTTTTTGAAGATTCTTGGACAAATTCCATTTAATAAACTAAAAATAATCTTTGATATTTACAATGTAATTCATAGCTTTTTTTCCTTACCCTTGGAAAAATAAAGTTAAAAATTAACAAATATTGTTAACTAAATTAGTTATATCAAGGTCTGTGTGCTTGCATCTGAGAGTTATAAATTGCAACACAATGCATAAAGGGACTATGTAATCTTTGCTGAATTCCTTTGCGAACCTTCACATTTTCTGGAAATTATCCTCAATTATTGATAATTAGTTGCAATTCAAGAGGGCAAAAGGACAAAGGCACACAGGGTGCTGCCCATTGAAATAGTCCCGGAGTGTATCAGATGAGGAAAAGAAGTTCTGATTGGCCGTAATCACTGCCTGTCATTTCTCTCTTATTGGGTGTAACATTTCCCTCTTTGAAGTAGTTGCATGATTGTGTCCGCAGATGCTAACTTTGTGTTGGCCACTGTGGAGCCCACAAGAATGGCCTTATGGATATCCTACCACAGGAAGTATAACTGGCTGAGTGCCCTATGTGCAGCTGCACATTAAAATCTAATATTGCATTTGTGCAGAGGCCTGCCTCCCATGGACCACTCTACACCAATGACCAAGTGAGGTGGGGATACTAAGGCAGAGACCTCTTTTTGGGAGACAGATGACTCTTTCATTGGCCAACTTTGGCCTGAAAAAATTCACAAATGTTGCCAAAACTGCAGCCTCCCCTCCCTCTCTTCCACACACGGGGCAGATTCACGTCATGGCCTAAGGGCTCTCCCTTTCTTTTTCTCCCTTTCTATTTGCCCTTATATGGTTATTTTCCCTAAGAACTCCACTTCATGTCTAATCCTGTCTTCGTTGTGCCTTCTACGTTTGCAGAGTTGACCCAACATCTTTTAGTAAGGAAGGGTTAGGAATTCTACTTTGCTGAAAGATGCTGCAGAAGCCTTCTCCTTTTCTTCTGACACAAGGAAACAGGTGTCCTCTCAGAACCTTCACTCACTTCCTTTCTTGGCTGCTGGGCTGATAATTAGGGTTAAAGCCCAGCATCACCTGGCTGGGACATTCTGGATCTGAAAAGGGAGGAAAAAGACTATACATGTAAAACAGGGCTTATCAAACATGGCACTAGTGACAATTTAGATTGAATATTTTGTTTTCCTTGTGGAGGGTTTCCTGGGTATTGTAGGATGTTTAGCATGATCCTTGGCCTCTCCCCATTAGATGCTGGTTGTGACATCCTTGGTTGTGATAAACAAAAATATCTCCAGATGTTTCGAAATGTTGCTTGGGGGAAAAGATGCCTGCAGCTGAGAACAATTAACCTAAAGAATAACAAGAACTGGTTGAGGTCCTTTTTATCAGTGCCCCAACATTGGCATAGAGCAGTAAATTAAGGGAGTATTTTGGGATTTTGATGGTACTTGATTAGATGGCTGGATTCTAAAGCAAGATAAGCAAGTATTCATTTCTTAGGACATGAAATTTAACATGCTGCATGGCAGATGGCAGGTGAGAGAATAAAAAGATTGAGAGAAATGGGCATAATGGGATGGATATATTTTGTATGGCCAGAAGACCCACCAGAGGTCTGGGATCCAAGAGAGATCCCAGATAATACACCATTTACCAAGGTCATCAGGATTATACTGGTGAGACAGGCATCAGCATCACCAAGAAGTGTATACAGGCCAGTGATGATAGTAGGAGGTGCAGCCGCAGAGCTGGGCTTATTAGCATCTGTGGGAATGGTCGGGCTCCACAGTAATACAGGCCAGGTGGTATTGCTTAATTATCACAAGCCAGAAAGCTGGAATAATCATTATAATTGGTAAAGTCATTGTGGAGATGGTAACTATAGCCTGGTATTCCTAGAAGCAAGTAAATGGAAAGCCAGCAAGAGTGCTATGGAGAAAACACTTTCTACGCTTAGAAATATTGCTCTGGCACATATACCTGGTGACATAGAGGGCTGCTATCTTTGGCTGGGGCCAAGAGAAGTAAAAGTTACTGTAGCATATCCACTTGGCAGTGCAATCAGCCCCACTACTTGGCCAGTACAATACAGCATATCTTATGGTGATGGAAGTATCAATGGTGAGAAAAAATGCAGCATAGAGCTAATAGAATGATCCAGTATGAAAAATCACATTAAACACTCCTGGGATTCTAGGCTTCAGGTCATGCATCCCACCAACAAAGAGTTATATGTCCTTTGCAAAAGAGCTCTAGGCATTTGATATGGTTTGGTCATGTCCCCACCCAAATTTCATCTTGAATTGTAGCTCCCACAATCCCCACATGTCAGAGGGACCCAGTGTGAGGTAATTGAATCACAGGGCTGGGGTTTTCCTGTGCTGTTCTCGTGACAGTGAATACGTATCATGAGATCTAATGGTTTAACAAAGGGCAGTTCCCCTGCACATGCTCTCTTGCCTGCCACCATATAAGATGTGCCTTTGCTCCTCCTTCACCTTCCACCATGATTGTGAGACCTCCCCAGCCATTTGGAACTGTGAGTTCATTAAACCTCTTTTTCTTTATAAATTACTCAGTCTTGGGTACTTCTTCATAGCAGTATGAAAATGGACTAATACAGCAGCTTACTAGACCCTGCTAGATATGAAATGCTTAACCTATCATGTGACCATATGCCTGGAACATCCCATTATGAGATGAATTCTAGTGGATGATCCCAGTGGTAAGCAAGCTGGAAATTACACATCTTAGATCAAGTATGGGGATATCCAGAGGGCATGAGTAATCTGCATGAGGAGGTAGCCTAGATTTTCATGTCACCCAGCCCTGTTACACAAATGACCTTTCCCCAGCTTGTTCATATGGGTCTTCTCTTACCAACTGAAAAGGGTCAAAAAATCCCATGTTTGGGTTATAAATGTGTTGACTTGTTATATGGGTAAAAAACAAGAATAGATAGTATCTGCATTATAGTCATATTTAGAGCTGGACCTGAGAGACAGGGGAGAGAAAAAATCTTCCCAATAGGTGAAGCTGTAAGGAGTGCACTTGATTATCCACTTTGTGTGGAAGGAAAAGTGGTTCAACCAAGATGCCCCTCAATGGTGGACTGGATGAAGAAAATGTGGTACATATGTACCATGGAATACCATGCAGCCACGAAAAAGAATGAAATCATGTTATTTGCAGCAACATCAATGCAGCTGAAATCCATTATCTTAAGCAAATTAATAAAAGAACAGAAAACCAAATACCATGTATTTTCACTTACAAGTGGGAGATAAACATTGAGTACACACAGACTCAAAGATGGGAACAATAGACACTGGTGACTACTAGACAGAAAAGAGTAGGAGGGGAAAGAGGGTTGAAAAACTAGCTGTGCTCACTACCTGGGTGACAGGATCATTTATTCACCAAATCTCAGTGATAAGAAATTTACCCATGTAAAAAAACCTGCACCTGTACCCCATGAATCTAACATAAAAATCAGAAAAAAAAGAAAATGGTTCAATATGAGAAGACGGATACATTCCTAGGAAGTAGCCAATGGCCTGACCATCTGGAAGGGGGTCCCTAAAGGAAAATGACTGAAAAATAGGAGACAAGGAGTTCAAGGTAGAGGCATGTGGATAGAAAATGTGAAGATTTTCATATCACATGTTAATGCCCTCCAGAAATTATCTGCCATAGAAGAAGTTCTGAATAACCAATTTTGCAGAATAACTACCATTTGAGGTTAGCCAGTCTTCACCATTGGCCAGCTCAAAATGTTTGTGATGGGAACATGAATGGAATGGCCATGGAGGCAGAGACAGATGCTAGGAATAGACCCACAGGCATGTATTCACACTTACTGTGGCTGCTTCAGCTGCTGTTGCCTCTAAATGTCTAATTGGTCAGAAACAGAAACAACCACTGAGCCCATGATACAGCACTGTCCCTTGAGAAGACCAACTAGCATTTGGCGGTAAGTTGACTAAATTGCCTCCCTTCAATCCTGGAAGTGTTAGTGGTTTAATCTCACAGAGATGGATATTTATTCTTGATATAGGTTTGCCTTTTCTGTTTGCAGCACCTCAGCCAGCACTGTGATCTAGGAACTTACGGACTTCCTGATCCACAAGCATGAAATCTCATACAGTATAGCATTTGTGCTCCTACTTTAAAATGAAAAAGATATGTGAGTGAGTTCATGACCATGGAATCCGCTGGTCATATCACCTGCTACGTGGATGTTGGGACAGTCTTCCAAGGCACAATTGAAATGCAAGTTTGAAGGCAACACTGAGAAGATAGCATGTTACCCTTCAGAATGCAGTTTATTAAATCAAAGACCTCTATAGGGCAATATTTCCCTAAAAGGAAAGATACACGTGTCTGGGAACCGAGGAGTAGAAGGAGGAATGGTCCTACTCTTCATCTTCCCAAATCACTTGGGGCACTTTGTGGCTCCTGTTCCTGCAATTCTGGGTTCTGCAGGATTGCACATTCTAGTCCCCAAACAGGACACATTCTTGCAAAGAGATTCACAGCAAGGGCTCAATGGAATTAAAAGTTATGTCCTCTTGGCCGGGCGCGGTGGCTCACGCCTGTAATCCCAGCACTTTGAGAGGCTGAGGGCGGGTGGATCACGAGGTCAGGAGACAGAGACCATCCTGGCTAACACGGTGAAACCCCGTCTCTACTAAAAATACAAAAAAATTAGCCAGCTATGGTGGCGGGCGCCTGTAGTCCCAGCTACTCGGGAGGATTGAGGCAGGAGAATGGCGTGGACCCAGGAGGCGGAGGCTGCAGTAAGCCAAGATTGAGCCACTGCACTCCAGCCTGGGCGACAGGGCAAGACTCTGTCTCCAAAAAAAAAAAAAAAAAAAGAAAGAAAAAAAAGTTATGTCTTCTTTGAGGATGCTTTGGACTCTTAGTGCCCAGGGACCATCAGGCGAAAGAAAGAGTCACCATATTCCTGGGACGATTGACCCCAGTCATCATGAGGAGGCACTGAATGTGAGTAGGGAGGCATGCACATGAAACCCAAGTGATTCCTGGGATTCTTCCTGCTGTACCCTGTTCCACTGTAACTGTGAATAGATGTGGGCAGCAACTCTGAATTGAGAAGGATATTACTGCCAAATATTCAGAACCTTCAGGTGTGAAGACTTGCATCCCCGAACCAGGTAATCCTTTAAGATCTTCGGCAAAGCTGAAGGAATTCAGAGTGGAAAGTGCAGGAGGGTGAGGAGGAGTTCCAAGACAGTTTGCAGTGACAGCGGCTTTAGTTCATCCTACTTTCCTTCTTCTGAGCTTTTCTTTGGGAAGAATGGCTCTTGGAAAACTGGTGAACTGTTCCCCAAAGCTGTGAGAAGTACACTTTGTACAGTGTGAGGTATAGATTATGACAGCCCCAAGGATGTGCCTCCAGATCTCCTACTCCAGGGAGCACAATTGACCCAGCACCCCAAAAGTTGTGATTAGAAAACTATCACCACATTTATGCTGATGCTCTTCCTAGCTAATGACTAAGTGCAGTGGAATGCTAAAGTAGACCCATTCTTGAGATACAAGGGACTCCTTTATTTGCCTACTTTGGCTCCAGGAGTGCCTATAGCTTTGTCAAACCTGCCTTAGATTGCACTGTAGTCTGGGATATACTTCCGCAAAACCTCTTCTCACTTTTCTTTTTTCTTTTTTTTTTTTTTTTTTTTGAGATGGAGCCTCGCTCTGTCGCCCAGGCTGGAGTGCAGTGGCGCGATCTCAGCTCTCTGAAAGCTCCGCCTCCCGGGTTCACGCCATTCTCCTGCCTCAGCCTCCCGAGTAGCTGGGACTATAGGTGCCCGCCACCACGCCCAGCTAATTTTTTGTATTTTTTAGTAGAGACGGCGTTTCACCGTGTTAGCCAGGATGGTCTCGATCTCCTGACCTCGTGATCCGCCCGCCTCGGCCTCCCAAAGTGCTGGGATTACAGGCGTGAGCCACCACGCCCGGCCTCTTCTCACTCTTTCCTTCACTTAAGGTCAGACTTTCAGCCTCTCCCAGCCTCTTTCAGCTCCCCTGCTTGTTTCTTTTACGTAGGCATTTTCCCCATTACAATTCTTGCACGTTTAATCCTATCTTTATGTCTGCATCTCAGAGAACCTGGACTAACATAGCACTCTATGTTTGTTCAAAATTTTGAGAAAAGAAGACTCACCAGTAGAGTTGGGTTGAATGTTATTTTGAATTATCTTAGTAGGTATTGAAGGTGTAAGTAGACAATCTCTTTAACAGAATTCTGTTTCTTGTTATCCATGAGCTTCCATCTCATTGTTTATTAAAGAAATCAGTCAAATTGGGCCCATTCAAAGAAGAGTGTCACTCTCATTTTAACAAGTTCCTAAAATAAATTGGTGCAGGGCATTGTACTGATAGATTCCAAAGTAGCATCTGCTGTGCAGAAGGATTGATTCAGTGCCTGAATGCTGCACTGGGAGTCTGTAAAACACGGGCTTCATACATCGTGTGAGGTATGGCATTTTCTTCGCAAGTGTTCTTTGTTTCATGAAGGAAGCCTGGAAAGTCCATTTGAGGAAAATTGGTTACTGCCCTCCTCCAGTCACTTATTCTGTGGGACATTGTTTTCTCCAGGTAATACCTAGCTTTTCTACCTGTCCTAGTGGAAATGCTGACTAAACTTTTCTGTTCATACCTGTGATACCGCTAGTTAAGCCCTGTTTTAACTTCACCATAAACTGGAATTAAAGTTCAGTGAAATGAAACTTTCACCTAAATGTGCATCAGTTCTTCAAAAATGTAAAGTATTTCTTATGAAAAAACTTAGTTGTACCTATATTCTATAGTCTCTGAATTCCCTTAGCTAAAGATCTTTGAGTTTCTGTGTCTCAAAGTGTGTATTTAAATCTATTTCTTCTATTGATGTAAGGCTTATGATTTTATTAGCTTGGGTAATAACCACAGATGGTTTCTGACTATTGTCAAGACTGTTATACGTTCATGAATGTAGAAGGAAAAAAGCAAATGCATTTATAGTCTAACAGATTTAGGTTACCTAATTCTTGCTTTGGGCAAGTCATAAAACAGAAAATATAAACAAATGATGATAATTTAGTAATAACAACAGCATAAAGTAGCTGTATTAGTTTTCTGTTGCTGCTTTAACAGAGCACCACTAACTTAGTGGTTTAAAGCCACACAAACTTATTATCTTACGGTTCTGGAGGTTAGAAGGCTAAAAAGGGTCTGCAGGGCTGTATTCTTTCTGAGATTTCAGGGGAGAATCCATTTCCTGGCCTTTTGAGAATCCTAGAAGCTGCCTGCATTTCTTGGCCTATGACCCCATCTCCATCTGCAAGGCCAAGAGCTCCCTCTTAAAATAACATTTGTGATTATACTGGGGAAGCCTGGATAACCCAGAATGATTTTCTCATCTCAAGATCCTTAATTTAACCACATTTGCAAAGTCTCTTTTGCCATACAAGGTAACATATTTACCGCTCTTGGTGATTGGAACAAGGACATTTTTGGGGGACTATTGTCCTACTTAATATTGTTAATATTAACAACAAATGGAACGTAAAACAACGAGTAAAAAAAAATCCAGGCACACCACATTTGGCTTATTAGAGCATAAATGTACCAATGATATCTTTCAGCATTTTTAGTTAAATTATTTTAGAAGTGTATTCAATAATATGGAAATTGAAAAGCCTTTGTAGTATTTTCCTAAGTGAGAAAAAAAGTTATACTTCATTATATACCCCAGTTTGTCAATATGACCCCAGTTTTTCAAATTAACGTATTACATTTATATATAGACACAGGTAAAGACAGAATGGATTTAAAGCAAAATGCTAACTCTTCACATTTGAGTAATAGAATTTGGGTAATTTTAATTTTTGTGGATATGCTTCCCGATATTTCTCATTTTCTAAGTTCAACATGTATTGTTATAATAAAAAAAGTTCTTAGATATTTTAGTGATCTTCATGCTTGAAGGATAAAAATTTTTTAGGGGGGTGCTTTGATGATGTTAAGTATACTAATCAGAGCTTCTAAGACTATAAAGCAGGAATGGATGGACAATAGCATTTTAATTGCAACCATTGAAAATACTTTTCAAACCTTTATTATTACTCAGAAATGTCCGACTTCTTATTCCTTTATTTTTGTATTATTAATTACTTAAGCTTTTTACTTATGGAAAAACTGGAGGATTGTTTTGTATACCTACTTAATTAAACTCTTTTAATCTATATTAATATTATCAGCTATCATGCTGCCAGCTTTTAGTGTGTGTAATTACCATATTTCTAAAAACACATTGTTTAAAAATAAACCATGCAATTACACACATGAAAGAAGTTTTCTGCGTCAAATATTTTCATTGCTCCAGCAATTGTATTCCATAAGCTAACGAATGTTTAATTTGTCAGAAAGTTTGAGGAGTAATCAAAACAACCTATTCCTCTATTATACCAGTTAAATAAATATTTGTGTATTTAATACTTCTTTGTACCAAAACCCTAGAAGAACACTGTAAATACATAATACTGTTTTTCACAGTACTCCCAGACAGCCTAATTTTAGTAACCAGGAGACATCCTAGGCGTTGCCTTAAATTCATTCCATAGTTCATCAGCAGAGCTCCAACAATGGTCTTTCAAATTATTTTCCCCAGAAGTAGAATGCATATCATTTGACTAATAATATGAACTTGTAGGATGTTACAGTGATAATCATCTTTGTAGTGATTTTCCACAGAGGGCAAGAATTTCAAGTTATAGCCCCAAGAAATAGGTACACCAAATGACAATTTAACTACAGAATCAACTGAGCACATTCCTTCAGTGATTGTTAACATTCTACAGACTGTTTAGCATTTCATATTCGCAAGTTTAAGAAGGAATAGTCTTTAACATGATAATGATAGGACGATATTCACTGAAATCCATCCAGGAGTCATGCACCACGACTTTTGTGTTCTTAGACTAGTCACTTACAGTGCTGGCCTTCAATTTTCTCATCCCCACTGGAGAGCAGAAGAGGGCTGTGAAGCCTTCAAATATCTAGGGGAGTCTTCAAGTGTCTCACAGAGAAGAGAGCTGAAATTTCAACTGGAAGTTCTTTTGACAATTAGGAAAGAAAGAGATGCTAAGTCTAGAGAGAAATGAGGTAACTATCTCAAAAGAGGATTTGGAGAAATCTATCTGAGAGAAGAAAAAACCAAAGGGAAACCTGTTTTAAAATATATGCAGAGCCATCATTGAGCTGTGTTTTCCAGTGGGCTGGAGTAAGAGGGTCTGGAAAACATAACGAAGTGCCAGGCTGGGTGCCATACAGAGAGTGCAAATGGTATAGGTGTTTTGAAGCTAAAGAGAAGAAAATATTGTTTCCACAGACACTAGGACAACTCAAACTAACAGTGGAACAGGTTGTCATATATAGAGTGGAATGCTATCTGACATTGGAGTTTAAGAGGAAGCCAGAGGACCCTCCATCTGATACATTGCAGAAAAGATATTTAGATGGGGTGAAAGACTGGACTATAAGACATTTCAGGTTTAAAGAGTCTATTTCTCAATGATTAAAGAAACAGTATTTTATGAATGAAGATAAAAATATTTAGATCGTTAATTTTATTTAACCATTATTTTTAATTTATGGAATGACATTTGGGGAGTGGTGTTGGATGACCTTGTTTTAGTAAAGGTTTTGATTACTCCTAAATGTGTGACCTTGATTAAGTCACTTAAAGTCTCTAAGTTTCCTTAACTGTACTATTTATTACCTATCACATTTTTGAGTGTGTTGTGATGTCAAATTAAAAAATAAACATGAAAAACCTGCATGTGAAACCCCTTTGCATCACTTAAAGCCCAAAACAATTATTTACTTGCTATTATTATTATCCCTATTTTAATCTTTTTTATTGATAATATAATAGGAACCTTCTCCATTCTCATATCTACTCTAAAAGTATTATTCATCCCTACTTTACAATGTGAAAATTAGACTAACTGCAGGTTAAATTATTAGTCATAGCTAAACTCAGAATAGGGCACAGATTTTCTTCTTAGCATAGAAATGAAGATGCTCTTTTCAGGTAAAGGACACATTGCTAAGAGCTTCTTCATTTCAACTTGCTGTGCTTGAAATTGGTGTTCGCGGTTACTGGTGTCTGATGTGGAATTTGATCAGCTAATGGATGAAAGCTGAAAAACGACAGAAGAAGTAATGGGGCTGAAACTAAGGTATACTTCACAGAGACAAGGGAGAGAGTATTTGTAAATTGCACAAGATAGTCTAGCTCCTGAGTAATCTTGACTGAGCACACTAACTTACTTGATGAGCAATAATGGGATGGGGAATCACTTAATTTGACATAGATTTTTTTTTATCAGACTTTAAGCTGTCTCTCATTATGTCTCTTGGAAAGGTCATACTTTCAATTTTCCCAGTGGGTAAAGGAAAAAATTGCCTTTCATTAACTTCAGACATTTTTCTCTTTATTTTTTGTGAAAGACTGAAAGTTTCGGAATGAAAGTAAAAGACACATTCTATTATTCCTGGCTGTAGGAAGTAGAAGAAAATAGAAGGCAGAAGGAACAGATAAACTCAAAAGAGATGATCCAATTCCTGCCAAAAGAAGCAAATATATATATATTCATATATATATGAATGAAACATTACTGAGTTGTCAAGAATACTTACCACTTGAAAACTGCAATCATCATTATTAAAGGATTGTAGAAAGTCAAAGGGTCTGATGCACTCAACTGACCACTGAGATGTGGTCAGCTCAGAGAAGTCTGGGTTGTATTGTTTCTGAGCTAACACACACAAATACAAGAAATGGTTCCATTTCCTAAACCACTGTGATTCATGGTTGATGAATTTGCCTTTCTCAAAAAATGAAAACAACTCTCACAATTGAGGTTAATGGAAAATATAATTCTTAAAGGTTTTGTGTGGGATTATTCTCATAACATTGTCATAGCACTTACGTTTTTTAGTATTAATTGAAAAGGTAAATTGAATGGTAATTGAAAAGGAAACATATGAGTCACAAAAGGAAGAATGTTGAAAGGAGTACTGTGATTGGTGGAAATGATGTTTTTAAAGCAGAAATGTCAAAAGTTGATCAGTTTATTTAATAATCATTATTGTAATAAATGACTTTTATATAATGGGCAATTGCTTTGGCCAGGAATATCAAAATGTTTTCTGGATGGAAATGCAATATGTAGCAAATTTTGTCATTGTACTAACATTTGGTCATGAGAATGACAAAACTATAAACCAAGATAATTGACTTATACAAAGCATATGTATCAGCAAACTCAAGGAATGGATAAAAGTAAAGAAAGATCATCAGGAAAGGAGGTTGCATCCATAGTCACGTCTTTTTATTTTTCTAGAACCAAAAGGCCTCCAAGCAATACTTCTCTATTTTATATTTCGTTTTAACTTTCTCTGACCTCCTATGGATACTGATGAACTTCTGAAAAATTTTGGAGAAAATACTGGAGCTCTAATTTGACCAAGACAGTGGAGAATATTCCAGTTCTATTTCTCATCTTGTGTCTCCTTATGTTGTCATAAGTTCGTGTCTTGATCTGTTTAAATAACTCTCCAAGATATATTAAGATGCTTAAATTAATCATCAGCTGGAAAGCACCTCTGATATGCAGGTAGCATGACAAGGTGGCTATAACCTTAGACCTGGAGATTAATGTTGCTAACATGTATGTAGCAAACAAAAAATAATCCAGGTCCTATAGTCTGCAAAAAGGGTGAAATGTTCCATTTTTTCTATTTCCTTCTTCGACCAAAATGTGTATGCTCTCTCTCTCTCTCTCTCTCTCTCTATATATATATATATATATATCTGTATATATATCTACATGTATCTGTATATATCTGTAAATATCTATATATATCTATATAGATCTACATAGATATATATAGATCTATCTAGATAGATAGATATAGATATATATCTATATGGATAGATAGATATAGATATATATCTATATGGATAGATAGATATAGATATATATCTATATGGATAGATAGATATAGATATATATCTATATGGATAGATAGATATAGATATATATCTATATGGATAGATATAGATATATATCTATGTGGATAGATATAGATATATATCTATGTGGATAGATATCGATATATATCTATGTGGATAGATATCGATATATATCTGTGTGGATAGATATCGATATATATCTATGTGGATAGATAGATATATATCTATGTGGATAGATAGATATAGATATATATCTATGTGGATAGATAGATATAGATATATATCTATGTGGATAGATAGATATAGATATATATCTATGTGGATAGATAGATATAGATATATATCTATGTGGATAGATAGATATAGATATATATCTATGTGGATAGATAGATATAGATATATATCTATGTGGATAGATAGATATAGATATATATCTATGTGGATAGATAGATATAGATATATATCTATGTGGATAGATAGATATAGATATATATCTATGTGGATAGATAGATATAGATATATATCTATGTGGATAGATATAGATATATATCTATATGGATAGATATAGATATATATCTATATGGATAGATATAGATATATATCTATATGGATAGATATAGATATATATCTATATGGATAGATATAGATATATATCTATATGGATAGATATAGATATAGATATATATCTATATGGATAGATAGATATAGATATAGATATATATCTATATGGATAGATAGATATAGATATATATGGATAGATAGATATAGATATAGATATATATGGATAGATATAGATATATATCTATATGGATAGATATATCTATCTATCTAGATAGATAGATATACACACACCCATATATACATAATATGGATTGGTTGCATCAATACCTGTATTTTCTTTTGATGTGCAGAACTATGAAGAGGAGGCATTACTAGATAGGTATGACCACTAGTGCAATTTATAATTCAAACAATACTTGAAAACTATTTTCATAAATTTATTATTTTATTACCACAAATAAATGTATTCCTGTTCACAACATCCAGAAATGAATTTGAGCACAGTCCATTATGAGAAAGAGAGCAGATTTTTGACTAGCTGATACAGATGCAAATGGAGCCACATAGGTGAGCAAAATTACTTTACATCAAGTTGCCTTACTGTTAGATACAGTCAGTCTCCTATAAGGATATCCTCTTTCTCTAGTTTCTGCCCTCCTCTTCCTCCAGATTGTCATCTGTCTTCTCTAGCCTTCTGATACTCTTATAGGGTCCAGTTTCATTCTGTGGGCAGTTTCAGGGTCTCTGAGGTCAGGGTTACTGACAATTGCCATGTCAGAGACTGATAGGTTCTTACCATTCCTCAAAGAAAGAGGCTTCTTTTTTCCTAGTCTCTTCAGAATGGGTCATCTACAATATACATGCTCAGTTCTTTCCTTCCTTCCTTCCTTCCTTCCTTCCTTCCTTCCTTCCTTCCTTCCTTCCTTCCTTCCTTCCTGCCTTCATTCCTTCCTTCCTTCCTTCCCAGAATGGGCCATCTACCATATACATGTTCAATTCCTTCCTTCCTTCCTTCCTTCCTTCCTTCCTTCCTTCCTTCCTTCCCTCCCTCCCTCCCTCCCTCCCTCCCTTCTTTCCTTCCTTCCTTCCTTCCTTCCTCCTTCCTTCCTTCCTTCCTTCCTTCTCTCTCTTTCTTTCTTTCTCTTTCTTTCCTTCTTTCTTTCTTGAGACAAAGTCTCACTCTGTCGCCCAGGCTGCAGTGCAGTGCTGCGATCTCGGCTTACTGTCAGCTCTGCCTCCCAGGTTCAAGAGATTCTGTCTCAGCCTCCCGAGGGGCTGGGATTTCAGACACTCACCACCACACCCAGCTAATTTTTGTATTTTTAGTAGAGACAGATTTCACCATGTTGGTCAGGTTGGTCTCGAACTCCTGACCTCAGGTGATCCATCCCCTCTCCCTCCCAAAGTGCTGGGATTACAGGCATGAGCCACCACGCCTGGCCTCACATGTTCAATTTTATCTCATGGCAACATGTTACGAAGCAAATGAAGTCTCTGTCTTACCAAAGACCCTCCTCATCACAGTAAGGAGTATATGGAAATAAAGGAGTCAGAGAGAACAGAGAAACTGATTATCCATTCTCTTGCTATCCCCTTACTCCAAAACATATTTGATTGGCATCTGCTTGAAGAGACTTTGGATGTCTTTCTAATACTGGCTTTTGAGTGACTTAGGCAAATTGTAGACTCCTTTTTGATATCAATTTGGAAATAAACTGCTATAATTTCTGTACTTTCTGAAGGGTGGAAAAACTGTGCTTATGTAATATTAAAAACATCCTGTCAATTCAGTTAAAAATTAGAATTGTTTGTTTTTACAATCAAAAGCTCTGATTTTATAAAATTGGGCTTCTAGTTTTATTTTAACTGCTTACTAACCAGGTTTTTCTGTTGCTTCTTTAAGATAACTGGGAAAACATTACTGTCCACTGATTTCACGAGGTTGTTGTGAAGAACAAATGAGAAAAATATAGGTAAAATTGCTTTGGAAAGTGCAAAAAAAATTATATAATGGTGAAAAGCATGTCCTTAAAATAAACCTTCAAATGAATTTTTCTTTTTTTAATATATGTAGGTTGAACATAGGGGACAGTGCAGGCACTACCAGTAATGCAACCAGCATTTGATTTCTTGCTTTTCTGCTCTAAAAGAACTTTGATTTAGTTGGAATAGCAATGTGCCTAACATAAGACTCCTTTGCAGGTAAAAGCAGCCACATTTCATAGTTTTAACCAGAGAGGTATGGATAGAAGTTATTGGATAAGATCTCTGGAAAATCTCTTTGAAAGAAGGACTAAACTCTACTAGTATGTAACTTTGTCCTGCTCTCTTCCTCCTTCTTCCTTCATGGGATGTGGATGCTTTGGTGTAGAATTAAAACAACTACTTTATGACCTTATGGTGACCTTAAAATTACAAACCACCAGAAAGAATAGAAGACTGGAAAGGCCTAGGGTGCTTGGGTCATTGATGACATCCTGGGGCTGAAGCATCAAGCCCTGAAATATCCAAATCCAAATTAGTCATGTTACATGGGAAACAAAAAATCCCTATCTTTTAAAATCACGTATTTGTTATTCACAGTCAGGGTGTTTCTAACTAAACCAGTATAATTATAGGATCTATACTTTCTACCAATTGATTTTAAGTACTCATATATCCAATGATAATATTTGATAGTTCTACTGACATCTCATATAATCTTATATGTCCCACTGGCATTTCACATGCAGGGACTCTACAATTCAACTCATCCTTGTCACAGAAGTTTTTTTTTTCTTATCTTTTATTATTAAACTCAATGAAAGGCATCACTATTTCTCAGTCAATAAAGCAATTTTTGCTTTATTGGGTGTTAAACTTTTAAACCACCCTTGCATCCCCGGGGTAAATCCCACTTGATTATGATGAATGATTTTTTTAATGTGTTGTTAAATTCAGTTTGCTAGTATTTTGTTGAGGATTTTTGCATCGTTGTTCATCAGGGAGGTTAGTCTGTAGTTTTATTTTTTTAATGTGGCTTCGTCTGGTGGTGTTATCCGGGTAATACTGGCCTCATAGAATGAGTTTGGAAGTATTCCCTCTTATTCCATTTTTTGGAATGATTTGAGGATTGGTATTAGTTCTTTAAATGTTTGGTAAAATTCAGCAGTGAAACTATCAAGTCCCAGGCTTTTCTTTGCTGGGATACTTTTTTAGTATGGCTTCAATTTTATTACATTTATTATTGGTCTGTTCAGGTTTGGATTGTTCATGGTTCAATTTTTGTAGGTTGTATGTCTAGGAATTTGTCCATTTCTTCTAGGTTTTCAAATTTGTTAGTATAGATTGTTAATGATGCCCTCAAATATCATTTGAATTTCTATGATATTATTGTAATATCTCCCTTTTCATCTCTGATTTTATTTATTTGGGTCTTCTTGCTTTTTTCTTTCTTAGTCTGGCTAAAGGTTTATCAGTTTTGTTTGTCTTTTCAAAAAATCAACCTTTGTTTTTGCCGATCTTTTGTATTGTTTTCTTCACTTTAATTTCATTTATTTCTGCTCTGATCTTTATTATTTCCTTTCTTCTCCTAATCTTTGGTTTGATTTGCTCTTCCTTTTCTAGTGTTTTAAGGTGCATCATTAGATTGTTTACTTGAAGTTTTTCTACATTTTTGATGTAGGCATTTAGAGCTATAAACTTTCCTCTTAGTACTGTCTTTGCTGTATCCAGTAGGTTTTGATATGTTGTGTTTTCATTATCATTTGTTTCCAGAAATTTTAAAATTTCATTCTTAATATCTTCATTGACCCATCATCATTGAGGAGCATATTGTTTAATTTCCATGTGTATATGTAGTTTCCAAAATTCCTCTTGTTTTTGACTTCTAGTTTTATTCCATTGTGGTCAGAGAAGATGTTTGATATTGTTTCATTTTTTTTTAATGTTTTAAGACTTGTTTTGTGACCTAACAGATGGTATAATCTTGAGAAACATCCATATGCTAAGGAAAAGAATGTGTATTTTGCAGCCAAGGATGAAATGTTCTGTCAATATCTATTAGGTCTATTTGTTTATGGTGCAGATTATTTTATTTTATCTTATTTTGTTTTATTATTTATTGATACAGTCTCACTCTGTTGCCCTGGTTGGAGTGGAGTGGCATGATCTCAGCTCACTGCAACCTCCACTTCCTAGGTTCAAGTGATTCTCCTACCTCAGCCTCCCAAGTAGCTGGGATTACAGGCACCCACCACCATGCCTGGCTTTTTTTTTTTTGTATCTTTAGTAGAGATGGGATTTCACCATGTTGGGTAGGCTGATCTTGAACTTTTGACCTCAGATGATCCACTCACCTCAGCCTCCCAAAGTGCTGGGATTACAGTCATGAGCCACCATGCCTGGCCCTATGGTGCAGATTAAATCTGATGTTTCTTTGTTGATTTTCTGTCTGGAAGATCTGTCCAGCACTGAAAGTGGGATGTTGAAGTCTCCAGCAATTATTGTATGGGTGTCTAACTCTCTGTTTATCCCTAATAATATTGACTTTATATGTCTAGGTACTCCAGTGTTGGGTGCTATATTTACAACTGTTATATCCTCTTGCTGAATTGACCCCTTTATCATTATATAAGTGGACATCTTTGTCTCTTTTCTTTTTCTTTTTCTTTTTTTTTTTTTTTTTTTGAGATGGAGTCTTTCTTTGTCACCAGGCTGGAGTGCAGTGGCACAATCTTGGCTCACTGCAACCTCCACCTCCCTGGTTCAAGCAATTATCCTGCCTCAGCCTCCTGAGTAGCTGGTATTACAGGCATGTGCCACCACACCCAGCTAATTTTTGTATTTTTAGTAGAGACAGGAATTCACCATGTTGGTCAGAATGGTCTCTTTTCATAGTTTTTGTCTTGAAATCTATTTTGTCTGATGTAACTATAGCTCCTTCTGCTCTTTCTTTGGTTTCCATTGTCATGGAATATCTTTTTCATTCCTTTATGTTCAGTCTACTTGTGTCTTTATAGGTGAAATATGTTTCATGTAGGCAACAGATTATTGGATCTTGTTTTTTTTTTAATCCTTTCTGCCAGTCTGTGTCTCTTGATTGGAGAGTTTAGTCCATTTACATTTAATGTTATTTTTGATAAGTAAGAATTTACACATGCCATTTTGTTATTTGTTTTCTGGTTGTTTTGTGGTTTTCTCTTCCTTCTTTCCTATCTTCTTATTTTAGTGAAGGAGATTTTCTCTGGTGGTTTTATTCTCTTTTTATCTTTTGTGTATCCATTGTATGTTTTTTGATTTGAGGTTACCATGAGGCTTGCAAATAATATCTTGTAACCCATTATTTTGAACTGACAACAAATTAACACTGAATGCATAGACAGACAAGCAAAGAGAAACCAATAAAACCTCTGTACCTTAACTTCTTCCAACTTTTTAACTTTTTTTATTTCTATTTATATATTTTTGTACTGTCTATGTCTTGAAAAGTTGTTCTAGTTATTATTTTTCATGGGTTTATCTTTTAGTCTTTCTACTCAAGATATGAGTAGTTCACACACCACAATTACAGTGTTATAATATTCTGTGTTTTTACATGTACTTTCTATTACCAATGAGTTTTGAACCTTCAAATGATTTCTCGTTTCTCAGTAACATTCTTTTCTTTCAGATTAAAGAACTCCCTTTAGTATTTCTTGTACAATGGGTCTGGTGTTGATGAAATCCCTCAGCTTTTGTTTGTCTTTGTGTATTAGTCCATTTTCATGCTGCTGATAAAAACATACCTGAGACTGGGTAATTTATAAAGAAAAAGAGGTTTAAAAGAGTCACAGATCTACATGGCCCAGGAGGCCTCACAATCATGGCAGAAGGCAAAAGGCACATCTTATATGGCAGCAGACAGAAGAGAAGGAGAGCCAAGTGAAAGAGGTTTCCCCTTATAAAATCATCAGATTTCATGTGATTTATTCAGTACCATGAGAACAGTATGAGGGAAACTGCCCTCATGATTCAATTAACTCCCACTAGGTCCCTCCCACAACATGTGGGAGTTATGGAAGCTATAATTCAAGATGAGATTTGGGTGGGGACACAGCCAAACCATATAATTTTGCCCTTGGTACCTCCCAAATCTTATGTCCTCACATTTCAAAACCAATCATGCCTTCTCAACAGTCCCCTAAGTCTTAACTCATTTCAGCATTAACTGACATGTTCACAGTTCAAAGTTTCATCTGAGACAAGGCAAGTCTCTTCCACCTGTGAGTCTGCAAAATCAATAAGTTAGTTACTTCCTAGATACAGTGGGGATATAGGCATTGGGTAAATACAGCCATTCCAAATAGGAGAAATTGGCCAAAACAAAGGGGCTAAAGGCTTCATGCAAGTTTGAAATCCACCGGTGCAGTCAAATCTTAAAGCTCCAGAATGATCTCCTTTGACTCCATGTCTCACATCCATCTCATGCTGATGAAAGAGGTAGGCTCCCACAGCTTTGAGCAGCTCCACCCTTGTGGCTTTGCATGGTACAACCTCCCTCCTCACTGCTTTCAAAGGTTGGCATAGAGTGTCTGTGGCCTTTCTAGTTGCATGGTGCAAACTGTCGGTGGATCTACCATTCTGTGGTCTGAAGGATGGTGGCCCTCTTCTTACAGCTCCACTAGGCAATGCCCCACTGAGGACTCTGTGTGGGGGCTTTATCCCAACATTTTCCTTCCACACTCTTCTCTAGCAGAGGTTCTAAATGAGGGCCCCACCCCTGCAGCAAACTTCTACCTGGACATTCAGGTGTTTCCTACATCCTCTGAAAACTAGGTGGAGGTTCCCAAACCTCAGTACCTCTGTGCACCCGCAGGTGCAACACCACGTGGAAGCTGTCATGGTTTGGGGCTTGTACACTCTGAAATCATGGCCTGAGCTGTACCTTGACCCCTTTTAGCTATGGCTAGAGTGGCTGGGATGCAGGGCACCAAGTCCCTAGGCTACAGACAGCAGGGGTCCCTGGGCCTGGCCCAGGAAACCATGTTTTCCTCCTAGGCCTCTGGGCCAGTGATGGGGAGTGGCTACTTCAAAGTTCTCTGACATGCGCTGGAGACATTTTGCGCATTGTCTTGGTGATTAACATTTGGCTCCTTGTTACTTATGCAATTTCTGCAGCCAACTTGAATTTCTCCATAGAAAATTGTTTCTCCTTTTCTTTTTTTTTTTTTTTTCTTTTTTTTTTTTTTTGAGACGGAGTCTAGCTCTGTTGCCCAGGCTGGAGTGCAGTGGCGCGATCTCGGCTCACTGCAAGCTCCGCCTCCCGGGTTCACGCCATTCTCCTGCCTCAGCCTCCCGAGTAGCTGGGACTACAGGCGCCCGCTACCACGCCTGGCTAATTTTTTGTATTTTTAGTAGAGACAGGGTTTCACCGTGTTAGCCAGGATGGTCTCGATCTCCTGACCTCGTGATCCGCCCGCCTCGGCCTCCCAAAGTGCTGGGATTACAGGCGTGAGCCACCGCGCCCGGCTGTTTCTCCTTTTCTATTGCATCATCAGGCTGCAAATTTTCTGAACTTTTATGTTCTGTTTCCTTTTTAAAACTGAATGCTTTTAACAGCATCCAAGTCAACTCTTGAATGCTTTGCTGCTTAGAAATTTCTTCTGCCAGATGCCCTGAATCATCTCCCTCAAGTTTGAAGTTCCACAAATCTCTAGGGCAGGGGCAAAATGCCACCAGTCTCTTTGCTAAAACATAACAAGAGTCACATTTACTCCAGTGTCAACAAGTTCCTCATCTCCATCTGAGACCATGTCAACCTGGACTTTATTGTCCATATCGCTATCAGCATTTTGATCAAAGCCATTCATCAAGTGTCTATGAAGTTCTAAACTTTCCCACATTTTTCTGTCTTCTTCTGAGCCTTACAAACTGTTCCAACCCTTGTGTGTTACCCAGTTCTAAAGTTGCTCCCACATTTTTGGGTATATTTACAGCAGCACCCCACTCTACTGGTCCCAATTTACTATATTAGTCCATTTTCAGGCGGCTGATAAAGGCATACCTGAGACTGGGTAATTTATAAAGAAAAAGAGGTTTAACGGACTCACAGTTCCACATGGCTGGGGAGGCCTCACAATCATGGCAGAAGTCAAGAGAGAGAGTCTACATGGCAGCAGACAGGAGAGGGTCAGAACCAAGTGAAGGGGTTTAGGCTTATAAAATCATCAATCTCATTTGACTTATTCACTACCATGAGAACAGTATGGGGGAAGCCACCTCTATGATTCAATTATCTCCCACCAGGTCCCTTCCACAACACATAGGAATTATGGGAGCTACATTTCAAAATGAGATTTGGGTGGGGACACAGTCAAACCATATCACTGAGAAAGTCTTTATTTCTTCGTGTTTGAAGGATATTTTTGCCAGATACACTATTCTAGGGCAAAGGATTTATTTTCTTCAGTACTTTAAATATGCCATGCCAATCTCTCCTTGCCTGTAAAGTTTTCTACTGAGAAGTCTGCTGCCAGACATTGGAGCTCCATTGTATGTTATTTGTTTATTTTCTCTTGCTGCCTTTAGGATCTTTTCTTTATCTTTGATCTTTGGGAATGTGATTATTATATGTGTTGAGGTAATCTTCTTTGGGTTAAATCTGCTTGGTGTTCTATAACCTTCTTGTAATTGAATATCAGTATCTTTCTCTAGGTTTGGGAAGTTCTTTGTTATTATCCCTTTGAATAAACTTCCTCTTTCTCTACCTCTTTTTTAAGGCCAATTATTATTATTATTATTATTTTGCTGTTTTGTTTTGTTTTTTTGAGACAGAGTCTTACTCTGTCACCCAGGCTGCAGTTCAGTGGCATGATCTCAGCTTACTGCAGCATTTGCCTCCTGGGTTCAAGCAATTCTCCTGCCTTAGCCTCTTGAGTAGCTGGGACTACAGGCATGTAGTCCAGCTAATTCTTGTATTTTTAATATATATGGGGTTTCACCATGTTGGCCAGACTGGTCTTGAACTCCTGACCTCAAGTGATCAGTCTCCTTGGCCTCCCAACATGCTGGAATTACAGACATGAGTCACAACGCCTGGCCAAGGCCAAGAATTCTTAGCTTTGCTGTTTTAAGGCTATTTTCTAGATCTTGTGGGCATGCTTCATTGTCTTTTACTCTTTTTTCTTTTGTCCCCTATGACTGTGTATTTTCAAATAGCCTGACTTCAAGCTCACTAATTCTTTCTTCTGCTTGATTAGTTCTGCTGTTAAGAGACTCTGGTGAGTTCTTTATTATGTCAATTGCATTTTTCAACTCCAGAATTTCTGCTTGACTCTGCTTAATTATTTAAATCTATTTGTTAAATTTATCTGCTAGAATTCTGAATTAATTCTCTATGTTTTCTTGAACTTCATTGAGTTTCCTCAAATCAGCTTTTTTGAATTCTGTCTGAAAAGTCACATATCTCCATCTCTGCAGGATTGGTTCCTAGTGCCTTATTTATTTCATTTCGTGATGTCATGTTTTCCTTGATGGTCTTGATGCTTGCGGATGTTTGTCAGTGTCTGGGTATTGAAGAGTTAGGTTTTTACTGTGGTCTTTATAGTCTTGGGTTTGTTTGTACCTCTCCTTTTTGAGAAGGCATATCCAGGTCTTCAAAGAGACTTTGGTGTTGTGATCTAAGTTTTTTTTTAATTATTACCATAGCCATATCTGCATCAGGGTGTACCCCAAGCCCAGTAATGCTGTGGTTCTTATACACTTGTAGATGTACCACCTTGGTGGTCTTGGGCAAAATCCAGAAGAATTTCCTCGATTACCAGGAGAGATTCTTATTCACTTTCCTTTCTCCCAAACAAATGGAATCTCTTTCTGCTGAGCTGCCTGGAGCTAGGGGAGGGGTGACATAAGGATCTTTGTGGCTATCACCACTGGGATTGCACTGGGTCAAACCTGAAGCCAGCACAGTACTGGGTCTCACTCAAGGCCTGCGGTAACCAGTGTCTGGCTACTGCCTATGTTCACTCAAGGCCCCAGGGCTCTATAATTAGCAGGTGGTGAGGCTAGCCAGGCTTACGCCCTCTTCAGGGTGGCAAGATCCTCCCGTCCCAGGGCAGGTCCAGAGATGCTGTCCAGGAGCCAGGGCCTGGAGTTGAAAAATTTAGGAGTCTACCTGCTTCTTTATTCTACCTTTGCTGAATTGGCACCCAAGCCACAGATCAAAGCCCTTCCCACTGTTTTCAGCTCTTTCCACAAACAAAGAAGTCTCTCCCTGTGGTCACCACCACCCCAGGCCTGTAGCACGTACTGCCTGGCTACTGCCAATGTCCTCTCAATGCCTAAGGACTGTTCAGTCAGTCTGTGGTGAATGCTGCCAGTATTGAGTCTCTCTCTTCAGGGCAGTGGGCTGTCCTCTGACCCAGGATAGGTCCAGAAATGCCATCCAAGAGCCAAGGCCTGGAAATGGAGACCCCAAGATCTCACTTGGTGTGCTACCTTAGGGGTCCCCAACCCCTGAGCCATGGACTGGTACTGGTCCATGGACTGTTAGGAACTGGGCCACACAGCAGGAGGTGAGCATCAGGTGAGCACGCATTACAGTCTGAGCTCTGCCTCTTGTCAAATCAGTAGCAGCATTAGATTCTCATGGTAGCTTGAACCCTATTGCGAACTGTATATGTGAGGGATCTAGGTTGTATGCTCTTTATGAGAACCTAATGCCTGATGATCTGCACTGGAACACTTTCATCCAGAAACCATCCCCCCACCACCCCAGTCTGTGGAAAAACCGTCTTCCACAAAACCAGTCACGGGTGCCAAAAAGGTTGGGGACCACTACTCTACCCACTGTTGCCAACCTGGTATCTAAGCTGCTGTATAAAGTCTCCTTTACTCTTCCATCTCCTTTTCTTAAGCAGAAGGGATCTCCCCATAGCCACCAAGCTGCGCATGTGCTGGGTCACACCTGAAGCAAGCACATCTCTGAGTCTCATACAAGGCCCTGGAGGAGTACTGCCTGTTTATCATTGGTAATTATTCAGTGTCCAAGGGCTCTTTAGTCAGCAGGTGATTAATCCTGCCAGGCTGGGTCCTTCCCTTCAAAGCAGCAGGTTCCCTTCTGGCCCAAGGTATGCTTAGAAATGATTTTAGGAGCTAGGACTTAGAATGGGGGCCTCAGTACTCTTCCTGGTGCCTTATCCTAATGTGTCTGAATGGTATACAAGTTGCAAGACAAAGTCCCCTTTACTCTCTCTTCTCTCCTCAAGTGGAAAGACAGAGTCTCTCCCAGAGCTCCAAGTTATGCTGCTTGGGGTTGGGGGGGCGGGGGGCAGTACACAAGCACTGATATGGTTTGGCTGTGTGCCTACCTAAATCTCATCTTGAATTGTAGCTCCCATAAGTCCCACGTGTCATGAGAGGGACCCAGGTGGAGATAATTGAATAATGGGAGTGGTTTCCACCTACGGTGGTGAATAAGTCTCAAGAGATCTGATGATTCCATAAATGGGAGTTCCCCTGCATGAGCTCTCTCTTGCCTGCTGCCATGTAAGACATGTCTCATTTCCCCTTTGCTTTCCACCGTGATTATGAGGCCTCCCCAGCCATGTGAAACTGCGAGTCAATTAAGCCTCTTTCCTTTATAAATTACCCAGTCCCAGGTATGTCTTTATTAGCAGCATGAGAACAGACTAATACAAGCACTTCCTTGGCTGCCCAGCTGATGTCTCACTAGGTTGTGTCCCCCCTAAGTCTACTGGCTCTGAGGCAAGCACAGCACCAGGACTTGTCCAGGAATTGCAGTCCTTGTGGCCTAGACTGCCTTTCAAGTTTATTTAGGACCCCAGAGCACTTAGCCCTCAGTGGCAAGGCTTGCTGGAACTCAGGCTCTGACAGCTGACTCCCATTTGGATAGGGCTTATCTAAATGCTCCCTCTGCAGGTGCCAGCTGAGTTCTGCTTGGTGTTGCTTTCTACTGTGACAGGGCAGCACTGAGTTCCAATGAGAAGTCCCACAATCACTGTGTGTCCCTCTTCCAAGCACATAGATTCTCTCTCTGTGTCATGTGGTTACTGCTAGGAAACAGGAACGGGATGATGTTAGCAATTCAAGACTGTCTTTCCTACCATCTTCTGTTCCTCTTTCAGTCATATCAAGTTAAAACCAGGTACTGTGATCACTCATCTGATTTTTGGTTCTTATGAAGGTGCATTTTTTGTGTGAATAGTTTTTCATTTTAGTGTTGTGTGGGAAGGATGATTGGTGGAAGATTCTATGTGGCCATCTTTCTCCACCTCCAGTCCAATCTCTGTGGCTAATTTTTAATATGAAGTTTAAATTTTTAATAGTTCTTAAATAATTTTACTTTTACCACCCTGATTATAACTATAGTCTTACAGTATAAGGCTTTAAACCACTTGCCTCTTATTTGAGAAAACAAATATTTGGCTTACTTGAAGATCTGCACATCCATGGTATTTCTAAGGAAACTATTACATCCTGATTTCTTCTTCTCATTAAGACAAAAATCTTTATATCCCTGAAAAACAAGAAGGTTTATTATACCAAGGTAGATGTATCTTCCATGGATTTGCTATTCTCAAGTAATTTGCTATTAAAGAATGTATTGCTGAAGAACAATTGGCAGTATCTATCAAAATTTAAAATGTATCTCTTTTAATCCAGCAATTACACTTCATGCGTAAAGTAACATATGTACAAGGAAATTCACTAAAGCATTGCTTGTACAAGCAAATTGGAAAAATAACTAAATGTCCTTCAATAGGGGAGTGATTCAATATATTATGGTATATCCACTTTTATATGGACTGATCTGGAAAGACTTTTAATATATAGTAGTGAAGAAAAAAGGTACAAAATGGGGTTTATATTATGCTACCATTTATATTAAAAATCAGAATATGCATATATAGTTTCCAAAGGCATACTATTTCTCTAGAAACATATAGAAGAAACTGGTTAAAGTCTTGGCTCAGAGGAAAGGGCCTGGTAACCAGAGAAGAGAAAAGGGATTGGGATTTACCTTTCACTGTTGATACACTTCACTTTGTGAATATTCTACCAAATGCATGCATTATCAATTAAATAACAAAAAAAGAATTTCAAAGGTACCATATTTTTATGTAAAAAGAATAAAATTCATATGTCCATGACAAAGTCTCAACTAGTCAGTTTTGCTAGGCTGCATACAAATTATGTGACAAAAGATTAATCCCAGAAAATTGATCTCTGAACAGTTACTAGTCAGAAGTTCATGTTGTTGTATAAGAAAACTCTAAATTTTCATAACTTTATCAATTCTACTAATTTGGAATATAATGTATCCCAAAACTAGATCATATATACCTTCAAGTCATTGGTTATTTTTATTTTTTAATGCATCAAAAATATCTACTATTCTCAGATACAGTGGGAGGTCAAAATGTATTTATCGATTGTGCAAGAAATTAGTAATGGGGTTTAGAGTCTTTAGTAATCTCTGCTTCTAGCTGTGTGGAATAAAAATGTAGTCATTTATTTCAGTGCCTGTGAATAAAACTTCTTTAAGCAATTGAGTGATCTTGAGAGTTATTAGTTATTAACAGGATTTATTGAGTGTACTCCTCAAATAGGCCTCTAGATATATTCATAAAACTATGAAATAAAGATGGAATTTTTGGTGTTAAGGTTTATAATGAAAGTCATCTAGAGGCAATTCATAAAAGCAGGTATTGAATATAACCACACATGTACACCTACATCTAGTTTAGGAGCTCGTTTAGTTTAGAAAGAGGAATGAAATTCATGTTTCTCTTACCTTGGTGTGCTTATCTTCCTTAACACCCTCTCATTACTCTTCATCCTGTATAGGTACTTCTAATGATGCTCTGGAAATCTTGAAAGGTCTCAATAAATCCTTATTGAAGAAAAGAATGTGTAGGGTCTATCCTTCCTTATGACTTACGGTTCCAGTAAGCACTTTAGGATATACCTTGAAGGGATTGATTTTTATGAATTGTTTTGCATGAGGCCTTTTATGACAATAGAAGAGGGAAAAAGTGCCAAAAGGGCTCTGGAAGGAAGGAAGAGAAAAGGAGAAAGTGCAGGGGATGATGTGATATATAGCTATAGCCAAACATTCTAGGTGAGAAGGGATGTGCAGAAAAGAAGAATGAACACATGAAATGGTGCAGCCACACTTCTGTGAAAACGTTAGTGTCCTATGGTCCCAGTGGTCCTTTCTAGGGAAAACCTCAATGGCAAGAAATGTGGTGGAGCAGTGACGATGTCTTGCAGAGTTGGAATTGTTTGTGAATATAATGGAGATTCATAGGACTCCCAGAAACCATTGATGCAAATCTACAGGAGCTGAAGTTTTAGTTGACAGGTAGAACAGAAATGAAATGAGCTATTATCATTACTCTGTTCTCATCAAAATCATAGCATTGGTTGTTATAAATGTAGATAAGGCATATTAAAAACTTACATGAATGAATTCAGTAAAGAAATACAACCATGTGCATATATTCATGTCAACTAGCTATTTTTTCGGAATCAAAAAATATTATCTTGCTATTTTGGCATGTAGTCAGGATAAGCATACTGTTGTTTGATTAAGTGTTAAAGTTCACAATGAATAAATATCATCTTTGCAACTAAACTCCATGGTATTTTCTTACTAAGAATGTTTTTGTACTTACAAGAACAGATGTAGTGATAAAAGAATCCCAAGTTTTTCTAAGTCCTTCAATTAAAAAATTCTAAACCTAGAATATACATATGTGCATGTATTTATGTGTGTGTATGTGTGTGTATTCTTTTATCTATAAAATGGGAATAAGTAACATTTATAATATATGTTGAGTTCCTAAGTAAAATCATTTTCCAAATGTAAAATGAGTTGCTTTCAAAGCATTGGTGTATTTTTTATGTTTTTCTTATTTAATCATCAGAAATTCAATGTTTACTTGAATCATCAAAAAATTATTTCAGATGGCAACTGACATTTTCTCATATTAAAAAAAATAAATCCTTGAGTTGACAGACATCCAACAGTAGGAGGTAAGCCTTGAGCTGACAGTTGCTTCCTCATATGGACTTTTAATTACAGAGTCAGCATGCAAGCTTCAGAAGCCCCCAGGAGTCAGCAGCAAACATTGACTTGTGTGCAATACATTGCTAGAACTGTAATAGGAAAAAGTGTGGCAATTAAATGTGGGTTTTAGTGAGGGCATTCAGTGTATGTATCTGTTCTAGGACCATGAGTCTTAATCTCATGTAGAAAAAAGGCTATCATTTTATCTATTCAGCTTTATCAGAAAATGGGTTGTTTTCCATAATTAAAATTTTATAATAATTGAGGCCTAGAATTTATTCACTGGGATATTTAAGCCATTTAGATATCTAAGCCACATCTTTTAAATGTATATTGGTATTTCCCTACCTTTTACACAGAGTATTTCGACCAAAATATAAACTTCTCTTACTCTGCTAAGTTCCAGTGATAAAGTTGAATTTTTGAGGTTTTATTGTGATTACAGTGAAACTCTAGTTTTTCCAGCTCTGCATCTTACATCAGCCATTCTTTCCCAACACTAGCATTTAGCACAACAGTCATGCTGGTCTTTCTAAAAGGCTGTTTTATGAAATCTAGGTACAAAGATGACTGAGTTTATTAGGGTAAATCAATTATTTCCTCATTATTTTAAATCAGTGGGCTTTTATATGAGGCTCAAAAGAAGACTTCTGTCTTCATGGACTCAGCATTTTATTATTGCCATTTTTCTAATCAAATCCCAAAATATTCGCAGAGCACCTGTTATATGCCAGGAGTGAAGGATGTTGCCAAAGATGTGTCAATCGGATGAGAAAAATGCCGCTGAACTCAATACTTTGGGAAATAGGGAGTATGGGTTTTGCTATTTCTCCCCAGGCTTTCCACATCCATGGGCACAGTCAAGAACTCTTATTTTCAAAGATTTTCTATTGTTTTCTGCATCAGCAGAAGATTATATATAACCTCTCCACACTTGCAATTTTAGAATCATCGTGTTTTCTGAGGCGTGTCACCCTTTACAAGTCCTTACACCCTCCTGGGTAAAGTCTTGAGCTGATTGTCTAAAGTATCTATATGTAAGGAAGCTTGTCTGTGAGGTTCACATCTAAAGTCTTAGTTTTTCTGTCAAGTTTATCTCCTCCATATGCCTGCTAAAAAATAAAGTTCCTACAAAAACTTGGATAGATCACATTTAGGAAAATATATATGAATAGTAAATACATGAAAGCAGATAAGGAACTTTTGCACAATCAGCCTTAAATCTTTGATTGAATAAAGCAGTATCAACTAATATACAAACAGATACCCCTGATCCTACAGTTCCCCCTGACTCTTCCATTTTCCCTTTTAGGAAGACTCAGTGGTTCAAACCTTGGCTCCTTTTAGAAGCCCCACTCCAGCACAATTCAGTTAAAATTTCAAGGGTCCTCCTCTATTAATATTAAAAAAAATTAAGCCTTCCCAGGTGACTCTAATTTATGCCTGCGGTTGACACAACTGAGTTAGATTGATTTAAAAGGGACGATAAATAGACACTGTTTTGGCAAAAGCCCATTCCAAACAGCCATCTGATATCTTACTTAATCTAATCTGAGATAAGTTCATTTAAACAGAAAGTTGAAACTAATATAATTTCAAATAATCTTTGGAATATGTGTAAAACAAAGGCAACATATCAGGAATACATTTTTCCTCCAAATGGGCTAATGATAGACTACAGAATTTGAGACAGTGTTTCATATTTTGACATTTCAGTAATGGCTATTAATCATAGCCTTCTATTTTACTATCGAAAAATGCCATTTAAATACCATTTGTTAATTATAACATCTTTGGAAGTCTATTCATATGTAGTCTAAGAGTGAAAAAAGTTCATAAGCCTATCCTGAATTACACATCAAATTGAAAAACCTTTGCTAAAAGTAATATAGAACAGAAAAGACATTGTGCAAGGCACTAAAAGTATGTGCTCTGAAGAGGAAAGTTGGTGAGCTACTTTCTATCTGTTTTGACTTTTTTTCTTTACAAAGTCTTCATATAATAAAAAGGATAATTTATTTAAAAAATTTCAGGAAAGTTACATTAATTCCTTTTGACTAACATAGAAACTTTAAATGAAAGTCTTATAACTGTCTCCTTTAAGATACCTAGAATTTCTCAAATAATAAAATTTCAAAACTGTTGGAATTGATTAAAAAAATCACTTACTAGCTTTTTTTAAAAGAGAAATATGTACTTACATTTTTTTAAAAATCACTTTGTGAAACATTAGGATTATCCTGGGTATAGTTCGTTTAGTTTTTGATCAATTTTTTGGGACTGTTCTGTGTGAAATTCAAGTGGCTTCCAACATAAAAAAATAACTAGAGACTGAGAGCACCCCAGATTTTCTCATGTGAACAGTAGTTAGCCTTACAATCTTCAAGATTGAAAGGAAGAGATGTGCTCAGGTGAACTTGGTAATGAGGCTGTATCTTACAGACAAATGGGAAAGGGGGAATCTCAGGACACATCACAGCCACCTGAGTAACTGTCCTGCTGCCAGCACCTCCCACTGATCATCATCTGTCATATAGAAATGGGGCACAGATTGGTTAAATAACCTGCCAATAAGTGTGGAGTCAGGAGTTTCATGGCCTGCCCTCATAACCACTGAAATTCACTGCTTCTCTGAGAAATATAATCAGATAACAGACAGGATACAGGGAGCCTAGAAAGCCCAAGTCAGAAATTGAACTTTGTAATTCACTTAGGAGCAAGGGATGCCAAACTATGAAACTTTAGAATTTAATTTTGTGTCTTTGGACTTATTTATTTACCCTATCTAATGATACCCTATCTTATTTATTTTCCCTGAAATTATTCACTGCAAAGAAGAAAAAGAAAAGAAAGTGGTTACATTACAAATACGCTGTTATAAAGCACAGTTGAGTGAGAAGAAAATATTCCCAATTAGGACCAGAGTGGCCTGGAGGCAGAAGTGAATGGGTTCCTCCACATATCCTAAGACATCAGTGAGAAGAGCCTTTGCAGTCAACTCTGGATGGCAGAGTCTAAATCCAAACTTCTGTTTGTACATTCAAGTTTAGGAATTCCAATGAGGTTGTTTTTGTTGTTTTGTTTTTGAGAAAATTGGCCCAATTTTTGACCAGCTGTGTCCAAGAGTAGAAATTTAAGGAGAAAGAGAAACATCTAAACAGATCTCTGGGGTGTGTAAGTGTGTTTTTCTGATGCATTATCATTTTGAATCCCCAGATGACCCAGTTTTATTACGGCCATATTAAAATTTAAGATCTACAATTTTTTAAATAATAAAATTATGTCTTTTGCAGCAACATAGATGGAGCTGAAGGCTATTTTCCTAAGTTAAATAACTCAGAAACAGAAAATAAAATACTGTGTATCCTTACTTACAAGTGGGAGCAAGACGATAGGTACATATAACCAAGCAGAGGGGACTAACAGACACTGGGGACCCCAAAAGGCGGGAGGATGAGAGAAGGGGGAGGGCTTCAAAATTACCTACTGGGTACGATTTTCGTTATTCAGGTGATGGTTACGCTAAAAGCCCAGAATTCGCCACTACACAATATAAACTGCACATGTATCCTCTGAATATGAAAATAATAATAATATATGAATAGAATAAAAGGTCTATGATTTGAGTTGCCTACCTGCAACTTTGATTGAGTTGGTATCCTCTGACATCACATTTTCCAGGATGCTTGATTTATGGTTTTAAAAGAATGGAAGGCAACCACTTTAGAATAAGAAGATTATAAACTAGTCTGAAATAGGAATTACAACTACTATGAGAATGCAACCTGGAAACTGATGTGCTAAAGAATGGAAGAGAAAATTAAGCTTCCAGTAATCAATATAACTTTTGTCACACTTTCTAAAAGTTAAAAACTCAATTTTAAAATATCCTTAATGGTTTACTCCTTGAATATTCATCAAAACCTCTTCATAGACCTTCAATGTCAATCTCGTCTTTGTTCTTCTGATTATCTAACTCCCTTTCTTTTAAAATGCATACTCTTGAATCTCTTTTGAAATGTAGTAGCCTTATGAGGTCTGTTCTCTTTTGGTTAAAGGCTCACCTTCCACTGTGGATTCTAAAAGCAATTCCTATGTGTATATGTGAGAGAACCTAAGGTTGAACTGCACGCTCATATGTCAAGAAATATTTGGCAGTCCCCAGTCTCTGGCAGGTGCTCTCACTGTTTTCCAGAACACACACAAAAGCCATACTTCACATTTCCTAGTCTATTATATTTTTATTATTTTTCCCCACATAGCATAATTAGATTTAGGAAATGTTATGTGAGATATCCAGAATGAAATAGTATAAGAAACTCTATTTCAAACTTGTAGGCTAGAAATAAGTTTTTTTCTTGCCTCCTTAGAACCATTGCATTTAAGAATTAGAATCCTTCCTGGAAAGGGAGCCAAGATCTCTAAAACTCATAAATAGATGGGACCTTTTTAATAGCTGAGACTAGGTCTCATGGAGACGGGGCTACCAAGATCAAGTAGGTTTGGGTACCACTGCTATAAGTTGTTTGCCCCCGGAAATTTCACAGGTATCATCACATCAGATGAGGGAAGAAGACTTTGCTTAACGGTGGGAAAAAGCAATGAATTACATTAGGTCTTATAGATCTTGGGGGCTAAGCAGAGAGTTAACAGGATAGTTAGCAGTGTTCAGCATTAGGAAATATTTATGTCCACCCTGAGTTGTGTAAAAGAATGATCATCAATCATAGAAAGAGCATAAAACAAGGGGTGTGGTTGCTGGGTTAACACACTGAAATCATATGTAGATATAGAGGAAAAGGTAGACACATGCCCTACGTATGTGCTTAGGAGACATGGACAGGGTTCCAATTAGACAGATGGTATGAAGTGCAGTTTATTTTTTGATTTTTATTTTAGTTTCAGGTGTACATGTGCAGGTTTCCTATACAGGTAAATTGTATGTCATAAGGGTTTGGTGCACAGATTATTTAGTCACCCATGTAATAACCATAGTACCCAATAGGTAATTTTTCAATCTCAATCTCCTCTTATTCCCTAACCTCCACCCTCAAGTAGACCCTGGTGTCTATTGTTCCCTTCTTTGTATCCATGTGTACTCAATGTTTAGTTTTCATTTATAAATGAGAACATGTAGTATTCAGGTATTTGGTTTTCTGTTCCTGGGCTAGTTGACCTAGTATAATGGCCTCCAGCTCCATCCACATTGCTTGCTGCAAAGGACATGATCTCATTCTTTTTTATGGCTGCATAGAATTCTATGATATATATGTACCACATTTTCTTTATCCAGTCTATCTTTGATGGGCATTGATATGGTTTGCTTCTGCTTTCCCACCCAAATCTCATATCAAATTGTAATCCTCGGTGTTGCAAGTGAGGCCTGATAAGAGCTGGTTGGACCATGAGGTCAGACGAGATTAACACTGAAGGTCTATGAAGAGGTTTTGGTGGATATTCTGGTTTTCTTTTCTTTTTTTTTTTTTTCCTGTAGCCCTGCAGTATAGTGTGAAGTCAAATAATGTGACACCTCCAGCTTTGTTCTTTTCACTTAGTATTGCTTTGGCTATTTAGGCTTTGTTTTGGTTTCATATGTATTTTGGAATAGTTTTTTTTTTCTAATTCTGTGAAGACTGCCATTAGTAGTTTCATAGGAATAGCACTGGATCTGTACATTGCTTTGGGAAGTGTGGCTATTTGAATAATATTGATTCTTCCTATCAATGGGCATGCAAAGTTTTTCCATTCGTTTGTGTCATCTCTGATTTATTTCAGAAGTGTTTTGTTATTCTTGTTATAGAGATCTTTCACTTCCCTGCTTAGCATATTCCAAGGTATTTGTTTCTTTTGGTGGCTATTGTGAATGGAATTGCATTCGTGATTTGGCTCTCACCTTGGATGTTGTTGGTGTATGGAAAAGCTACTGATAATTTAAAATTGATTTTGTATCCCAAAACTTTGTTGAAGTTGTTTATTAGATCTAGGAGGTTTTGGGCAGAGACTATCAGGTTTTCTAGGTATAAAATTATATCAGGCCAGGCGTGGTGGCTCACGCCTATAATCCCAACACTTTGGGAGGCCAAGGCTGGTGGATCACTTGAGGTCAGGAGTTCAAAACCAGCCTGGCCAAAATGGCGAAACCCTGTCTCCACTAAAAATACAAAAATTAGCAGGGTGTGGTGGTGGGCACCTGTAATCTCAGCTACTTGGGAGGCTGAGAGCAGGAGAATTGCTCGAACCTGGGAGGCAGAGGTTGCTATGAGCTGAGATCATGTCACTGCACTCCAGCCTGGGCTACAGAGTGAGGCTCCGTCTCAAAAAAAAAAAAAGTTATATCATCTACAAACAGATATTTTGACTTCCTCTCTTCCTATTTGGATGCCTTTTATTTCTTTCTCTTGCCTGATTGCTCTGGCTAGGACTTCCAGTACTGTGTTGAATAGGAGAGGTGAGAGGGGACATCCTTGTCTTGTGCAAGTTTTCAAGGGGAATGCTTCCAGCTTTTGCCCATTCAGTATGATGTTGGCTGTGGGTTTGTCATAGGCAACTCTTATTATTTTGTTGTATGTTCCTTCAATGCCTAGTTTGTTAAGGGTTTTTAACATGAAGTGATGTTTAACATGAAGTGTACCTTATCAAAAGCCTATTCTATCTACTGAGATAATCATATGGTTTTTGTTTTTAATGCTGTTTATGTAATAGATCACATTTATTGGTTTGCATCTGTTGTACCAATTTTGCATCCCAGAGATACAATCTACTTGATCTTGGCAGATTAGCTTTTTGATGTGCTGCAGGTTCTGTGCTCAGTTTGCTATTTTTTTGTTGAGGATTTTTGCATCTGTATTATCAAGGATATTGGCCTGAAATTTTCTTTTTTTGTTATGTGTCAGCTAGGTTTTAGTATTAGGATGATGCTGCCCTCATAGAATGAGCTGGGGATGAGTCCCTCATCCTCAATATTTTGGAATGGTTTCAGTAGGAATGTTATCAGCTTTTCTTTATACATCTGGTAGAATTTGGTTGTGAATCTATATAGTCCTGAACTTTTTCTTGTTGGTAGGCTTTTTATTACCAATTCAATTTTAGAACTAATTATTGGTCTGTTCAGAGTTCCCATTTATTCTTGGTTCAGTCTTGAGAGGGTGTTATGTGTCCAGGAACTTATCCATTTCTTCCAAGTTTTCCAGCTTGTGTGCATAGAGGTGTTTGTAATAGTCTCTGAGGGATTTTTTTTTTCAAATTTTTATATTACTGTGGGGATTGTGGTAATGTCACCTTTGTCAATTCTAATGGTGTTTATTTGGATCTTTTCTCTTTTTTCCTTTATTCTAGCTAGCAGTCTTTCAATTTTCTTCTTTCAAAAAACTCATTGCTGGATTCACTGACCTTTTGTATGGTTTTTCACATATGAATATCACTCAGTTCAGCTCTCATTCTGGTTATTTCTTGCCTTCTGCTAGGTTTGGGGTTGGTTTGCTCTTGTTTTACTAGTTTCTTAAAGAATGATGTTAGGTTTTTACTTTGAGGTCTTTGTATCTTTTTGATGTGGGTGTTTAATTCTCTAACCTTTCATTTAGCACTGTGTTAGCTGTGTCCCAGATATTCTGGTATATTGTATCTTTGTTCTCATTAGTTTCAAACTTTTTTAAATTTCTTCCTTAATGTAATTATTTACCCAGAAGTCATTCAGGAGCAGATTGTTTAATTTCCAAAACGTATGGCTTTAAATTATCTTCTTAATATTTATTTCCATTTTTATTGTGCTATGGTTTAAGAGTGTAATTGGTATGTTTTCTTTTCTTTTGAATTTGCTGAGAACCGTTTTATGACCAATAGTAAGGTTGATTTTAGAGTATGTGCCATATGCAGATGAGAAGAATGTATATTCTGTTGTTTTGGGGTAGAGAGTTCTGCAGATGTCTGTTATGTCCATTTGGTCAAGGGTCAACTTCAGGTCCTGAATATCTTTGTTAGTTTTCTGCCTCAGTGATCTGTCTGTGACTGTCAGTGGTGTGTTGAAGTCTCCCATTGTTATTAAGTGGTTATCTAAGTCTCTTTGTAGGTTTCTAAAAACTGTTTCATGAATCTGAGTGCTCCTGTGTTGGGTACATATATATTTATGATAGTTATTTCTGTTGAATTGAAATTTTTACCATTATGTAATGCCCTTCTTCATCCTTTTATTGACTGTTGTTGCTTTAAAGTCTGTTTTATCTGAAGTTAGAATCACAGCTTCTGCTTGTTTCCTGTTTTCCATTTGCTTGGTAGATTTTTCTCCTTCCATTTACTTTGAGCCTACAGGTGTTATTACATGTGAGATGGCTCTCTTAAAGACAGTATACCATTGGGTCTTGCTTCTTTATCCAATGTGCTACCTTGTGGCTTTTAACTGTGGCATTTTGACTGTTTATCTTCCAGGTTAATATTGATATGTGTGGATTTGACCTGGTCATTGTCTTGTTAGCTGGTTATTAGGAAGACTTAATTGTGTAGTTGCTTGATGGTCTGTGTACTTACATGTGTTTTTGTGATGGCTGGTAACAGTCTTTAATTTCCATATTTAGCACTCCCTTAAGGATTTCTTGTAAGGCAGGTTTGTGGTAATGAATTCCCTTAGCATTTACTTGTTTGAAAAAGATCTTTTTTCTCCTTCACTTATGAAGTGTAGTTTGGCTGGATAAGAAAGTCTTAGTTGGAATTTCTTTTAAGAATGCTGTATATAGTCCCCTCTGGATTGTAGGGTTTCTGCTGAAAGGTCCACTGTTATCCTGATGGGATTCTCTTTGTAGGTGACCTGCCTCTTTTCTCTAGCTGCTGTTAATATTTTTTATTTCATGTCAACCTTGGATAACCTGATGACTATTTGTCTTGGGGATGGTTGTCTTCTATGGTGTCTCACAGGGGTTCTCTGAATTTCCTAGATTTGAATGTTGACCTCTCTAGCAAGCTTAGGAAAATTTGCATGGTTTATATCCTCAAGTGTGTTTTCCAAGTTGCTTGCTTTCTTTCCCTCTCTTTCAGGGATGCCACTGAGTTGTAGAATTGGTCTCTTTACATAATCTCATATTTCTTAGAGGTTTTGTTATTCTTTTTTATTTTTGTCTGACTGAATAAATTTAAAGAACTGTTTTTGGAGCTCTGAGATTCTGTCTTCATTTTAGTCTATTCTGCTGTTAATATTTACAATCATATTATGACATTCTTGTAGTGTGTTTTTTGGCTTTATCAGATCAGTTTGGTTCCTTCTTAACATGACCATTTCATCCTTTCAGCTCCTGTAACATTTTATTGTATTCCTTTGATTTCTTGGATTGGGTTTCAACTTTCTGCTGAATCTCAATGATCTTCATTCCTGTCCATATTCTGAATTTTATGTCTGTCATTTCAACCAGGTTAAGAACCACTGCTAGGGAAAATTTGGTGCTTTGGAAGTAACAAGACACTCTGGCTTTGGGAGTTGCCAGAGTTAATGCACTGGTTCTTTGTCATCTGTGTGGACTGATGTTCCTTTAATCTTTGAAGTTGCTGGAATTTGGGTGAGGTTTATTTGCTTTTATCTTCTTTGATGCCTTGGGGGTTTGATTGTGGTATAAGGTGGGTTCAGTCAATTGGCTTTGATTATAGAAGATTTCAGGGGGCCAAGGCTCAGCTCAGTACTCCTGGGCTGCGTGTTCTAACTTTAGGGGTCTGGTACTGAGAGCCCCACTTTGTTCTCTGGCCTCCCAAGGTTAGGAACTTGCTTCCCTGAAAGGGCTAAGATGCTCCTGCTCCACTGACCCCAAAATTCTGATGGGGGTGCATACCAAAGCACTTAGGGTTGTGGCAGTAGAATCCATGCTTGCTCACACATGCCAGCAGCTGTGGTAGTACAGCATGGTACACATGCATTGGCTGGGTAGGGCACCTGCGGGACTGGGGGCGCCAGTGGTGGTGGGGTGGTAATGGGTCTGCTGGTGTATGTACAGGCATTCACATTGGAGGTTGCAGCAGTACAGTGGGGGTAGGGCACTAGTGGGGGTGCTGGATTTCTGTGTACACCCTTGTGCCAGAGGTGGCAGGGGAAGCATGGCAGAGATGGATGTTTCAGCGTGTGCACACACTTGTACTGGAAGTGGTGGTGGCCCCATTTGGGGTGAGTGAGGCTATAAGGTGTGCTTGCATGCCCAACACCAGTGTGGCAGCAGGGTGTTGCACACATGCACAGCATTGGGGGAGGGGAGTGAGGTCCACTGACATGTTTGCACTGGTGAAGTGGTTGGTGGGGAGCTATGGGCAAGTGCCTGTCTGCAAAGTGGTGGGAGTATGCTGCAGTGGGTGGAGGCTGCAAGTGGCCTCGCTGCATGAGCTTGGGCTGGTCTGTAGGAGCTCTCCCATGGTTATGCACAGTTTGCCAGTGAACGAGTTACCATGAGGGAAGCACCCTAGTTGGGTATCCCAGGTTGCAAGGCAAGTAGGCATAGCCAGGCTGGGGCCCCAGGAGAGGCCACTAGTGGGGGTGCTCAGATTGGACTGACCTCGTCCAACAGGCAAGACTGCCCTGTTCTGTCAAGCTCTAACATTAACCCTCAGGCTAAAGTCTCTCCTAGAGGAGCATGGCAAGCCTTGAGGTGAAGGTGTCCCTAGCGATACTCCACTGCAGCTGTTCTCATGCCAAAACCTTTGGGCTCCATACATGCTGGAGTCTTGCCCCTGCCACTTTTCTAAATGGCCCTCTCTTCTAGCTCAAGTGTTCATGGGTGTCTTGGGTTCTCCTGCAGGTAGGGTTCCAGAGGTGAGTGGCAAGAGCAGGCCACTCCTCACCTTTTCAACTCACCCCTTTCCCAGGAGTCACTGGGAGCCAGGAGCAGGTCCTTGATGTTCAGCAGCCCTGCACAGGGTTCCCAGCTTTCTCTCTCTTCAGTCCAGTGTCTGCATCCTCCCTCCATCCACTTTCAATGCCTTCTCTCCAAAGGTCTGCTCAGTGTGCCAGTCTTCCTGATGTCCTGGTCCCTTGGTGGGAGATGTTCCTCCTGGCTGCATCCAGTTGGCCATCTTGGCTCCCTCCAGCTTTTCAAAATTAAAGAAAAAACTCATAGTAGCAGGATGGTCTGGGTGGCCTTTTTCTCTGCAAAGGCTGTTTGGGTGAGGTTGGTGCTGTGAAGGTGTTAGGATCAGTTCTGATGCTTTGCCAATCTGGAGGTGCTGGGGCTGATGGTCATGGGCTGGAGTATGCTCAGATGACAGGTGGTACAGTTGGAGAGTCCCCTTATCACTCTTGGAAATTTTTTTAATTTTTTCTTCCAAATCCTGTAGTAATATTGATGTTCCAGAGAGATGTCCCACAGATATTCTGCTCTCATGCACCCTCCCTGCACAGAGTTGAAACTGTACTCCAGTTTCAGAAGTGTGTAGCAGTGTAGTACATACTTCAAGTTAATCTGAAAAAAAAAAAAAGAGAGCTTCCCATGAGGGATCCCAAGAAGCCTGAAGTGCAGTTTAGTGAAACAGAAACACCTGTATTATTCAATGCAGCTCTGAAAGATGACTAACGGTTTCTTCCAAACTTAGATTTTCCCCCAAACCCTTGAATTATTGCTATCAGTGAAGTTACTCATGAAGTGTAAAAATAAAACAGTGCCATGGACTAAATTGTGACCAGAACTTTAGGTTATACTTGGAGGCCCAGAGGTGAGGCAGGCACAAGCCAGGCACCTGAAGCCAGAAAATTCTGGGTGAGCAGGGAAAGGTAGATACTTACCCTGAGTTCAGCACCGTCCAGCTATCTAGGCTTCTGGTTACCATGCACCCCCAAATTTGCTATCCCAGTAGTAGAGTGTTTCCCAAATAAGATTGTTGATAGCACTTTAGCAAAAGTCCTCTCACACTTTGCAGAGATCAGCAGGTTTGAGATACTCAGAAATAAATCCAGAAGTACCTTTTTGTTTGAGCTTCAGTGAGGAAGGACACCTCATGTCAGAGCGCAACATAAGGATTAAAAAATGTAAACACCCCTTCATTCTCCTTTGGAAGGAGACAAGACCTGTGAAACAGAAGGGAGAGATAATTCAATTCTGATGTTGCTGTGTTGATTTTTTTGGATAGTTACCAGTTTTACAGTTTCGAGGTAGGCTCATTTTCATGCTAGTTCTAAACTCATACATGTACATCCTTCCTGACACTCAAATATAAACTATATGTACATATACTTATTTGTGTTGTACATATACACTGCAATAAATGTATACTTCACTATATATAATGTTATCTAACATATATATCTGAAATATGAGTAATTTTCAAGGTAAGGAAAAGATTTATTTATTCATTAATTTTTTTCAAGGAATATTTGCTACACACTCACAGTGATTCAGATACTGTTTTGGATGCTAGGAACATAAAACAGACAAGGTCCCTCCTCATGGCATCTATATTATATTCAAGTTCAGGGAGACACAAAATAAACAAACAAATAATTTAACAAATTAATTCCAGGTAACAGTAATTGCTATGAAAAATTAAACAGGGGGATATATCTGAGAATGTTTAGAAGTGAGCTTTGGCATGTTAGACAATATCTTGCAGACAATGTTGTTGAAATCTGAATGCTAAGACTTTAACCATGCAAGTGACTGAAGGAAATATATGTGAAAAACATTTGAAGCAGAAGTGAGGTTCAACTTTTTAAAGAACTAAGAGAAATGCTGGAGAGTAGAAAATGAATGAGAGAATCGAGGAGTTGAAGTTGAAGAGGTAGAGGAAACCAAATCACTCAAAGCTTATAGACCATTAATAGGTGGATTCTATTCTCGCAGCCACTAGAGGACACCCGAGAGTTTTAAGCAGGAAAGTGTTGTGGTCTCTTTTGTGTTTTAATGTGTAAGTCCTTCTAGTTGTTGCAAAGAAATGTTCCATAGGGTAGAAAGAGTGGCAACAGGAAAATAGCGTTTGGAGTTTCAGACCCACCAAATTAGAGGGGCCTGGGAAACACTTTGGGCATCCTGCATACATGCCAAACAACATTTAAAAGCAGTGCTACTCAGGTTCGAGGCAATTGGCCTATAACTAATCTGTCTGCTATAAAAAATGTGGTACTATTCACAGGAAGATAACAGAATCCAGAGTCTTTATAAGGAATCATCCCTAAAGCCCAAGTACAGTAAAAACTTACTAGACATGCAAAGAAACAGGAACCCATGACTCAAAGTCAAGAAAAAAAGCCATCAACACCCCTGGTCCAGGCCCTGACAAAACCCAGCCCACATGTTAAACTTGTAGACAGACATTTTAAAGACACACTACAAAAATACTTTTAAATTTATGGAAAATATGTTCAAATAACTAAGGAAAATTTTTCTTTTATTAAGGGAACAATTAAGAAATCTCAACAAGGAAATGGAAAATATTTTTAAAATGTAAATTCTAGAACTGAAAATTACAGTAACTGAGATAAACCATTTACTACGTAGGCTTAACAGAAGATTTGAGATGGTGGAAAATTGAGTCAGTGATCTTGAAGATATATCAGATATATTCTAGTCAGAAGAATACAGAGAGGCTGGACGCAGAGGCTGGCGCCTGTAATCCCAGCACTTTGGGAGGCTTAGGTGGGCAGATCACGAGGTCAGGAGATCAAGACCATTCTGGCTAACACAGTGAAACCCCGTCTCTACTAAAAATACACACACACACACACACACACACACACACACACACAAAGTAGCCAGGCATGGTGGCGGGCACCTGTAGTCCCAGCTAATCGGGAGGCTGAGGCGGGAGAATGGCGTGAACCTGGAAGTTGGAGCTTGCAGTGAGCCAAGATCATGCCACTGCACTCCAGCCTGGGTGACAGAGCGAGACTCCGTCAAAAAATAATAATACTAATACAGAGAAAAAGGTTGGAGAAAAAAATGAACTTTCCTTCAGAAATATGTGTGACAATATCAAATAGTGTAACATACATATTACTTGAGTCCCAGGATAAGAAAAAAATGAGAATGGATAGAAGAAACTGTTTGAAAACAATGACTAAATATTTCTCAAACTTAATGGAAAACTAAATCTCCAAGAAACCCTGTGACCTCAAGCAGGATATTCTCTCAGCTACAAATTTAGCAATGTATTTAACATTTATTAAGTGCTTACTCTGTGCAAAGAGCTATGCTGGGCATGGAGAAATATATATCTGAATATGGCACAATATCTACCATATTTAACAATCTAGATCTGTACTATCAAATATGGCAACCACATCTGAATATTGGGCACTTGAAATGTGGCTAATACAACACGATGAAATGATAACATTTTGGATTAAATAAAATATATTATTGAAATTAATTTTACCTCTTTTTGTTTCTTTAAACTATACAGTAGAAAATTTAATATTACACATGTAGCTTGCACTACATTTCTGTTAGACAGCACTGATTAGGAGATAATAATCTAGTTTGTAACATAGCATCCACATATAAAAATAAAATGATGATCAAGTAGCTAGCTCTCAAATCAGATAAATTGGAGCTAGATACTTTTTATTAGCATTTAAAATTTTGCTAGTACTTACCACTTTAGTTTTTTTTGTTTTGTTTTGTTTCTTTTGAACTTGTTTTAGTTTGTGTTTCTGGAGAGGAACAAGAAACATAGTGGGTATTGAAAATGTTTATCTCTGATAACAACAGATTATTTTGATCTCATTATAAGATGCTTGGGGTTTTAAAGTTATCAGTTTGCATAATTTGACTATCTCATGATCCACAATAGTGAAGGGGGCATGAGTTTATCTGTTTATTTATATGTTTCTTTTAAACATATAAGGAGGAACATTTAAAATCTTTTAAAAACTCAAGTGTTGTCTACAATGGAATCCACCTAACATACCACTTGCAATAGAGTAGAAATTTTTTATTTTTATTTTTTACTCTTTGAACACATATATTTGGTAGACATTAAACAAAGAAAAAAAATTCAGCGGTTGCCATTAAAAACTGTCCAATAAAACATTTTTATTGAGTTAGGTTTATTTGTACGTTTAATGTGAATTATTAAAGAATGAGAATTGAAGTGATTTATTCCTTTTCTTGAGCTCTAACACAGCAGTTGGCACTATCTATGTGATTCTTCCTTTCAAGGATCTAACAGTCCTGTGTATGGTAATTTCCTTGCAGATTACGTCCACCCAGTGCCCCTGGATGTTCAGTTCAAGTTTTGTCTTTGGTTTTATAGATTTCAACTTTTAAAAAGCAAATAGCATGAAGTTCTCTCTTTATGAGCGTTCTCTTTTATCACTCTCAAATTCCACTTTTCTTCTTCAGATGTAGCTGTGGGTTTGCAAGTTAGGGTGCCCAAAAAGCAAAGGGGTTTGAGATGGCTCAGAGAAATTGGGTCTTAAAATCTGTTAGAAATGATGAAGCCAAAAGGTTCATGCTGACAATTTGCATAATGACTAAGATTTTCTAGAGTTAGTAGTTTGACAAACTGTAAAATATTCAAGAAATCACCATTGCAGGTCTTGCTGTCTCTGTCAAGATGACAAAATCATACTTTTACTAGGATAAACTGTGTATGAATAATTTTGCTAGGTATATTTTATTCAAACAGATTTTCTGTTTCCATCATCAAAGGATTCCTTGACCTGGACAATGTCTATTTCCAGCAACACACATACTTATAAATGACATTGCACATCTGCTGCTGTACTACTTAGGAGTCTATAAGATGTTCCAGCAAGGTGTACAAAGACAGAAAAAAATCTATAACAAAAGCATGTAAATACAATGAGAATCTGAGTTGCTGTAGGAATCATAGATACATGATTTCTCTCTCTATATATTCATATATATATAGATATATATATACACAAACACGTATAATTTACTCTCACAAAACAATGAAAGATGCCTTTGTTGTGACCTTTAAAATTCTATTCTAGAAAACAAAAATAGAAAAGTAAACCACAAAACTTCCATGTAAACTTGGATGGGAGAAGCAAAGGCACTTTTTTTTATATTCTCGGCTTATTAGTGAAATAACCAAGGACATTTAAATGGTAGTTAAACCTGTAACCGTGTTAGAAAGTAGGAAGAGGTATCATCCATGAGTCAGAAACATCAAAGAAAGCCTGGTGGATGGAACTGCTAAATCTGCTTGGTTATGCTGAGAAACAGCAGCATCAATGGGAACAAAATCAAGGGGACCCTCCAGAAAGTCACCCACACTTCCTGAGGATTGAACACCATTTAGACCTTGATTAGCCACCATTCAACACTAATGTAGCCTGTATTCAACATAAATATTCAACGAAAGGTCCAAGTTTAGTTACATCAAGCAGGAAGTTTCAGTGTTAGCAATACCAAGTGGAAAGTTAGCATGAGATAAGGGCTGGATAAATAACTGAAAGGAAGAAAAAGCTTATTTACCCTAACGAAATAAGAGTGAGGAAAACATTACACTCATGTACAAAATACATATTTTGAAGGAGGAAAAAATTACTATATAGAAGAAGCTGAAAGAAACTTTAGAAAACACTCGTTTTGTGTTCTCAAAATAAAATAAAACCAAACCTTCATAAACTTTAAAAAACAGTAGATAAAAGAAGGGATGATAAGACAACACATTGAGAAGAAAACATGAGAGGGTGAGAGGAAAGCAAAAACAGAAACCCTGCACCCTGCAAGTGCAAAGCAAAACAGCCTCAAACATATACCTTGCAGTGGTGAACCTGAATTATTTTCTTTTGGTTAGATGACCATCAGCATAATTACTATAGAAATATTAAGACCTGAGTTAAGAGTAAATGTGGATGGTCAGTGTTTTTAAAAAGATGCAACATGTGTCCACTAACTCCACTGAGTAGCCAAACATACGCTAAAGGAACAGAATTTCTTCTGAAGAAAACACATGGGAATACTAAGAAACCATGTCTTGTTAAAAAAAAGAAAAAAAAAAGCTGTTCCATGGGTGGTTGGCATTGAGCAATTTGTATTAAAAAAAACTGCAATGAGGGCAATATTCTAGCCCAGAGTTTGGGTAATTTTTGGTGATGGTAGAAGCAAAAAATGTTATGAGAAAAAATTTGTGCAGGTATGAGTGATTAATTCCAACTGAGGTTTAGTGGATGGTGTTAGGAAATGAAGATCATATTACCGCAAAGTGAGCTTCCTTCTAATTTATCTTTGCTTGTATGGCAATAAGTAGAATCAGAAACATACAGATAAATTTATACCTGGATCGTTCTTTAAACAACAGTCCTTTTATTTACTGGGACAAGCGTTAACAATTGCAGGGATGAGAGTTTATTTCCATTCAGAAGCAATTCATCCAGTTTCCATTAACCAGCTTAGAGTGTGGTTCAGACTGCAGTTAATTTTATTTATGCGAGGCTTCTGGCTTCTAGGTGTTGTTTTAAGAGCAAAATGTTAAATAAGCTTCTCAACTTCCCCTGGTCATCCCCAAATTTAAGTGCCAGGGGTGGAAGTAAAGGAGGGTTTGAGATAGGAATGAAAACTAAAGTCTCAAATTCTTGATGATAAAATATATTCTGTGATGTACGGGAGGCAGGGAAAAACTAGCAACTCCATTATTGCATTTCATAAAATAAAATCTATGGATTTCTCTTCTATGTTTGAGGGTAAAGCAAGTGCTCAGAAATGAATTAGTCTTTCTTCATCACCTGAACCATATGGTGACTTGTTTTCATTTGGAAGTAAGATTTATACTTTAATCACAACAGTCAGGCTCTGGAAAACTATACTGATATCATGCAGTTCTCAATGCAAGCTTGGGCAGAGTTCTGCCTTAGAGGGGAAACTTCTCCCAGTGAGGCCATTCTGTTGCCAAACCTTCTTGTATGAAGTTAAATTCATTTCTTACAACATTTTGTTTTGTAGCAAATCATACTGCAGAGAGGCTCTGGTTCAGCAGAAACTGAAAAACACTCATTACCAAGACATTCCTCTCAGCTTGCCTAACTTGAGACAAGTTTCTTTCTGACTCTAGGCTCTTGACTTCCCTTTTCTTAGAACATTTACTTTAGAAGACGTGTAAATTCTCTTTCTGCTCCTTCCAGATGTAAATCTTTTAAAAAGTCTCCTGCCAGTTTTACAAGCCGAGAGTGTCTTTCTCCAGGACCCGAAGCTATCCTTTTAAAATGTAATCAAGAAAGATAAAGCTTCTATCAACCCAGGCTCTAAGGAAAGGGTAGGAGTGTAACTTCAATGGGTGCCTGTTAGCAAACACAGGTGGTCTTATTACAGAGAGAAACACTTGCACTCTCAGGAATAACTCAATGTGCCCCACACACTGCATCAATCAACCTCTTCCCTAATGTCCTCCAGTAGTTTTCTGTTAGCTCACAGCAGTACTTAAAAACATTTCGACCTTTTGTTTCAATGAATTTGAGTTAAAACTCAGCCCTGGCATCTCTTACCTGTTGCAATAGCCTTGAATAAAGTCTTCCTTGTCTGTTTAACTTTGGTGGAATTTTTGCTTTGACACTTATGGACTGCATGTTTGTGCCCGCCCCACCCCACTCCCAAATTCATATGTTGAAACTTTAACCTCCAATGGGACAGTATTAGAAGGTAGAATCTTTGGGAGGTAATTAGGTTTAGATGCAGTCATGATGGTGGAGTCTCCATGACCAAATTGTTGTTCTTATGTGAAGGGAAAGAGACTAGAAAACACTCTCTGCCCCACCCCCCCAACCCCAGTGCATACAAGGAAGACCATGTGATAACAGGGAAGACGGCCCTCACAAGAACCTGACTTAGGCACCCAAATGTGAATGTCTGTGTATTCACAGACAGTCACATGTATGTCTGAAAATGTCTGAAAGCCTCTTACGGAACATTATAAATCCTACAGTTCTATAGTGCCTCATAGGATTAGGTGACTAGAAGGACATTTGGTGGAGGAGAAAGGTAGGTTGGGGTGAGAGAAAAATTTATTTGGAGGTAGTGGCCAGACTTTGTCACTTCATATATTCCATCTTAATGAAACTAGCAGAATAAAACCATGAATTACATTTTATTATTTGTGTAGTTTTATTACAAGTAGTTTGACAACTTCTGCTGTTAATAACGCATTCTGTTTTGTTTTCTCTCAGGAAATTTACTAGCTCGGGTGAGGGAGAAATATTTGTGTCTCCCACATTCCACATCATACTGGTTGTTGGAGGGTGGTAGTGTAAACCAGAAGGAACTTCCTACTCTCACCTTAATTGCTTCTGACTTACTATAGTGACATTAAGAGTGCTATTTTTGGAAGCATCTTTGGACTTAGAGAAGATTGTACCCATCTGGAGGCCTCCAGTGGCTGTCTAGTATGAATTGAACTTTTAAAAATTTATTAAAAACACAAAGAGCTGTGGAAATGTTAGCTACATCATTAATTGAATTATTTCTCTTGAGAGTATTTTTTGTTGCTGTTTGTCTTACAAACCATTCCCACAGGACATAATTAAACCCAAGAGGTTGGTTGCGTGTGTGTTGCGGAGGGAGGCAGAGTTGGGAGAGGAGTGGAGTAGAGTTTGGAACACAAAAGGTGGTAAGATTGTAATCACCAGCTATTATCTAATTGGGCTGCCCCATTCTCCTAGCAATATTAATAACACAATTTAATAGCTGAAGCTCAATTTCATCTATAACGGTAAATTACTTAATGCCTTTAAAGTTGTAAGCAAAGTAAAAGTGAAAGTTAGTCTTTCTTGATGATGAAATACTTTCAGAATTCTGGAAAGAATGAAGGAGGCTATGAGATTGGGATTGGGGTCTATGTGGTGAGAGATGGGAAACTTCTGGTTATGACGGAAGTAAGTTTTGATACCTAAGGAAAAATAAAGCATTTTCTCTAACTCAATGGCAAAGCAGAACCAGATGCAAATTGATCTTTTTCAGAACTTACACATGTCAGAGTCTGCAACTGTTTTGAGGCATTTTAGGTAGAGCTCACTAGAGGCTTTCTTCGAAGATCTGGTTTGAAGCAGTTGCTTCAACTTTTGGAGGCTCCCATCGTATCAAAGTCCTAAATTATGTTGCAGATCATTGCAATACTAGTCACTGCAACATTTCAGAGTCAAAAGTTTTTCATATATATTTACTTCTTGTGAAAAAGACCTGCTTCTGGAACCCACAGAAGTGGATATTTTCCTGGTAGCCCCTCTTGTCTGAGAAGCGAATATAAAAGGTTAAGATTTAAAGGCATTCTTTATCTGGTCCCTCACAAACTACTTCTGACTCAATTTAAAAACAAAGGGCAATCATTATCTTTCTAGCACAGAAACTCCACCCCATTAGGAAGTCCAAACTTAGTGAACGAGCATCTCCAGAGATAGGTGAAGGCAGGACACAGGAGCTGTCTTCTGCTCACTTGTAATGACAGGGATTTCCCCAATTTCTGAGTAGTTCACTCAATGTTTATGAGGTCCATAAGAATTCTTCTGCATTGTTAACCTAAGTCAGTTATTAAACTCATATCTAACAAACATATAAAAATTATATTTTTAAACACTTTATTTATTGATAATACCTTATTTCTTTACAACACTTAATTCTTTTGAAATATTTTCACAAACATTATTTTAATCTAACTTGTTAGCTACCACCCACCCATTTGTTCTTGTATTTATTCTATCAACAAATAGTTTAAATAATTATTAAGTGCCAGACACAACCATATGAGTTACATATTTATGAATTTGTTTTTGGATCGAGGAAACTGAAGGTAATGGAGATTAAATGACTTGTTTAGGATCACAAAGCTAGTAATTTTTAGATTCAGAGTTTGCACCCAAAAAGTAAGACAAATTTAGTACTTTTCTCATTAAAAAAACTTTCAGATTTTGAAGAGGGGTTTACAAAATGATGCACCCATCATTTGGCAGTGCGAGTGACTAAGATTCAGTGCCTGTTGCTGCTAACTTAAGTTTGAGCTTTGAAGTTTGTTGTTGTTGTTGTTTCTTGAGAATTACATTTTCCATGTAAGTGGGAAGGCTAGCTCAGGAACTAGAGAAATATTGTGATATATCTGTGTTTCATCATTTCTAAAATGTCTAAAATGGCAGGAAGTAGAATAAAAGAACTAAGATAGGCACTACATAATGTCAATTCATACCACCTTATGATATGTTTATGGAACTAAAACTACATAATCATCACTTTTTAATTGATATGTGTCTTGGAAGATTAACATAAAATAAACTTTGTGCTGTTATTAAAGGACATTCTCTAAGAAGCTCACTCACCATGTTCTAAAACAATTCCTTTCTCTAAACTTTTTTTTTTTAATTATACTTTAAGTTCTAGGGTACATGTGCACAAAGTGCAGGTTTGTTACATATGTATACGTGTGCCATGTTGGTGTGCTGCACCCATTAACTCGTCATTTACATTAGGTGTATCTCCTAATGCTATCCCTCCCCCGTCCCCCCACCCCACAACAGGCCCTGGTGTGTGATGTTCCCTTTCCTGTGTCCAAGTGTTCTCATTGTTCAATTCCCACCTATGAGTGAGAACATGCGGTGTTTGGTTTTTCTGTCCTTGCAATAGTTTGCTGAGAATGATGGTTTCCAGCTTCATCCATGTCCCTGTAAAGGACATGAACTCATCCTTTTTTATGGCTGCATAGTATTCCATGGTGTATATGTGCCACATTTTCTTAATCAGTCTATCATTGATGGACATTTGTGTTGGTTCCAAGTCTTTGCTATTGTGAATAGCACCACAATAAACATATGTGTGCGAGTGTCTTTATAGCAGCATGATTTCTAATCCTTTGGGTACATACCCAGTAATGGGATTGCTGGGTCAAATGGTATTTCTAGTTCTAGATCCTTGAGGAATTGCCACACTGATTTCCACAATGGTTGAACTAGTTTACAGTCCCACCAACAGTGTAAAGGCGTTCCTATTTCTCCACATCCTCTCCAGCACCTGTTGTTTCCTGACTTTTTAATGATTGCCATTCTAACTGGTGTGAGATGGTATCTCATTGTGGTTTTGATTTGTATTTCTCTGATGGCCGGTGATGATGAGCATTTTTTCATGTGTCTTTTGGCTGCATTAATGTCTTCTTTTGAGAAGTGTCTGTTCATATCCTTCGCCCACTTTTTGATGGGGTTGTTTGTTTTTTTCTTGTGAATTTGTTTGAGTTCATTGTAGATTCTGGATATTAGTACTTTGTCAGATGAGTAGATTGCAAAAATGTTTTCCCATTCTGTAGGTTGCCTGTTCACTCTGATGGTGGTTTCCTGTGCAGAAGCTCTTTAGTTTAATTAGATCCCATTTGTCAATTTTGGCTTTTGGTGTTTTAGACATGAAGTCCTTGCCCATGCCTATGTCATGAATGGTATTGCCTAGGTTTTCTTCTAGGGTTTTTATGGTTTTATGTCTAACATTTAAGTCTTTAATCCATCTTGAATTAATTTTTGTATAAGGTGTAAGGAAGAGATCCAGTTTCAGCTTTCTTCATATGGCTAGCCACTTTTCCCAGCACCCTTTATTAAATAGGGAATCCTTTCCCCATTTCTTGTTTTTGTCAGGTTTGTCAAAGATCAGATGGTTGTAGATGTGTGGTATTATTTCTGAGGGCTCTGTTCTGTTCCATTGGTCTATATCTCTGTTTTGGTACCAGTATCATGCTGTTTTGGTGACTGTAGCCTTGTAGTATAGTTTGAAGTCAGGTAACATGATGCCTCCAGCTTTGTTCTTTTGGCTTAGGATTGTCTTGGCAATGCGGGCTCTTTTTTGGTTCCATATGAACTTTAAAGTAGTTTTTTCCAATTCTGTGAAGAAAGTCATTGGTAGCTTGATGGGGATGGTATTGAATCTATAAATTACCTTGGGCAGTATGACCATTTTCACGATATTGATTCTTCCTATCCATGAGCATGGAATGTTATTCCATTTGTTTGTGTCCTGTTTTATTTCGCTGAGCAATGGTTTGTAGTTCTCCTTGAAGAGGCCCTTCATATCCCTTGTAAGTTGGATTCCTAGGCGTTTTATTCTCTTTGAAGCAATTGTGAATGGGAGTTCACTCATGATTTGGCTCTCTTGTTTGTCTGCTATTGGTGTAGAAGAATGCTTGTGATTTTTGCACATTGCTTTTGTATCCTGAGAGTTTCCTGAAGTTGCTTATCAGCTTAAGGAGATTTTGGGCTGAGACGATGGGGTTTTCTAGATATACAATCATGTCATCTGAAAACAGGGACAATTTGACTTCCTATTTTCCTAATTGAATACACTTTATTTCTTTCTCCTGCCTGATTGCCTTGGCCAGAACTTCCAACACTATGTTGAATAGGAGTGGTGAGAGAGGGCATCCCTGACTTGTGCCAGTTTTCAAAGGGAATTCTTCCAGTTTTTGCCCATTCAGTATGATATTGGCTGTGGGTTTGTCATAAATTGCTCTTATTATTTTGAGATACGTCCCATCAATACCAAATTTATTGAGAGTTTTTAACATGAAGGGCTGTTGAATTTTGTCAAAGGCCTTTTCTGCCTCTATTGAGATAATCATGTGTTTTTTGTCTTTGGTTCTGTTTATATGCTGGATTACGTTTATTGATTTGCATATGTTGAACCAGCCTTGCGTCCCAGGGATGAAGCCCATTTGATCATGGTGGATAAGCTTTTTGATGTGCTGCTGGATTCAGTTTGCCAGTATTTTATTGAGGATTTTTGCATCGATGTTCATCAGGGATATTTGTCTAAAATTCTCTTTTTTTGTTGTTCTGTCTCTGCCAGGCTTGGTATCAGGATGATGCTGGACTCATAAAATGAGTTAGGGAGGATTCTCTCTTTTTCTATTGACTGGAATAGTTTCGGAAGGAATGGTACCAGCTCCTCCTTGTACCTCCGGTAGAATTCGGCTGTGAATCCATCTGGTCCTGGACTCTTTTTTAGTTGGTAAGCTATTAATTATTGCCTCAATTTCAGAGCCTGTTATTGGTCTATTCAGAGATTCAACTTCTTCCTGGTTTAGACTTCAGAGGGTGTATGTGTTGAGGAATTTATCCATTTCTTCTAGATTTTCTAGTTTATTTGCGTAGAGGTGTTTATAGTATTCTCCAATGGTAGTTTGTATTTCTGTGGGATCAGTGGTGATATCCCCTTTGTCATTTTTTATTGCGTCTATTTGATTCTTCTCTCTTTTCTTCTTTATTAGTCTTACTAGTGGTCTATCAATTTTGTTGATCTTTTCAAAAAACCAGCTCCTGGATTCATTGATTTTTTGAAGTGCGTTTTGTGTCTCTATCTCCTTCAGTTCTGCTCTGATCTTAGTTATTTCTTGCCTTCTGCTAGCTTTTGAATGTGTTTGCTCTTGCTTCTCTAGTTCTTTTAATTGTGATATTAGGGTGTCAATTTTAGATCTTTCCTGCTTTCTCTTGTGGGCATTTAGTGCTATAAATTTCTCTCTACGCACTGCTTTAAATGTGTCCCAGAGATTCTGGTATGTTGTGTCTTTGCTCTCATTGGTTTCAAAGAACATCTTTATTTCTGCCTTCATTTCGTTATGTACCCAGTAGTCATTCAGGAGCAGGTTGTTCAGTTTCCATGTAGTTGAGCGGTTTTGAGTGAGTTTCTTAATCCTGAGTTCTAGTTTGATTGCACTGTGGTCTGAGATACAGTTTGTTATAATTTCTGTTCTTTTACATTTGCTGAGGAGTGCTTTACTTCCAACTATGTGGTCAGTTTTGGAATAAGTGTGATGTGGTGCTGAGAAAAATGTATATTCTGTTGATTTGGGGTGGAGAGTTCTATAGATGTCTATTAGGTCCACTTGGTGCAGAGCTGAGTTCAATTCCTGGATATCCTTGTTAACTTTCTGTCTCATTGATCTGTCTAATGTTGACAGTGGGGTGTTAAAGTCTCCAGTTATTATCGTGTGGGAGTCTATGTCTCTTTGTAGGTCTCTAAGGACTTGCTTTACGAATCTGGGTGCTCCTGTATTGAGTGCATATATATTTAGGATAGTTAGCTCTTCTTGTTGCGTTGATTCCTTTACCATTATGTAATGGCCTTCTTTGTCTCTTTTGACCTTTGTTGGTTTAAAGTCTGTTTTATCAGAGACTAGCATTGCAACCCCTTCCTTTTTTTGTTCCATTTGCTTGGTAGATCTTCCTCCATCCCTTTATTTTGAGCCTATGTGTGTCTCTGCACATGAGATGGGTCTCCTGAAGACAGCACACTGATGGGTCTTGACTCTTTATTCAATTTGCCAGGCTGTGTCTTTTAATTGGAGCATTTAGCCCATTTACATTTAAGATTAATATTGTTATGTGTGAATTTGATCCTGTCATTATGATATTAGTTGGTTATTTTGCTTGTTAGTTGATGCAGTTTCTTCCTAGCATAGATGGTCTTTACAATTTGGCATGTTTTTACAGTGGCTGATACCGGTTTTTCCTTTCCATGTTTAGTGCTTCCTTCAGGAGCTCTTGTAGGACAGGCCTGGTGGTGACAAAATCTCTCAGCATTTGGTTTTCTGTAAAGGATTTTATTTCTCCTTCACTTATGAAGCTTAGTTTGGCTGGATATGAAATTCTGGGTTGAAAATTCTTTTTCTTTAAGAACGTTGAATATTGGCCCCCACTCTCTTCTGGCTTGTAGAGTTTCTGCTGAGAGATCCGCTGTTAATCTGATGGGCTTCCCTTTGTGGGTAACCCAACCTTTCTCTCTGGCTGCCCTTAATATTTTTTCCTTCATTTCAACTTTGGTGAATCTGACAATTATGCGTCTTGGAGTTGCTCTTCTCGAGGAGTATCTTTGTAGCGTTCTCTGTATTTCCTGAATTTGAATGTTGGCCTGCCTTGCGAGGTTGGGTAAGTTCTCCTGGATAATATCCTTCAGAGTGTTTTCCAACTTGGTTCCATTCTCCCCGTCACTTTCAGGTACACCAATCAGACGTAGATTTGGTCTTTTCACATAGTCCCATATTTTTTGGAGGCTTTGTTCGTTTCTTTTCACTCTTTTTTCTCTAAACTTCTCTTCCTGCTTCATTTCATTCATTTCATCTTCCATCACTGATACCCTTTCTTCCAGTTGATCAAATCGGCTACTGAAGCTTGTGCATTCGTCACGTAGTTCTCGTGCCATTGTTTTCAGCTCCATCAGGTCATTTAAGAACTTCTCTACACTAGTTATTCTAGTTAGCTATTTGTTTAATCTTTTTTCAAGGTTTTTAGCTTCTTTGTGATGGGTTCGAACTTCCTCCTTTAGCTTGGAGAAGTTTGATCATCTGAAGCCTTCTTCTCTCAACTCGTCAAAGTCATTCTCCATCCAGCTTTTTTCTGTTGCTGGTGAGGATCTGCATTCCTTTGGAGGGGGAGAGGCACTCTGATTTTTTGAATTTTCAACTTTTCTGCTCTGTTTTTTCCCCATCTTTGTGGTTTTATCTACCTTTGGTCTTTGATGATGGTGCCATACAGATGAGGTTTTGGTGTGATGTCCTTTCTGTTTGTTAGTTTTCCTTCTAACAGTCAGGACCCTCAGCTGCAGGTCTGTTGGAGTTTGCTGGAGGTCCACTCCAGACCCCGTTTGCCTGGGTATCAGCAGCGGAGGCTGCAGAACAGCGAATATTGCTGAACAGCAAATGTTGCTGCCTAATCATTCCTCTGTAAGTTTCATCTCAGCTGGGTACCCGGCCGTGTGAGGTGTCAGTCTGCCCCTACTAGGGGGTGCCTCCCAGTTAAGCTACTCGGGGGTCAGGGACCCACTTGAGGAGGCAGTGTGTCTGTTCTCAGATCTCAAACTCCATGCTGGGAGAACCACTACTCTCTTCAAAGCTGTCAGACAGGGACATTTAAGTCTGCAGAGGTTTCTCCTTCCTTTTGTTTGGCTATGCCCTGCCCCCAGAGGTGGAATCTACAGAGGCAGGCAAGCCTCCTTGAGCTGCGGTGGGCTCCACCCAGTTCGAGCTTCTTGGCCGCTTTGTTTACCTACTCAAGCCTCAGCAACGGCAGGTGCCCCTCCCCTGCCTCACTGCCGCCTTGCAGTTCGATCTCAGGCTGCTGTGCTAGCAATGAGGGAGGCTCTGTGGGCATGGGACCCTCCAAGCCAGGCGGGGGATATAATCTCCTGGTGTGCCGTTTGCTAAGACCATTGGAAAAGTGCAGTATTACGGTGGGAGTGACCCAATTTTCCAGGTGCTGTCTGTCACAGCTTTGCTTGGCTAGGAAAGGAAATTCCCTGACCCCTTGTACTTCCCGGGTGAGGTGATGCCTTGCCCTGCTTCAGCTCATGCTTGGTGTGCTGCACCCACTGTCCTGCACACACTGTCTGACAAGCCCCAGTGAGATGAACCCAGTACCTCAGTTGGAAATGCAGAAATCACCCGTCTTCTGCGTCGCTCACGCTGGGAGCTGTAGCTCTCTAACCTTTTAAAAATATTTTTTAGAGATGTAGACGCACTCTGTTTCCCAAGCCGGAGTGCAGTGGTGCAATCTCAGCCAACTGCAACCTTCACCTCCCAGGTTCAAGCGATTCTCCCACCTCAGCCTTTCAAGTAGCTGGGATTACAGGTGCTCGCTATCATGCCTGACTAATCTTTGTATTTTTAGTAGAGATGGGTTTTACCATGTAGGCCAGGCTGGTCTCAAGCTTCTTACCTCAGGTGATCCACCTGCCTCAGCCTCCCAAAGTTCTGGGATTACAGGTGTGAGCCACTGCACCTGGCCCCTTTTCCTAACTTTTATAACTTTATTGTGGTTAAAAAAAGATAGTGGCACAGGAAATTTAAATTATTTGGACAATATCTATACAGATGAACAGGCTTAGATTTAAATTCAGCCATAGCATCAGGCAATAGTGGTAGTGCTAATATTAGAACTTACATTAATTCTGTATCTACTTGTTATTATTCTTTCAGAGAAGACAATAGTGCTTCATAAAGATATAGTTGCAACCAGCTTTTATTGTAGTATTTATGTACCAAAGAAGTGTTGCCATATACACCAGTCAGGATAAAGGAGGTTACGCTGTAGTAAAACATTATTCATGAATTTCAGTGGTTTAATACAATAAAGCTTTATTACATGGTTAAAGAAGCACAGAAGAGGCCCTGCTTCACAGTTGCCAAGGGTCCTGGTTAAGGGAGGAACTGACATCTCAACATGAGGTTCAGGGTTTGCTGCAGTATCAGAAAAAGGAGAATGGAGAATTGCACAGGGTTTTATGTTTTTGTTTCTGTTTTTCTTAACCTCTGTATGGAAGTGACATGTTATTTTTACTCACATTTTTGTGATACATGTATCACTTGTATGGGATCTGAGAGTACAGAAGTTGGAAAAGTGTATAAGTCAATTATCTGGATAAAAGACAATGGAACTGACTACTCAATTATATATATAATCCCACTTAGATGAAGATTTGTGCCTATCAATCCATCTTTCTTTACTTTGTTGATACATAATTAATAAATCATTTCATTACATACTCAAATGTAATAATTCCACTAATTCTGAGAACAAGGGAGACTTGCCCTTGTAACTGATGCCCCCAGCATGAAATATTCTTTAACAGCCACATCTAGATTTATGATTCATTAAAAATCAATGATTTTAGTAACAGTCTTTTCAGAATGACTCTAAAATGATTTGCTTTCAAATATTAAGTCTAAGACTTAATGGTGGTGTTTTTTCCTGATTAGTCAATTTCTTCATTTAGTTTTTGCAGGGATTCTAAATCCCTAAACTATTTCAGTCTTTTATAAAACTTTTCCTTGTATTTTACTTCAAGTTGAAAAATAGTTATACCTACCCAAATAAAGTTTTAAAATGTGGAAGACAGTGTGGCGATTCCTCAAGGATCTAGAACCAGAAATACCATTTGATCCAGCAATCCCATTACTGGTTATATACCCAAAGGATTATAAATCATTCTACTATAAAGACACATGCAGACATATGTTTATTGTGGCACTGTTCACAATAGCAAAGACTTGGAACCAACCCAAATGCCATCAATGATAGACTGGATAAAGAAAATGTGGCACATATACACCATGGAATACTATGCAGCCATGAAAAAGGATGAGTTCATGTTCTTTGCCGGGACATGGATGAAGCTGGAAGCCATCATTCTCAGCAAACTAACACAGGAACAGAAAACCAAACACTGCATGTTCTCACTTATAAGTGGGAGTTGAATAATGAGATCACCTGGACAGAGAGGGGAACATCACACACTGGGGTGTGTTGGGGGGTCAGGGGGCTAGGGGAGGAATAGCTTTAGAAGAAATACCTAAAGTAGGTGATGGATTGATGGGTGCAGCAAACCACCATGGCACATGTGTACCTATGTAACAAACCTGCATGTTCTGTACATGTATCCCAGAACTTAAAGTATAATTAGAAAAATAAAAAATAAAAAGAAACAAACTGTTGATACACACACACACATAAAGTTTAAAAGTGTGTGTTTGTTGTTTTTTTTGCTCAACATTATGTATATGTAATTCCTATTGCTGTAACTGTAATTCATTCACTTATTGCTGTTCTACTGTATGAATATACCAGTATTTAATTATCTGTTCTACTTTTGATGGGCTATTGGGTATTTTCCAGTTTGGGGCAAAAAAAAATAGATTCCTTTTTGTGCTAAGAATTAAGTACTCAGAATTCAATAGCATCTTGAAAAGTAGAAAATGTATTGTTACCTGAAAAAAGTCACCCACCTTTTAGAAGCAGAAGAAAGGAAGAAACTATCAATTATCACATAATGTTTGATACAGAAGACAATGAAATGTGTTTTTCAATAGTTTTTCTCTTACAAAGTATATAATCTGTGTCTCCTAATTAATAAAACAAGGGTAATCATGTTGTCACCTATTGTAGAGCATTAGACCAAGATTAACAAGGTAATATTGGTAAATTGCTTTGAGAATCTCAGATGAAGGGCATCAAGTAAGAAAGTGTTAGCTAAATAGTGATTACAATATACTCACACACATGCAAACATATACACACATATATTTATGTGTGCATATGTTTTATAATAAGTTTTACATGTCCCTGTGTTATCTGGAAATGGGTTTCTCAACATCACCACTATTGACATTTTGGTTTAGACAGTTCTTTGTTGTGGATATTGTCCTGTGAACTGAAGGATGTTTAGCAGCATCCTTGGTCTCCACCCACTAGATGCTAGTGGCGACCCTTCCTCCAGCTGTGATAATAAAAAATATCTTTAGACATTGCCAAATATTCCCCTGAGAGAAAAGTTATCTCTATCTAGAACCACTGATTTAGAGGCTAAGACAGCAAGCATCAATATGAGGAAGTAAAAATATAAAAAAGAAAATTAATTGATTAGGCTAAAAGAAAGCCTTTAAACTGAAAAGAGAAAAAAATGATGATTTTTAAAAGGGTTAGTTTATGCTCATTAACTGTGTGACCCTGGACAAATGATTTTCCCCTCCCAGAGCCTCAATTTCTCATGGGCAAGGTGAAGACAATTAGTTTTAGTTCATGTGTTTCATGCAAAGGTGAAACGAGGTAATATATATAAAGCCCTTTGCAAGTCATTCGGTCCATAATAAGCACCCAATAAAATGGTAGCTTTAAAAGAAAATGAGAAAAGAGACACATCTTTTGTTCTTTCCATTTATCTGCAACTTGGAGAATATTTGTATGAAGCCCCCAAGTCACCTTCAGACTCAGGAGACAGCACTGTGCATATGTTAATGTGTATAGAAATGAAATATGGGAACTACATCTGAGTCCATATGAATGCATTCCCTCTAAACCAATAATTTAGTGAACTTCTCATTTGCTTGTAATGCCTATAGCGCTAAAAGACCATATTTTAAAACTATAGATATGGGGTTTTCTTTTTCCTTTTTTGAGATCTGTACTCCAGCTATGCTAACCAAGGATTTCAAAACAACACTGACAATACTTGATATGGTTTGGTTGTGTCCCTACCCAAATCTCACATTGAATTGCAATCCCCATAATCCCCACGTGTCTAGAGAGATACCTGGTGGAAGGTGATTGGATCATGGGGGTGGTTTTCCCCATGCTGTTCTTGTGATAGTGAGTGAGTTCTCATTAGATCTGATTTAATTTGGATCTCATTAGATCTAATGAGATTTTAAATTTTTTTTATTAGGGCCTCTCCCCGCTTTTCTCTTCACTCCTCTCTCTGCTGCCACCATGTGAAGAAGGCCCTTGCTTCCCCTTCACCTTTTGCTATGATTGTAAGTTTCCTGAGGCCTCCCCAGCCATGTGGAACTGTGAGTCAATTAAAGCTCTTTCTTTTATAAATTTAAAAAAATGATAGTTTAAGGGAGATGCTTCCTTTTGGAACTTGATAGGCTGACTCAAAAACTATAATAGAGAATAAAAAAAACAAGAATAACAAATAATTTTGAACAAAATCAGAAATTTTGCTCTTTTGATTAGTTGTTATATTAACACTATAATACTGGTATAGAAATAGACAAATAGAACAATGAAATATGATAGAGAACCTAGAAACCCAAATAAAAGAAATCCCTAAAATCTGTGAGGTCTGGGGTAAGTGTGCAAAAGTATGTGGTGGTGCAGGAAAAGCAGGTCTCTGACTACCACTCCTGAGAGACTTCACCCACCCTTGTTATCTTCCTATTCCCAAGTGTTTCGTGCACACATATGTGTGGACGCCAGAGCTCTGGCCTATATAGCTAAGCTCTTTACACACACACACACACACACACACACACACACACACACACACAGACACTCCAAAACAGCCTCCACTTGGCCAGCCCTCATGCTTAGAAGTACGCCTATTAGTGGCATTGTCTTTCCTCCTCGGGGAAAACCGATTGTGCAGGTCTTATAAGTAAGCTCAGCGTTATTTGGGTAGGAAATTCTAGCATCTAGGATATCATTAGGTAGGTTTAAAATTGAGGCATGGATTCTGAATGGAAATGTCCCTAGTCTTGCAGTCTCTTTTCACCATACAAAGAGATATGGCAGGAGGAAGAACTGATTAGACCCTTTGAAGTATGCATGCTAAGCCAGATGTTCCTCTTCTGGAAGCTATGGGTGGAATTGTACAAAATATATGAAGACCCTTTTCTATGACAGAGTCTTTCAAATCAGTGGGGGAAGACCAGAGTGTTCAACAAACAGTATTGGTATAACTGATTGTCCATAAAGAAAAAATAAAATTATACCTTTTTCTGACAGCAGAACAAAATACATTCAAGCTATATTGAATATTCAAATATTAAAAGCAAAGTTGAAACCTTTTTTGAAAATATATAAGACAATAACTGATCTCAGGAAGAGTAATATGTTAGACAATAGGAGAAAATCAGACATCTCACAAAGATTATCACCACAGATTCATAATTGACATTCTGTGGAGACATTTACAAGAATAATCTGTTATTTTGCATTCACTAGGATATAGTTTAGAACTTAATTCAAAGAGTTTTAAATTTGTTTCAATGAACAATGTGTTCTGTGAAAGGGCCATGTCTGCAAAATGACCCCAAATACCAAGGAGCTGAGAAACCAAAGAACAAGGCAGACAAATCCAGTTTGTTGGCAAAGGGTATTTTATTGGGGAGAACTTGCAGACAGAAGCGTAGTCTTGGGTGACAGCAAGACACGTAGACTTTGACATTGTTACTCCCCAGACTCAGGGCTTACATACCATAGAAAAAGGATATATGTAGTATAAAGACAGTTAAAGGCAGCCTTCCAGAACAGGCAAGAATGCTATGTGGAATGTAGCCTATAACTTGTGCAATAACATCAAAGTTGACATGTTCTTACACTAGGGACAGCAAATAAAGTAAGAACCAGGAGGCATTCATGGGAATGGGGCTAATCAAAAATCTACATGGCAGAGAACATCCAAAATGGAGTCACTGTTGTCTCCACAAATATAACTGTTGTAGCTACCTGGTATTGTTTGGATATTTGTCCCCTCCACATCTCATGTTGAAATTTGATTTCCGTATTCATAATGGGGTCTGGTGAGAGGTGATGGGTCATAGGAGCAAATCCTTCACTAATGGCTTAGTGTCATCCTAGCATCAGTGAATCTCTCACTCTTAGTTGCCATGAGATCTGGCTGCTGGAAAAAAGCCTGGTGCCTCCTCTTCTCTCGTTCCTTCTCTCTTGCCATGTGATGCCAGCTCCCCTCTGCCTTCTGCCATGATTAAAAGTTTCCTGAGGCCCTCACCAGAAGGAGATGCTGGTACCATGCTTCCTGTATAGCCTGCAGAACTGCGAGCCAAATGAACCTCTTTTCTTGGTAAATTACCTAGTCTCAGGTATCCCTTTATAGCAATTCAAATGGACGAAGACATTACCATACTTAGACAGGATTGACTGCGCCCACCTCCCAAAATTTGGTTCAGATGTCAGTTTCGTGCACCAAAAATGTATGTAAAGTTTTATGATTCACATATTAAAGCTTTCTGAAGAGAGCATGCCAGGAACATAAGTGGGTCCGAAAACTTAAAACCCCAGTCTAATCATGAGAAAAACATCAGACAAAAACCAATGGAGTGACATTCTACAAAATATCTGATAAACACTCCTAAAAATTGTGAAAGTCATCAGAAACTAGGAAAGTCTGAGAAGCTGTCAACCTAGAGGAGCCTAAGAACATAGGACATCTAAATGTAATGTGGTCTTCTGGATGAGATCTTGCGACAGACAGAAGACATTAGATAAAAACTAGGAAAATATGACTAAAGAATGGACTGGAGTTAATAATGTACTAATTTATTTCATAAACTGTAACAAATTACCATACTAATATATTAATGATAGAAGAAATTATGTGGAAAATGTGTGGGAACTCTGGGCCGGGCATGGTGGCTCACACCTGTAATCCCAGGATTTGGGAGGCCAAGATGGGCAGAACATTTGAGGTCAGGAATTTGAGACCAGCCTGACCACCATGGTAAAACCCTGTCTCTACTAAAAATACAAAAAAAAATTAGCCAGATGTGGTGGTGCATGCCTGTAATCCCAGCTACTCAGGAGGCTGAGGCAGGAGAATGGCTTGAACCCAGGAGGTGCAGGTTGCAGTGAGCCGAGATTATGCCACTGCATTCCATTCTGGGTGACAGAGTAAGACTCTGTCTCAAAAAAAAAAGAAAAAAAGAAAAAGAAAAGTAATATGTCGGAACTCTGTACTATATTTGCAATTTAGATTTTTGCAAAATCTAAAACTGTTCTAAAAAATAAAGTTTATTTTAAAAACTTTAACTTTATTAAAACTTTATTTTAGAAAACTAGGACCAATAAGTCCAAGAAAGAGGATGTAGTCCACCCACAAGGATTATTCTTATAAGGAAATTTGGCATGTGAGAAATGTAGTTTTACAAACCAATGGGAAAATACTAAATTTCTCAAATAATATTACTGAAGGAATAGATTTATTCATACTAAAAAAGTAAAAATATATTTCTATTGTCAGGATCTACAAAAATATATTTTAAATGGGTTAAAAGCAAATGTGAAAAGCAAAATTAAACATTCTAAAAGAGATCACAGAGAAAAATTACAATAGTGGAGTAGGGAAAGGTTTTTTTAAATAAGATACATATAGAATAAAACTTAAGGAAATGGGTTAATTTGATGAAATTAATAAGAATTTAAAGTTAATTTAATGAAAGTATAAAGCTAAAAACTTCAATTTGATAAAAAACAAATAAACAAATGGAAAAGACAGTAATTCACCAGGAGGAAATATATGCAACTCAGACAAGTGACAAAGGACTACAAACAAGAATACATAAATTCTTCAGAGTAGTAAGTAGAAGCCAAACAACTCAATAGAAAAATAAACGGGAAAAACATATGAACAGGCAATTTATGGAAAAAGAAATAAAAAACATTCATTCTTATTAATCATCAGGAAAATGCAAACTTAAACCACGAAGTGATACTTATCCATCCATCAAATTGCCCCAGATTATAAGAAAAGTAAGAATATCAACTGTTGCAAAGAATGAAGGTATATAGAAATTATCAGGAATTTTTGTGGGAGTGGAAATTGTCATAATTACTTTAGAGTGCTACTTGGCAATATATAGCAAAGTTGTGCACATAGCACTAGATGTCTGCTGTACAGAAATTCTCACACAGGTGCACAAGAATCACAAGACTTTTCATGGTAATATCATTTGCAATAAGGAACCACTGGAAATGATTTCAATGTCTATTAGTGTTAAGGTTTTGAAAGCATCCCCCAAAAAGCATGTGTTGGGAATTTAATCCCCTATACAATGGTGTCCGGTGGTGGGGTCTAATGAGAGGTGATTGGGCCATGACAGCTCTGCCCTCATGAATGGCTTACTGCTGTTTTTTGGGAGTGAGTTTATTATAAAAAGGTGAGTGTGGCTCCCCTTTTGTTCTCTCTCTCACCCTCTTGTCTTCTGCTATGAGATGACTCAGGAAGAAGACCCTCACTAGATGCCAGGCCCTCAATCTTGGACTTCCCAGACTTCTGAACCATGAGCCAATAAGTTTCTGTTATAAGTTACCAATCTCAGGTATCCTGTTATAGCAGCACAAAATTAAGTTAAAAATTAACCAATTTCAGGTATTCTGTTATAGCAGCACAAAATGGACTAAGACAGTGGGGCAAATGCAAATACTGCATAGCATACTCTTACAAAGACATTTTCTACATTTATTGTATATGAATGAAATACGTGTATTTTTCATGATGTATCTTGAATATATAATGTTAAGAGAAATACACAAGTTGGAACAAGTATATGAACATAAACAAATGACAAATCAATTTCAAATTATTTTTATGTAGTCATGATAATAGACACCTAAAATTTTTAATTGGCAAAGTTCTTATTAATCTTGTTTGACTAAATATGGAAAAAGCAAAAAAGGATTATTAGATAATTTTGGATAACATATAACAATCTTTCACTAACTAAAATTAGTAAAATTTTACTTTTTGTGGAAACCTGCAAAAGTATGCAATAGATTAGTTTGGCAAAAACTGATAAAATGTAGAATTAAACTTTTATTTAATGTCTACCTCATGCTATTTCTTAAGTTTATGAAGATTATATCTTCTGAAAAATTATTTATCATACAACATTTTACCTGAAGGCAATGATGCTGTTTTTCCATTTCTGTATCTCTTGTTCTTTGCTCAGTTTCTAGGGCAGAGTAATAATTTCAAAATTGCTGAATGAAAGAATGAGTAGTGCATCTTAGTCACTATCACACAAAAGGCCTAACAGCTAGCTGCTCTGCCCTGCAATGTTCTTGAACATAGTAACATTATTCCAATATTCTGAATTATTTAAGGTTTTTCACCAATCAGATAAGTTTTAAAAAATATTCTACAGTTAAACCTTAAACAACATGAGGGTTAGATGTGCCAACCCTCTGGGTAGTCAAACCACATATACCTTTTGATTCCCCTGAAACTTAACCACAAATAGCCGACTGTTGACCAGAAACCTTACCAATAACATAAAGAGTTAATTAACACATATTTTGTATATGTATTATGTACTGTAGTCTACAATAAAAGTAATCTAGAAAAAAGAAAATGTTATTAAGAAAATCGTAAGAAAGAAAAATATAATTTGCATTCATTAAGAGGATGTGTTAATAGATCAGGATAAAGATCTTCATCCTCCTTGTCTTCATGTTTCATAGGCTGAGGGACAGGAGGAAGAGAGGGGATTGGTCTTGCTGTCTCAGGGGTAGCAGAGGCAGAAGAACATCCAAGTGTAAGTGGACCTGTGCAGTTCAAACCTCTGTTGTTCTAAGGTAAACTGCACTTGCTTTTAAATACAAACTTCTAAAACATTTCATAAGAATAACTACCTTTGCTTTCTGTAATTATTTATTTCTAAATATTAGATTAATATTATCTATGATTATAATTAAATATCTGCAATTAAATATAACATAAAACAGTAGTCCTCAATTGCAGGTACTTTTGCCTCTAATGGGACATTTGGCAAGGTCCATAGCTATGTTTGGTTGTCACAACTCAAGGGAGGCTGCTATTGGCATCTAGTGGGTAGAGGCCAGGGCTGCTGCTGCTACATATCCTGCAATGCCTAGGATAGATTCCTCACACACAAAAAAAGACTTATCTGGACTAAAATGCCAATAATGCTAAAATGCCAAATAACCCTGATTTATACTGAAGGGAGAGGAAAAATGAAACATGAACATTCAAAGACTAACTAGCAAGCTAGTTCTTCAAAGCGAACAAATACATAACAGAAATTAGAATTTCCTGAAATAAACTATTTCAGTGCATATTAAAAGCTTGTATGTTTTGTTTATTTTATTTACTTCTTTCCCTCAGTAAGAGTTGGTAGCAGTACCCCTGTTCTATTCACTAAACTTCAAAGGAATAGAAGTGGGGTAGAATCCTGCCTGAGGGCAAACACTTATCTATCTAGTGATTAGAAAGATGGAGTTTTTGCCCAGAATAGGTGAAGATTAAAGGCAAGCCTAAAGAGTTTGAGTCAAAAGAGAGTTAAAATCTGAATTTCTTGATTCTGTGACCTATAAATACACTATGGAGCTAAAAAATGAAGTGTAAGTGAATAGTTACATTTGGAAATAATTGTCTACAGGAGACATAAGTTTTTATGAAAACATAGTAAGACCAGATCCTGTCTCCACAGAGTATATGAGAACTGTATATGTAATTTCCCCTCATTTATCTAAGCAATAGTGAAAACTAAGCATGCAAAGGCAGTGAATATAGCTTTCATAAATAGCATCAAATGAACAGAGAAGGGAGATTTTTAAAAATGGAAGAATCATTTATAATCTCTTATATTCAATGGCAAGAGTTTAAGTGTATTAAAGGCCAAATAATATATTACATTTGGCTGACTTTGTATATTTTTCCATAGCCTATGCAAATAATAACTGAAATTATGCTATTCTAATGTGTTGTGGCAATCTTAACTTAATCATAATAATGAGGGCAAGAGGAAAATGCTGAAAACTTGTTTATCACTAACTCTCCTAACACTTAATCTGAACTAAACCAATTTTTCCACCTTAAACAAATTAGTGAGACAAACAGCAAGCTCATCTCACTGTAGGAAGAAATGTAAAATGCTGTTTATGATTACTTTGAATAAAATATCCACATCCAAACTATATTAGTAAATCTATATAAATCCCCTAGAGCCATACCTGCTACACAATAAGCACTCAGTAAGTATGAGCTACTATTTTTATTAAGGCTATGTTCCAATATTGCTTTAAATCTAATAAGTATCTTGTGACTAACCAAGTGAAGAAAGCATAAGTACATTCTTCTCAGTCCAGAAGACTTTATGTTGCTGATCGGGAACATCAGGGAAAAAATCTCATTCAATGATAAGAGGAATATTTTTTTCTAAAATACCAATACCAGTTACATCAATGCACGATGCACAATTGTCATTCTATGTGTCTAGTAAATGTTCTTCAAGTAACCCCTTTTCAAAGTCAGAAAAAGAATAAGTAATCTGAATAGGAACAGAAATATGAATAATAAAAATAAGTGACACATGCTTCTCACCACAAGAACAGATGGGATGACAGGGCTTAGTCATGTTAAGACAAGTGAAAGGAGGCATGTACTAAGTATAGCAAATTGGTTGAACTCTATATGGAATCCCACAGAAAGAGTAACTCACACAGTTCAAAAGTATTTATTCTTCCAATGATAACATTAGTAACATAAAATAAGCATGATAACTATAAAAATAAAACTTCAGCATCTTATTAAAGGATATAAAATGAGACTTGAACAAATGTAGTACAAAAGAAAAATACATATTGAATATAACCACAAATAGTTGGTAGCAATAAATGCTTTGATCACAGTTGATTTTAATGAATAATATATACAACATATGTAACATACACAAAAACTATAATATACAAGTCACATTGTGTTAAAACTTATTAGAAATATTTTCCAGTCTCAAAGTATATGGGGGCTGTTTTGAATGATCTTTTTGCCATTAAGCTCTAATTTCATCACATTGTGGTCAGAAGACATTGTCTAAAATTAATTTGTAAGAGAGACAAGGTGGCTAACTAGACACAGCCAGGAAGAGCCTCTTCCAGTGAGAGAGACCAAAATATCCAGTAAACTGGCATATTTCCAACAGATCTGTTGAGAGAAAACACTGAAAGTAAATGGAGAGATGATGCAGACACTAGGACTGAAGAGGGAGGTAGCTGGGAACACTGCATGGGGTTACTGAGCACCAGGACTTATCCCTGGTCCTAATCGGCTTCTGAGGAAGTGTTGAATAAAATAACCATGGAATATCTTTCCATTTAATGTATTTATATCTTTAATTTCTTTCATCAGTATCTTATAGTTTTTATTGTACAAATCCTTCTCTTTCTTAAATTTATTTCTAAATATTTTAATCATGATGCTATTATAAATGAGATCATTTTCTTACTTTCTTTTTCAGGTAGTTTGTTAGTATATAAAGCTACAACACTTTGTACATTGATTTTGTATCCTGTAACTTTACTAAATTTGATTATTAGTTCTAACATTTTTTGGTGAAATCTTTAGGGTTTTCTATATCTGAAATTATGTTGTCTGTAAATAGGGACAATTTAACTTCTTTTTCTATTTGGATGGATGCCTTCTATTTCTTTTTCTTGCCTGATTGCTCTGGCTAGGACTTCTAGCACTATGTTAAATAAAACTGGCAAGAGTTCTTAACCTTAGAGGAAAAACTTTTAGCTTTTCACCATTGAGTATGAAGTTATCTGTGGACTTTTAATTAATGACCTTTATTATGTTGAGATACATTTCTCCTATGCCTATTTTGTTGAGAGCTTTTATTATGAAAAAAAATTAAAAAACAAATAACCCAATTAAAATCGGCAAAAAGCTCTGAATATTCACTTTTTTCAAAGAAGACATACAGTGACCAACAGATATATAAAAAGGTGCTCAACATCACTAATCATCAGAGGAAGGCAAAACAAACTACAATGAGATATTACCTTACACCTGTTAAGATGGCTATTATCAAAAAAAGAAAGATAACAAATGTTGGGGATAGAGAAAAGGGAACTCACATATACTGTTGATTGGAATGTAAATTGGTGTAGCCATTACGGAAAACAGTATGGAGGTGCCTCAAAAATTAAAACTAGAACCACCTCCTAATTCAGTAATCCTTCTAAGTTTACATCCAAAGGAAATGAAATCAGTATCTCAGAGATATTTGTATCCTCATGTTTGTTACAGCATTATTTATAATACCCAAAGTTGGAATGAAATCAGTATCTCAGAGATATTTGTATCCTCATGTTTGTTACAGCATTATTTACAATACCCAAAGTTGGAAACAACCTAAATTCTATTAATGGATGAATACTATTCAGCCATAAAACTAATGGCAATTATATCATTTGCAACTTATGAATGAACCTGGAATATATTATGCTAAGTAAAATAAGCCAGACACAGAAAGCTAATGACTGGATGATCTCACTTATATGTGGAATCTAAAAATGTATTGAATTCATAACTACAGTGAGTAGAACAGTGGTTACCAGAAGCTGGGGGGGTGAGGGAAGTGGGGAGATGTTTGTCAAAGGGCACAAATTTTCAGTTGCAAAATGATCAAGTTCTGGTGATCTAGTGCACAACATGGGCAGTGATGGATGTGTTAATTAATTTGATGGTGGTAATAATTACTCAATGCATATGTATTTAAAACCATAACATTGTACATCTTGAATATATATAATCTTTATTTGTCAATTAAACATTAAAAATAAAAAATTAAAGAAATTATCAGGAGGATTTTACAAAGGAGTTGAATCCTTAATCCTTCTCTTACATAAAATCAGTGATCCATGTAGGCAAAAACACATCTTATAAACAATAAAAAGATAGTACTATTTTAAAGTGAGTCCTAAAACTAAACACATGTATTATATCTTGTAATTCTAATGAGGTAGGCACTATTATTATGACATCTTACAGACAGTGCAACTGGGACTTTAAGAATTAAATTAAATACTGGGCCAAAGTTATGCAACTAGAAAATGACAATATTCAAGCCCTGGTATTTTTAACTCCAGAGCAAGGCTCTTGGCATTTACATTTGACTTTCCTAATCTTATACTAGACAATACTACCTAGCAAATAACTTAAATGTAATATAATGTCAGATAATATTATATAAAAATCTTTCTACTCTACCCTTTTAAGAAATCTCTCTTCATCTTACCTTTCCACTCCCTCCCCCAGGCTTTCACAATTCCACTCAAACCTTCAAAACAACTTGTTCACAACTTCGTTAGAATCAACTGATCAATATGCTTTTCATAATCAAATATCTTTATTTCACTCCTAAAGTGAAAATGTGGAATAAATGGTCTTCTTCAGAAGACCACTGTCAATTTTGATTTTCTTTTTCCTTAGAGTGGCTGGAATATTTATTACAATGGCGCATTTTCACGAAGAACAAGAACCCATCAGAGCCTTGCTTTTAAATAATGCTTTGCACAGTTGATTCAATCAGCCCATGACTAATTCTAACTTCTGAATGAGGGGAAATAGCTGATTTTCCAACTCTCCTGAGAACGCTATACATATTCATAGAAATTTGGAGTAATAATTGGGAACAAGCACTATTAAATCATCATTTGTTATATATATATTTTTCTAATAGAATAAAAAGAGAGATTGGAAAATGTCAACAAGTGATTTGTGTAAAGTCTCCTAATTCACAAGCTGACATTTCTTCAATGGAAACGAGTTAGAAGTAATGCTGGCAAAGACTACATTGTTAATTCAGATAATGTCACTTTGTCTCTTTGGAGGCACTTAATCAGGCTTGAATAAAAATGAACAATGTGAAAATTCCTAGAGAAAATGCGATTATGGTATGATGCATCTTTCAGTTCACATGCTGACATTCTGAGTGTTTTAAAAAGGTACTCCATCAGCCATTTAGGTAATAGGAATTAAAAACAGATGGATTGTAAAGAATAAAAATAGGGACAGGAAAATGAGGTTCAATGTCACTCCTTCACATGCAGAAAGTGTTGCATTTCTCTTCTTGGCTCATTAAAGTTCAGGTGTAGCTGGAATGTTGTACTGTACCTCTATGAGCCCATTTATCAGCAGTGCTACCCCTTTGATATTTTCTGTCCCAAACTTTATCTGCATGTTTTTTAAACTATAATTTATAATATGTAATGTGAGACCTTAGAATAATACAAGGAATAAACATTAAAACCCCAATCAAATTTCTTGAGTTGAAAATATTTGAGGTAAAAAATGCTTAATGGAATTAATAGCAGATTACACATTACAGAAGAATTAACTATTGAGACTAAAGCTGTAGAAACTATCCAGAATGAAACACAGAGACGAAACTGACTAGAAAACCCACAAACAAACAAGAGATTCAGTGTACATTGGAACAATTTCAAATGGCAACTATATGTATAATTGTAGTTGTCCCTGAAGAAAGGAAGTGGGGAGGGGACATTTTTAGGAATAGTGGAATAAGGTTTTTCCAAGTTTGATTTTTAAAAATCTATAAATACCTTAAAGCTTAAGGAACCCTGAACACATAGAAACACAAATAAAACTACATCAAGATACCTCACAATTAAATTGCTTAAAATCGGTGATAAAAAGAAAAATCTTAAAAGTATCTAGAGGAGAAAAAGAAAAACAAGGCAAGGAATGAAAACACATTTCTTATCAGAAAGCATATAAACCAGAAGACTATGAAAGAACATCTTTAAGTCTCTAAGGAAAAACACTGTCAATCTAGAATTTTATGTCCAGTGAAAATATCTTTCAAAAATGAAGACAAAATGGAGAATTTTTTCAAACTTACAGAAGCTAAAAGAATGTGAATTAGATAAGATGGAAATAGAAAGAACAAGCCTACCCAACAAGAATAAAGAATGAGGGGAAATAGACAAAACATTTTGATTTTTGGTATTTTTGTATTTTAAAATCTTTGTAAAAGATAATTGTGTGTTTAAAGAAAACACAATAGCAATGTATCCTTGGGTTTATGATACAAACATGGTATGTAATGATGGGGTAAAATTGTGAGGTAGAAAATGGAATCTTGTAAGCCTCTTATACATTGTGTTAGTTTATTTTATATTGCTATAAAAGAATACCTGAAATGGGGTAATTTATAATGACAAGAGATTTATTTTGGCTTATGGTTCTGCAGACTGTACAAGAAACTTAGTGCTGTCATCTGCTTCTGGTGAGGCCTCAGGAAGCTTACAATCATGGTGGAAGTTGAAGGGGGAGCAGGCACGTCACATGGTAAGAGAGGGAGTAAGAGAGAATGGGGAGGAGGTGCCAAGCTCTTTGTAGCAACCAGCTCTCGCATGAACTAATAGAGCAATAACTCACTCATTACTGCAGGGAGGGCACCAAGCCATTCATGAGGGATCCACCACCATTATTCAAACACCTCCCACTAGGGTCCACCTCCAACAATGAGGATCACATTTCAACATGAGATTTGAGGGAAAAAATATCCAACTATATCATACATGAAGTGATATATTACTTAAATTAAACTGTAATAAGTTAAAGTTGCAGACTATAAACTCTCAAGCAACCAAAAAAAAAATCAACAAGTAAGTCAACAAACAAAATAAAATAAAATTATGTAAAAAGTCAATTAATCCAAAAGAATTGGCAGTGCAAGATTTAAAATAAAGCCTGGAGCAAATAAAACAAATAGCATAATGGTAGGTTTAAATGCAATCATATCAATAATCACATTAAACGTAGATGACCTAAGCACACAAATTAAAAGGCAGAGCCTGGCAGAATTAATTGGAAAATGAGAAAGCAAGACATTTGCCTGTAAGAAACTCACTTAAAAAAAAAAACACAAATAGGTTAAAAATAAAAGGATAAAAAAGAAAACTCATGCCAAAACTAATTAAAAGCTTAAAAAAGTTACACTAATATCAGTATATGTAGGTGAAGTATGTTAACTGAAAAATATTAGCAATGACAAGGGAAATTCATTATGACAATGGCATAAACTTATAAAAAGTACATAGCAAACTTCAGTGTTTATACACTGAATAACAGCTTCAAAAATCATAAGTCAAACCTGATAAAAATGCCAGGAGAAGAGAAAAATCTGTAATTATAGGCAAAGATTTCAACACACCTTTCTCAATAATTGACAGAACAAATAGAAAATCAGTAAGGACATAGAATAATTGAACACCACTCTCAACTGTTTTGACCCAATTGACATTTTACGCTATTTCACCACCAACAGCAGAATATGTGTTATTTTCAATGACACACAGAATATTTACCAAGATAAACCATATTATTTTATAAGCAAATTTCAATAAAAATCGAAGGACTTAAATTTTATACAGACCTTTCAAGATAAATGGAGAGAGTGCTTCCTAACTCATTCTCTGAGGCCAGCATAACTTTAATACCAAAAACCTGATCAAAAAAAGAAAAACAAGAAAAGAAAGCTATAGACCAATGTCCCTCCTGAAAATTAATGTAAAAATTCTTCACAAAATGTTAGTAAATAAAATCTAGCACTATATAAATTGTATTCATAAAGTATCATGTTCAAAGTTGGTTTAATTCAATATAATTCAGTACAGTAACAAACTGAAAAAGCCATAAGATCATTTCAAAAGATGCAGAAAAAGCATTTGACAAATACTAACATTCATTTCTGATAAAAAATAATCTCAGCTAGCTAGCAATAGAAGAGAGTTGCTTCAAATTTCTAAAGAGTCTTTATGAAAATTTTACCGGTAGCATTCACAATTAATGGTAAAAAGTGCTTTGCCACTAAAATAAAGAAAAAGGCATGGATGTCTTAAGGCAAGAGTAAGAAATGAAAGACCGAGGTTGGAAGGGAGGAAGTATCACTGGCTTTATTCAAAGAAACATCATTGTTTATGTATAAAAATCCTATGAACTTACAAGAAAGCCACTAGACCTAATAAGAAAGTTTAGCAAGTGTGCAGGATACAAAATAAATTTATGAAAATGTATTCCTAGATTCTAGCAAAAATCAGAAACTGAAGCTAAAAACCAATATGATTTATAATAGTATGAAAAGTGAAATACAACAGCACCAAAAATATAAAATATTTTTAAAGAAGAGCAAAACCGTATGCTGAAAACTATATAATGCTGCTCAGCAAAATTAAACACTATCTAAATAGAGAGCTATAGTGTGTTCATGGATCTGGAGACTCATATATTTAAGATGTCATTTCTATTCCAGTTGATCTATTGATTATGACTAGAGTTCATGAACAGACTAGATTCCTGTTCTAGTCCCCAAAATTTTCACTCTAGTATACAGTTTGTTTTAGACTGTCTAAGGTGCTAAAAGTCCACAAACTCTTTCAGGAAGTGTAAGATAAGAAAAGACCCTGGAAGCTAGTCTGAAAGCCCAACATCTTATACATACAAAATTTTTTGCAGAGCTGAGATCTTTCTTCACATCAGAAGCAGATTTCATAGCAGCCATATCTGGGTTGATCAGAAGTGCTGTTTTCAAAACATCTCTTTCCCTTTATCCTAAGTTTCTTCCACCAAAATTCTCCCCATTCTCTTTCAGGATGACTTGGAGTTTAAAAGTCATTGCATGAAATGTAAGGTTTTTATTTCATTTTCAAGCTTCATTTGAAAATTTATTCATAGGTCATAGAATATGGAGATGTAGAAAGGTGTCTATTTGTGATTTCTTTATGTAGGAGTATTATAAGAGGCCACTATTCTTAGAGACTCTGATAAACAGCATCTGACTCTTCTGAAGAGTCCAAGAACATGTACAGCTTTACAAAAGAGAGGGAATGTGTCATGAAAGAAATATGAGCTAAGTTTTAAAAAAGGGCAGAATGAAGCAATTAGAATAACTAAGTAAATAATAATGAAAATGCTGGCTATTGTGCATGAATATGAGAGCAAATTGATCTTCTTTGGATAAAGTAGAGGCTACATGACATTTCCAATATTTTGGTAATCTTCAATACATTTTTTTTTTTACAGAAAAATTACCACAAAGGCATGGAGTCTAACTCAGTGGCTCCACCATAGACTTGCTGCTGTGAGGGGGTCAAAGGGTAGGTTCAGCTCAGCAGGTGTAAAGAACTACAGCTGCTGGGGTAAATCAACAACCTTGCAGAAAATGCTCCAGGGAGCTCTGGAAACATGGGGAATTTTGAACTATGTAAAAATCCCTGAAGTGAAAACTAACGACAACAATGAGTTAATGAAGTGAGAGGCTCAGTCTATACTGACATGCCACATTATTTCAATAAGATATTGAACTTGTGTTTAGTGTTGTATACAGAGTTTAAATTTTCCTATATTTTCTTTTTATGCTGAATTTTGTAAATGGAGATTTGCTTTTTAAATACATACTATGTTCACTCTTACTTCCAGTGTTCTCTCTCAACCAAGGAGAAATGAATTAAAATTAAATGATCCTCTGGAAATCTCTGCTTAGGGGTTATGAACTAGGAGTAACCTTTCTAACTTAAATAAAATTCACTTATCTAGAGTTTTAAGGAGATTTTGGCTAAATAACCTTCTGAAGAAAGAGTTTTAGCAAGGCTAGTGGATATATAGGCAATTACTTCTGTGTGATTCACTAAGGAATAAGAATATTACAGCAATTGTAAGACTGCTATCTAATATTGAGTTTTATTATAGGCAACACTGCTCCACGTTTTATGTCTATTAACTTATTTAATCCTCACAACACTATGAAGATATTCTTATACTATTAGTAGCCTATTTTAAGAATGAGGAAAACTGCAACATATAGAGGTCAAATAACACATCTAAGGGTACACAAGAGGTAAGTGGTGAAGCAGGGATTTGGTCCTGGTAGTCAGCCTCCAGATCCTGTGTTTATAGGCACCACTATAGACAGATAATCGTTTTGGTCCCCATTTGAGCTAGGCTAATTTGCTCTGTTCTCTGGCTATATGGTTACTTCTAATATTTTTGCCATCAACTAATTAATATGTTGACTCCTCTGAGTTTAAGATGCAAGCTTTAGGCTCCCTCTCCCTTTCACTCGGCATGGAGTCCTGCAGTAGAGTAGGCTAGTGGCAAGGAGCATCTAGGCACAGATGAGAACAGGAAGCACTTTCCTCCCAAGACACCTGGGTCCTCAAAGAGGTACAGAGCATCCGAAGTCCCAGAGGCCCTTGAAGTGGTGGATCAATAGGGCTTGTGGCAGTGATGAAGACATGTTGATCTCAAGGATGATATGAGTTTCATGAGCCAAAAAGCATGAGTAGATCTTGGAATCAGAAGTGGATGATAAAACATGGGAATAATATATTTCAGATAATCTCAGTGGAATTGTACATCTCAGTGGAATCCACCATGGACAACTGCTAATCACAAAACCAGATGCATCTCACTCACTAGGAGCTTCATATGTAAGGTCTACAGCACTTGGATGAACACTGCAAGGAGAAAAGAGCAAGAGAGGGGACCTAAAACAAAAACTAAGTTGAATAAGTTCAGTTTGAAATCACAGTTAAAACACTGAAATGACTAAATTGACTTCGATTTCATTAGATTAAGTCTTCTGCTACCAAGCCAAATTGCAGCTTGAGAGTGAAATTATATGAAGATATGAAAATAAAAGACAATTTCATTTTGGACACTCAAATACAAGGCTGTAAAATTGCTGTATACACTCAAGTTTTAATGCACAGGAATATGATGCCGTAACAATGACTTTCCTTTCTATGGTGGGAAGAGATAGGGAAGAATACTGAGTAGGGCAAAATAATCATATTATTCAATATTACAAATTAGATAAATGAGGCTCGGAGCAGTTATCTGACTAACTCAGTGCTTCACTGCCAATAAATGGTGGAATTGAAACTTGAGTTAATGTCTTCTGAGTCCAAAACCTGCACTCTTTCAGTGGAGCCACATTGATTTCATTTATATAATGTTGATTACTACCAAAACAACTAAAGAAGGGAAATTTCTGCTCTAAATGTGAAAGAGGAACTACTAAATGAACAACATGTTAACACAGCCAAAAGCAGAGTGGGTTTATAAAGCCGTAAGATTTTCTCATAATCCCAGACTATTAAGTAAGCCAGGTCTTCATTACATGGTCATTACTCTGGAGATCTTCAAATTCAAGCCAATGTTTTGAGTGATGAAGCTAGCAAGTCTGTTTGGTTTTATCTGGGGCAGGCTGAAGGAAGGATTTGTGGGTCTATGTTGATCCAATTCTTCAACATCATGGTTCCAATGGCAAATACAGTGAATGAAGATGAACAGTTTATGCAGCAATTGCTGCTTAAGACTGAGAAAGAAGCTCACTTCAACTCCACCCTGATTCAATTTCCCTTTTTTCTTTAGTAATTTTAAGTATGATTGGAGGAGAAAATAGTATCTCATCTAGTTATAACTAATTTAAAAGAAAAGAGGACTTCAAAATTATTCTTGAGCTATTTTTTTTTTTTACTTTCTGCAATGTAAGAATAAAGAAGAAGAAAAGAATGGACCAGAAGAAGGTGAACTGAAAGTCTTCCTGCCTACAGGCTAAAATGAAGGAAACAATTTAGGAAATATTGTGTACTATATATAGAAGCTGGTGGCATAACTATTTGAACAGAACCATCATCGAAGAAATAACAAAAACTATCTGTTTCAGAAAAGCAGATGACAGTGTGTTTTTATCATGGGGTTATTGTATATATCAATCAGCTACAGCTCCTTTTTAAGAACTCTAATGTAAGGATTATAAGACATCATTTATAATTCACTTATTGAGCAGGCCTTGGAGAAATTTTTTAAAAAGTAATTGATGTGCTTATGAGTTAGTCCCTTGTGTATTTTCCTGAAGAGTGTATATTTCTTAGTCATGATGTATAGATTGTCTAAAGCTTTTTTATTTTGGAAGACCTAAAAGACAAACTGACAAGTAACCATGCCTACAGATATAATACCCTATTTTTATTTTCCCTTCCCAAGAGAATGTGGAGGAGGTACATGAGCTAAAAGTTTAGAGATTATAGGTCTCTCGATTTACTTAGGCCTTCTTTAGTGTCTTTCTAAAGTTTTATAATTTTCTTCATTATTATTATTATTATTATTTTTTTTTTTTTTTTTTGAGACGGAGTCTCGCTCTGTCGCCCAGGCTGGAGTGCAGTGGCGCGATCTTGGCTCACTGCAAGCTCCGCCTCCCGGGTTCACGCCATTCTCCTGCCTCAGCCTCCTGAGTAGCTGCAACTACAGGCGCCCGCCACCGCGCCCGGCTAATTTTTTTGTATTTTTAGTAGAGACAGGGTTTCACTGTGTGAGCCAGGATGGTCTCGATCTCCTAACCTCGTGATCCGCCTGCCTCAGCCTCCCAAAGTGCTGGGATTACAGGTGTGAGCCACCGCGCCTGGCCAAAATTTTTGTTCACATTATGATAAATTTATTCCTAGGCACAATAGTACATTTTTAAAAAATTGCATTTTCTAATAGTTCATTTCCATTGTACAGAAATGCAATTGATTTCTGTATATTGTATGTAGAAACATCATTAAAATAATAATTTTGATTATCTGTGTAGAAAATCACATTATATAAAAATGATAGTTTCTTGTTTCCATTTCAGTAAGAATTGTCTATTATTGCTTTCTGTTTCTCTGTTTTACTCCATTATCTAGGGTTTCTGGTTAAATGTTTAATAAAAGTGGTGTTATTGGGCATTTTGGTTTTAATCTTCATCAAAAAGGAAAGTTTTAACTTTAACCCTAATTATAATTATTAATCTTATTTCAGACTGGATACTGGATTCTGAACTAGATATTGAACACTATTAAGTTTAATGTCTATTCTAGGTCTTTTTCTGACACTATTTTTCTTAAGGAATTTATTTTATTTTTTAGTTTTTTAACTTTCATTTTAGGTTCAGGGGTATATGTGCAGGTTTCTCATATAGGCAAATTGCATGTCATAGGGGTTTGGTGTACAGATTATTTTGCCACCCAGATAATAAGCATAGTATCTGAATGGTAGATTTTTGATCCTCACACCATTTCCCTCTCCCCTCAAGTAGGCCCCTATGTCTGTTGTTCACTTCTTTGTGTCCATATGTACTCAGTGTTTAGCTCCCACTCATAAGTGAGAACATGGAGTATTTGGTTTTCACTTCCTGCATTAGTTTGCTTAGAATAATGGCCTCTAGCTCCATCAATGTTGCTGCAAGAGACATGATTTCATTCTTTTTAATGGCTGTATAGTATTCCATGGTGTATATGTACCACGTTCTCTTTATCCAGTGTACTGTTGATGAGCATTTAGGTTGATTCTATGTCTTTGCTATTGTGAATGATGCTGTGATGAACATATCTGTGCCTGTGTCTTTATGGTAGAATGATGTATATTTCTTTGGGTGTATACTCAATAATGGAATTGCTGTGTTGAATGGTAATTCTGCTTTGAGTTCTTTGGGAAATCGCCAAACTGCTTTGCACAATGGCTGAGCTCATTTATATTACCACCAGCAGTATATAAATGTTCCCTTTTCTCTGCAACCTTGCTAGCATCTGTTATTTATTGACTTTTTAATAAAAGCCATTCTGACTGGTGTTAGATTGTATCTCATTGTGGTTTTAATGTGCATTTCTCTAATGATTAGTGATGTTGAGCACTTTTTCATATTCTTGTTGGCTATGTGTATGTCTTCTGATGAGAAGTGTCTGTTCATGTCCCTTGCCCACTTTTTAATGGGGTTGTTCACTTTTTGTTGTTGATTTAAGTTCCTTATACATGCTGAATATTAGATCATTGTCAGATGGATAGTTAGCAAATATTTTCTCCCATTCTGTGAGTTGTTTGTTTATTGTGTTGGTAGTTTCTTTTGCTGTGCAGAAGGTCTTTAGTTGAATTAGGTACCAATTGTCAATTCTTATTTTTGTTGCAATTGCTTTTGGCATCTTCATCATCTTTGCTAGGTCCTATGTCAAGAATGGTATTGCCTAGGTTGTCTCCCAGGGGTTTTATGGTTTTCATAATTACATTTAAGTCTTTAATCCACCTTGAGTTGATTTTTACATATGGTATAAGGAAGAGGTCCAGTTTCAATCTTCTGCGTATGGCTAATCAGCTATCCCAGCACCATTTCTTAAATGGGGAGTTCTTTCCCCATTGTTTATTTTTGTCAACTTTGTCAAAGATCAGATGGTTGTAGGTTTCCAGCATTATTTATATTCTGTTCCATTGGTCTATGTGTCTGTTTTTGTGCCAGTACCATGCTGTTTCGGTTACTGTAGCCTTGTAATATAGTTTGAAGTTGGGTAAGGTGATATCTTCAGCTTTGTTCTTTTTGCTTGAGAATGCTTTGGCTATTTAGGCTCTTTTTTGGTTCCATATTAATTTTAAATTTTTTTTTTTCTGATTTTAAGTATGGATGGAGTCATTGGAGAAGCCCAAGAAGCAGTCTCTTTCAGCCCACACTCCTCCCGGCTCCAATTTGAAGAGCTGCTGTCATGTCTGCTGCAGTGCACTGGGGTGCAGAGGCAAGGAGCAAGGGATGACCCCCTCTCCAAGTTCATTCCTGAGCTTTGGTGGTGCCCACTTCAGCAGCTGGTGCTGTGCTCATGTTTTCTCTGACCCAGTGCTTTGGTGGGCTGCGCTCCACCCCCTTCTTAAGGGTAATCTGCACTGAGGGTTAGATCTCCAGGAAAGAGGGGACTCCTTCTTCCCACTCCTTAAAGCTGGTGGGGCACTGTCCCCCAACTGACCAAGAGAACAGGCTGGGCACCCAGCAATGGCACACGGAGACCATTTCCAGGTCATAAAGCTGAGTCTGGCTGCAAGCCTCACTAACCAGGAGAAACCTTGTCTTCAGCAATTCTCCTCCTGGCTCCAGTCCTGCAATGGGAGAGAGCCTAATGTCAGTGCCTACTGCTAGGGCACTCTCCATACTCGCCACTGAGTTCTGGACATGGGAGCCCTTCCACTATTCCAGGGCAAGTTCTCCAATCTCTGGCCCTAGATGAAAATGCCCGCAGTGGCTGCCACTGCCAGGTCTGCAAATGATGGATGTCTTTATATGAGCCTGGATTAAAACTGGCATCGTTTTCTCAGTCTCAGGTCTTGGAGAATGCCTGCTGCTTTTCCTGATGTCTTTCCCTCTCTTCATCTCTCAGCCTTTCCCCAAGTTAGCTCCTGAAATTGGGAGAAACAGGGTGCTCTCCCTTGGCCTGGGTTGTACAGATCCTTAGTGAAAAGGTGAGTCACAGAGGGAGACTGACAGCCCTTCTCACATACTGGGGCTTCACTCATTTTTATCAGCCAAATGTCATCATGGGGGCTGCTTGCCCACTTTATCCTACCCAGGGTCATGGGTGTCCTTTGCTATTCCAGTGAATTGCCATTTTCCTTCCTGAATCAAAGCTCACAGAGTTGATCTTTATGTACTATATTGCTATTTCCAAGTGGCTGAGGCATGCTGAAAGCCTCTAATCCACAATCTTGGAAAAACTGACTCTCCTATTAATATTTAAAAAATTCTCAGTCACCATATGTTTTATTATGCCTCCTTTATTCTTTTTATCATATATTCCTGGAATTCTGATTAAATATTTGTTACATTTCCCATTCTCATTTTATTTTTCTTAGCCTCCCTCTTAGAGTTCCACCTTTTGTCTCTCTCTGTGCTGTATTCTCATTAATGTTTTGGAATGTGTCTTCCAGTTCACACACTTTCTTTTCTGGTTTGCATAATGTGCTATTTAACCTATTATGGTTTTAATTTAAATTAGTATACTTTTCACTGCTAAAATTTCTGTCTGATACCTTTTTAGTTCTCTTTGGTTACTTTTCACAGTTTGTTGTTTGTATTTGTTTCGTATTGTTGCTTTAACAAATTCTGCAAATTTATAGGCTGAAAATAAAACCCATTATTATCTTAAAGTTCTGTAGATTTGAAGTTCAGAACAAGTTTCATGGGACTAAAATTATGGTGTCTTCAGGGCTTCATTTTTTATTGGAGACTCTTAGGTTGAATCTGCTCCCAGGCTCATGAAGGTTGTTGGCAGAATTCAGTCACACGCAACTGTAGGAATGAGGTCCCTGTCTCCTTGCTGGGTTTCAGCTGGGGGTCATTCTCAACTTCTAGAGGCTTCCTGCACACCCTGGCTTGTGGTCCCTTTTATCTTCAAAGCCAGCAATGGTGGTTTGAGCCTTCTTATGCATCACATCTCTCTGACTTCTCATTGTGTTTCATCTTGCCCATCTGACTCTTCTGTCATCCTCATTTGCATTTAAGTGCTCATTTGGCCACATTGTGCACAACTGTATAATTTAGGCTACTCTCCCTATTTTAATGTTAGCTGATTACTAACCTTAATCACATCTGTAAAGTCCCTTTGCAGCAGTACCTACGTTAGTGTTTGATTGAATAACCAAGAAACAGAAATTTTAGGGGTACATTTTTAGAATTCTGTTTACCATACGTATGTTTCCAAACATTATACATCCTCATTTTATATTCTATATGTGATAGTCTTAACATATGTTGCCCTTGTACTTTGGATCTCTTTCTTTCGGTTATCTTGGCTCCTGCACATTGTGCAATATGTTCTGATATAATTTGTAAGTTTTGATTAAAATCGCACATGAAGTTTAGCCTTAGTACTGTTTTAAGCCCTTGATTGAAAAAGGTCATCCTTCTTTTCCCAGGTACTTGAGAATACTACCAATTCAAAATTATTTTAAAATAGGGTTTCAGATTAAGTCCAACTCTTTCCCATGCTTTGTTCTCTGCCCTGCCCCCAACACACACATTGGTATTGAGACTTTAGGCTTCCTCCACCTAGTGTGTAAACCAAAATATGAAAGTTCTCCTGATATTTTCCTCTATGTGGTGAGATTTTTCCCTAGCTCACATTCTCACTAAGAATATAGTCCTTTGGGATCCTAACCCTATATTGGTTTCCATCCACCCTTAACTTGGATAGACCCTAGCTTTGTCTCCTATTCCTATGAACCCATTAAGAGATCTCTAGGGATCAGCAGTTACCACCTTCAGTTCTTGTTTAAATCTCTGGATTCTTGCTTGTGCTTCATCTTTGTCTTCTGAGGACTTCCATTTTTTCTTGTAGACGCAATTATGTTATCCAATATTTCTTATTATTTAGCTTCAAAAAGATCCCATGCTGTATCTGTACCACTATACTATCAGTAAGAAAATTCCCTTTATTTCTTTTATAAAACCCTGCTTTTTCTTTCCAGACAGAGATTCCCATATTTGGAAAAACCTTTTAATTTCTGCCTCCCTTATATATTATTTTTACTGTTTACTTCTAGATTAATATGGTCTTGCCTCTATGTTGGGGACCTGAGATTTTGATATTTGCATTCCCGAAACTAACCTAGTAAGTTTTTACTGAAAAATTTGATTCATCTAGAAATAACATGATTAATACTGCCCCCAGAGAATAATTTTAACTATTTCATTTTTTAGATTATGCTAAAATAATAAACTGATACAGTTTGTTCAGTTTTACTCTTGCATTCCTAATCCAATCCTTCCTCTACTAAAATTTTTTAAAAACATTTCATTTGGTAAAATCTACATACTCAAGCAAAAATAAAATTTATTAACTAAACCAATAAAATTTTAGAACTGAAATGTCATCACAAGGACTCTTATATTTAGCCATGATAGAGATATAATAATATATCTAATACTCTTTGACACATAATAATACATGGTACACATGTCAAGATACAATGAATGTGCCATGATGTCGTTTTGTCAATTTTTGCTAATAATGCTCATTAGAACCACTGTCTAAAATTATGTACCTCCCAGGCTGAAAAAAGAAAGGTTTGGACACCATGGTGAAAATACTGCACACATATGAGAGAAAAGAAGTCTGAATTGTAGAGATGCTGACATGTACAGCAGCAGTTGAGGTGACTGAAAGATATACATATGCCAGTGCAGCCTTCCAAGTGCCTGCATGAACAGACAGTAGGTAGGCACTTAGTAGAATTGCTGCTATCATCTAGACAAGATCCAATCCTAAGTAAGATGCTGAAATTCAAAGTGACAAAGATTTCTAGTTAACCTCTAAGTAATGATCAGGATAATGACAAAAATACTGTCTACCATAGAGTGGGAGGACAAAGGATTTTTGATCATCTGTTTAGAATTGCTTTCTGGAAACTTTCAAAGACAGTATGCAACTCTCAAACTAAAATAACTTGAGAACATTAATGTAAATGGGACAAATGTGAAATGGGTCATTTAAGTCATTTTTGATATATCAAACATAGAGCTGTGGTAAGAGAACTATATCACTCAATTAAACAAATTTTCACTAAGTATTATTTTTCACATACTCAGCTAGCAGCTATTGGAAGTAATTCATTAAAATTATCCAAGCTGAAATGTTTGCATTATTTTATTGAGACCAAAACTTACTCATTATAATTTGAAAAGTCATTTTATTTTTTCATAATAAAAATGCATCCATGATCTGATGCAATTCAGCAGTGATAAATTGAATGACTAGAAAAAAGCAGAAATGTAATAAATACTACAGATTATAAATACATGTGTAAAATATGGTAGGGAAAGGAACAAATGAATAGAATAAACATAGAAGAGTTATACAAAGCAGCAATATTATAATTTAAGCTTTACATGGACAAATTTTTCTTTGAAAAAATGATTTTTTGCATTGGCCCATTAATAAACATAGATAAATAATGAACATGGCCAATTAATAATTCGTATGTTAAATATTATTTTAAAAACCCTCTTTACTATATTTAGTTTCAAGAATAAGTTTGTAAATAATCTTATTTGAATAAAAAATGACAAGGTCAGTAACAGCTGGAAAGTGCCAACGAAGATTAAAAATAGCAAAGGTTTGGCTGAGGCAGGAGAATGGCGTGAACCTGGGAGGCGGAGCTTGCAGTGAGCCGAGATCCCGCCACTGCACTCCAGCCTGGGCGACAGAGCGAGACTCCGTCTCAAAAAAAAAAAAAAAAAAAAAAAAGCAAAGGTTTATTTTTTGCTTTGTCTTTTGTTGTATTTTTAGCATGAGAATTGCTGTGATATAACATCTGCATCTTTTGCTAACTGTGCACCTTACTTTGTTTTTGATCATTTTTCCTTTAGCTGAATTTTGGAATGCCAATAGCACTTACTCTTTAAAAATTTATTTATTGATATATAATATTTGTACATATTTTGGGGGTGTATGTGATATTTTGCTACCTGTCTACAATGTGTAATTGTCACATCAGGGTAATTGGAAACTCATTCTTTTTCGCATCCTCACTTCTAGAAGACTATTCTTATCCCATTTTTGTTTAAATGTTTAGTTTTTTCTTTTTGATTTGATTTTAAATCATTTATTTTTCTGTTTTGTAATACGTCAGCAGTTTTCATTCTTATTCTTTTTTCCTTCTTTTTTTCATTTTTTCATTGCAATGTTAACACACCAGAGTTATGTGATTTTTCTGTCTGTATACACAGTGATAATTCATTTAGATTTCTACATCTCTTTATTTTTAACATATGACATTATGTATTTCTGAACTAAGATAAACACTTAAGCAAAGTTGTTACTCATATACGAAAATATGTTAATAGTTTTATAGTGTTCAGCTTTCCTTTCTAACTATACTGTACTAATAGTGCAAATCATAGCAAGCCTTATCCATAGCTCTACAAAATGAATTTCTCAGTGTGCCAATATCATAAAAATATGAATTATATTACACTAACTATAGAGTTCAGTAGAAATAAATTCTTATCTGTAACTTTTCTGTTATTTAGTATATTCAGCCATAATTTTGGAATTAGTGCTTCAATCTCAATTTTCATATTACATGTATATATTAAGAATAATCCAATTGGATTTTTTAAATGAGGAAATGCACATATCATTTAGATTAAACTTTTCTCTTCATCACCAGATGACCATGGCTTTGATTTCTCAGCAAATTCTCTGGAACAACAATGCAGAAATGATTTATCCAAGTACCGAATTAACTTGTATATCTTATTTTCTATTTTTAGTTTCATGGGAAATTTCTGAAATAATAAATTGCATTTAAAATGTTACATTGAACTCCAACTGTAAGATGAAACAAATGCTCTAATCTCTTTGAAGGTCAAGTTATAAATTATTCTTATGATGAAGCAAGTTGCAGATGGTTCATGAGCAAAATCTCAAAACATGGGCTTCTTGATGAAGGCACATAGATGCTCTTTAGTTGCACTGCAATAACAAATATGGACTCTGAGTTATAACAGCAGGTTTCGGGTATTCACAGGAATTGCAGCAGCTACACCATAACTGATTTAAATGTGTGTCATTAGTTATTTAGAGCCACATTTTACAGTCAATCATTAATGTCTTCCAGAAATTACCGCAAGATAGTCAGAAATTTTGTGCTTATTATGGCATGGTCTCATTACTCATAGCAGGAGCCCACGAAGGGTAAGTGTAGAGGTCAAACATGGGTACAATCCAAGTACATATGCCAAGCATAACCACAGCAACACCAACAATGTTGACACCAAGTCCAGCTTTAACCTTGAACAGGAAAGAGCATAAATGTCAGTGTCCCAGAAGAAAGCCTACAGGAGATTAGAATCCTATTGTAGGATGTATATGCCAAATTTACATGCATCCTAAATGATTAGTATAAATTGTCATTTTTTAAATTATACTTTAAGTTCTAGGGTACATGTGCACAACGTGCAGGTTTGTTACATATGTATACATGGGTCATGTTGGTGTGCTGCACCCATTAACTCGTCATTTCTTAAATCCAGGGGTTCTTCTCCATTCGTAGCAAGAGAAAAATCTGTCTCCAACTAAACATCGTTGAGTTGGAGATTCTCAGAGAAGTTCCTCTTAGGAATATACCTAAGTAATTCTGATTAGAGGAAAATCCCTTAGAAATCTGCCATTTCATGTTAAAGCAGAATTTCAGTTTTGTGGTTTTATATTTCAATGAATAAAATTCAGGACGCCATATGGCAACTGTATCTTTTATATTCACTCAACGTAATTGTTAATTTAACCTTCGATATTTTCTTATTGAGATTTTATGCCATGTCTATTATCTTTCTTAGCATTCTCATGGTTTTAGCTCTTATATCATTATTCTACAGTCCATTAAACAATCTCAGAGTTGCTTTGTATCTATTAAAATAAAAATTGGCAAATTACTGCCCTTGATTTGTTTTGGTAAATAAAGTTTTATTGGACCACAACTACGCTTATTTGTTTACATATTTTCTTTGCTTTCATGATACAATGGCAGAGTTGAGTAGTTGTGACAGAGAACATATGGCCCCACAGGGCCTCAAATATCATTTGCCTTTTTACAGAGAAAGTTTGCTTACTCCTGCATTCTCTGCATTAAAACATGGAGCCCTGAAGCAAAAGAGGAATACCTAGCAAGGGTGATAACAGATGCCCTCTTTCCTGTCCATGCAAGCCAGCCACTTATTTATCCCAGAATCCTGTTTTTATCCTTTTTAATACACATACATCAGGCATTACTTATATTCTATTATGCACGTTTTCCTTACCAAATGCATATTATTTTTGTGTAGAGGCAGTTCTAGAATGTTTATGTTGCAGGAGCTTAGGAACAGCAGTCTGTGTGAAAGAAAGGGAGCTGGGACTTATCTTGGAACTGTATTTGCATAGGAAGCTCACTAAATTTACTTTGGCTATATTATCATTTGGGTTGGTTTGGAAATTGGTGATGAAGATTTGGAAACTACTAGAATATTCTCAAGCCAGTTCTTATAAAGTACTGAATATTCTGCCAGTACTTTTGTATTTGGCAAAAATGTGCATGCTTTATCAGTGAAATTCTTACTTATTGTTTGCTTGTGTTTTCACGTTAGGTCCTGGTATTGAAATCACAACAAGAAAGATACTTCTTCATCAGTGAGGCACTGACTCAGTGTCTCATTCAGAGGAAATGTTGGTGCATAAATGTTTGTGATAGAAAATCACAGTGTTGTTTTGATTGCTGATTTCTTTAACCCTATTTTTTCCTTTTGCCTGGATCAGTTTGGATCCTAGTGTTGACTTGTAGGTTTATGCTGTCGTGTGGAGCATGTTCAGTGCTCTTTTCCTTCGTCCAAAGCATTAATGATGCATTCAACATCTCTCTGTTTGTGACCGTAAGTTTTAATGGCATGTTCACTTCTGATAATCACTCTTAAAAACAATTTTGTGATTAGTCATGCACACTGCATTCATAAACAGAATTCAGGCCCTGCTTTTCCTGGTGGTTGATTGGTGTATAAAAGGGAAGATAATTCAAGACATGGCACACACCAAGATGTGTATTGGATTTGATAGTATTTTTTTCAGCTAACTCACCATGTCAATGACTTTCAGATGACCATATGAAAAGACAATAGCATTGGGTGGATTTGCTACTGGTAGGAGGAATGCAAATGAAGTACACAGAGTAGAAGGTATCAGAATATAAAGAGGGTTCACATGAATGGCTTCGGCCTGTTGTAAGAGATAAAAAAGAGTCTAAGTAAAATTTTGAGGGTAGACACGAAACATAAAAAAAAAAAAAGTATTACAATAAGCCTTCCCAGAAGCATGTTGGAACCTAATGATATAAAATTATATAAATTATTGCAGTTATAACTTGAATATTTTTAAGAAAATATCTCATCCTCTTGTTGTTGATACAGTTACAGATGCCCACTTAAACATTACAGTCCAGTTCATTTAGAAAATAAAATATTATTTATTCCAGAAACTAAACAAAAACAGCAACCATTTATTACTTATCTATTGCTAGGTGTTGGGCTAAATGTTTACATATACGTATATATTCATATATTTACACATAATATAGTTTATAATATATAATAAATGTCACATATTTATATATATATTGAATTTTTACAATGATCTTATGAGATGGCTACTATAACCTCAAATAACATAAAGAAACAGAGGCCCAGAGAGGCTAAAGTAACTTGTCCGAGCATACAGCTGGTGAGCAACAGAGCTCAGGTAGGTTTTCAAGTCCCTGTGGCTCCAGCAGTTCTCATTACACTAATAACTTTACTGCCTCTGTGATATATGCAATTTAAGATTTGCTTAGGGTTCATCATATAAGAAGAGTTACTACTATTTTTAAATCAACACATAATTTTCTAACTGTTCCATGTTGAGAAATTTTAAAAAAGCAGAAAACAACACAAAATGATATTGTACCAATATACACAGCCTACATTTTTTCTACTTTCAATCAGCAGCTTATGAACACCAACATATGCCCTTTGAGCTTGTAGCAGCATAATTCCAGAAAGACAATCCTTCTTAAAGTGCTTTCCTTTCACCAAACCAGTCCATCCCAATAAGAAAAACATTTTACTTAAAGCTGTTTCTTGTAATTGCTACCTAGATTGAGAAAAGAAGAAAAGACATTCTTTCCCTCTCTCTTTTAGCAAACCCACTTACTTTTTAAAAATTCTTCCCTGGGCAGTAGAAAACTGTCTAAGATATTTAAGCCTCAAGCCTGAAGTGTGAGCCTAGTTTTTCATTCATTTGCAAATCACTTATATGAACCACTTCTCAGAAATTTAGGAACAATGTTTGAGAGGCAAAAGTGTCAGCGGTAGAGATCTAAATAATAAAGTTACCAGCAAACACTGAATTCCAAGTCTTACATCTGAAATGGATCTAGTCTGACCCTCTCTCTTATTTATAACGAAAAAAGCTGGACTGAGAAAAAGTAAGTTGTTCACTTAAGATCATGCTGCTTGAACATGAAAACTTAAAAACAGTTACCTAGAGTGAAGGTCCCCTGAAAGCATTAATACAAATAAAGACCACCCTGTAAGTTACTTACAGGAGGCCCATTTAGACCAAAAGAGATTCCATACCACAACATGAAAACCAGCATTCCGAAGCAGAGTACTGCTCTTAATGAAGAGTAAAAAGGGGATAAATGAGATACTCACCAATGGAGATAATATTGGGAGAAAGAGTGTAATGGTAGCTGGATTGCTGGCTACCTCAGTTAAAGATGTCACCATCAAAGAAGATATCAGAATTATTAGCCATGCTGGTAATGAACCCAGAGGAGATAATTTATTTCCTATCCACTTAGATAATCCAGACTCCTAAAAAACAAATTTGCAATATTTGTTACTCATGAATAATTCTTTGTAATCAGACACAATAAAATCCATAAAAAAACATTATTTCCTTTGAAAACTCACTTTCTAAAATATAATTTTAATCTCTCTTTTTTTCTGTGGTTTGGTAGGTCTGGGTGGCTTTGGTAGGAAGGAGCTATTGCTTAGTCTTATTTTGACACTGGGAACATGGTTTAGAAAGTTTGAAATGTATTACCACTTTTTTCAATTACATTTTAATTTTATCTAATTTATATATGTGGATATTTTAATAGATCATATAGAGGGCTTTAAGAGAAGAGCAACCCTTCTGATTCACCTCTCTCTATTCCTAAGTTATATTCTGCAGAGGCAACAACTTTCAACCCTTATTAGCCACTTATAGCTAGCTATATTTAGGTATTCATAGTTACCTTTTAAAATAATATTTTAATTATGATTTTTGCTTACTTTTAAAATTTAGACATTATTTACTGACTTTCTAATATGTTACATGATAATTCAGCTCTCTTACACCATCTACCAAACATATATTTTTTGTTTCTTCATTCCCCCACATTCATATATTAACATTTTTGTTTAAATCAATATTTAATGTTTACCCCTATGATTAAATAAATATTGTTCATAGCTACACCACTTAGCATACTATCAGTGCGTTTACTCTCCCTTCCCCACAAGGAATAACTATCTCATTATTTTGTTTGCTTAGCTTTCCAAGTACCTATCACTAATTCATCTGAAATTAAAACTAAAAAACTCCCCACAAATAGATGAACATATCAGGTAATTGATGTCTTTTCATGTTCCCTCACAGAAATATCTATTCTGGAATATTTCCTCCTCCTGCTCCATTTGGCTTAGTTTCCCTTTAAATCTATTCAACTGTTGTTGTTCTGGGACCCCTTTTCACTATAATATTATGACGTTCCTTCTCCTCCCCACTTTGTGGGAATCATTTTTTAATCTACTCTTTTGCATTGGGGGAGCACTTCCTTCTATAACTTCCTGAGAATTGGTATAAGAGTCTTTGCATGCTTGAAAACCTTTTTCTTTTCTGTTCCCACTGTTCTTATTGTTTTGCATTTGTAGAATTCTAGGTTCAAAATAATTATAACTCCACACTTCTAAGCCATTACTCCATTTCCTGTGGTTTCCAGTTGGATTCTTTAGAAGCCTGGTCATATTCTGCTCCTTTGATTCATTATACATAGTGCAGAAAAACTGGCTATACTCAGATTAGCAAGGATGTTGTTCTGTGTTTCTCCCCCACATGGAAGGGAAAATCCTCCTTTTGTGAAATTTCAGTGAGCTATTGCATGTATGAATCTTTATGACAACTAGAAGTGGCATGAGAAATACTCTAATTACAAGCAGTATACCCTCAGATCAAAAGCTGGCACAGAAATTCCTAGATGTGAGCACCAGATATCATGTGTGGTTTTGGCTTGTATTTTTGTTTATCTGCTTGTTTTTGCTTATGACTTTTAGGTAGAAAAAGATTATCCACCATTTTAGTCACATTGACACAAATTAATCCTAGAATAGGTATACTTTAAGAATAGGTTTTATCTATGTCTAATTAGATGTGGAAATGATTATACTACATACTGTTTCCCCTACCTGTAGGCCACTGAAATCATATCTTCATCCCCACAGTTCCAAAATTCTACATAAAGTGCTTTGGTATTGGGTACTCAGTAGCTCTCTCAGTCCAGAATCTCAAAGTCTCTAGCTCTAAGAAATTTCTTGTGTTATTTTGTGGAAATGTTCTTCTTTTCTATTTTTTTCTCTTTTTTTCTGAAATGCCTGTTAGTTGACTGTTGAACATTTTGGATTGATGTTCTAATGTTCTTATCTCTTTGTGAGCCAGTGTCTCATTGGCTCAATTTTGCTACAAAGTAAATCTCAATTTTCTATCACGGAGGACAGAGAACAACAGCAGGACTGGGGAAAGCATCTGGGAAGCCCATAGATCTTTATACACTTTTTAAACCATCCTCCATATTCAGCTCTGGCTTTTACTGTTGCTTTCAGAGTTATCTGCTGCCTCCAGTTCCTGAGGTCTGCCAGTATGCTATGGATAACCAGCATGTTTCTTGTTGGCTCTTCATTTTGCCAGCCTATATGTTTCATATTTTACTATTTTTCTATTTGTACAAAGTCAGTTCCTCTCAAATATCCTCTTTCCACTTTCTAAATGTGATAAACATTTCTTGCCTCTTCTTGTCCCTGTCATATAGTCTTTGTCTTTATGGATTGACATGTTTTTGTTGTTATTGCAATTTTAATGGATATCTGAAATAAAAAATAAATCCTGCATGTTTAACCTAGGAGAGAAAATTTCAAGAATGTATGAAAATTGAAGAGGAGATATTCACTGATAAGAATTTGAAACTGTCTATCTGCTCATGAGAGAGAAATCATGTTAAAACAAAAACCCAGGGGCATTTAAAAGAAAAGTAATTGCAATGAGGTGAATTCCATAGTAGTTGCTGTTTCACTGTTCTGTTCCCAACTAGAAAGAGTATCTGGTTCTGGACACTTGCCAGACTACAATTTGAAAGAAAAGTGTTGAAAATTAATTGCCTCCAAATTTTTTACAGTCCAGTTTTTAGGGGCATATTTGTCCACAGCCATACTCTTGAAGCTCATGGCTTCAATCTGGGCACTTAGAGGTAGAGTTATTCTGGGTATCCTGTAGACATTTGGCTCTGTATATTGAGATTTTTATAGCAAACTAGACCTCCCTCTCTGGGTTCCCAAATTCTTCTACTGAGAGAACCTTGTGCATCAGGCTGAGTCCACACCTTTTCGTTTCCTCAGATTTTGTATGCTAGGGTCTGGCTGATGCTTTCAAAATCACTTTGAGTGTCTAGGATCCAATCCAGACACATAACTCTGTGCAGAAAAATTGTCAATAAAGTTAGAAGCAAAGGAGTATCTTCCAATAAGTTATCAAGAAGAGAAGAGACAGTGATTTGTCTTGAGTAGTATAGAAATTTAACCTCCTGGAAGCCAAAGGGCTGAACATGACAGTTCTCTCACCATTCTGTTCAATTTGATGACTGAGTAAGGAAATGGAAGAGCCATAAGCTTTGAATATTTCAAATAAGTCTATGAAAACCAGAATGAGTGGTTTTAATTAATCTAGGAGTAATTAATTTTCATGGAAATTTGGGAGAAGATAATTTTCTTCCAACAACTCTACAAAGACCAGGGCAATTGCAAGGGATGAGGGCCTCCCCAAACTGTTGCTTTATATCAACTGGACAGACAGGTCAAATAAAGTCAACCAACATCTCATGGTGTTTTTATTTCTTACTAAGATTAGACATAATATAATGTTAGAAAGGGTTATGTGAATTTTTCTCCAGACTTTATTCAATAAACATTTACTAATTATCTTTAAAGCTAATATTATTTCTCATTCTCTTTTTTTTTAAATCAGCAATAGCATCATGATATACTGAAGTCCAAGAGCTACTCAAATTCATAATGAAATAAGGTAAAGGCATAAGCAAACGAAAAGTATATTTCACTAGGAGTCACTTTACATATTTTCATATACATTTTTCCTTACTAGCCTTCTAATACTATTTCATGAATTAAACATTTTAATCTTCTTTGTATTATTTCTTTTGACATTCTGGAGCACCATAAAAACTATGTTTTATGCTTGCAGCCTGTAATATTTCTTGAACTCTGAACTCATCTCATTTGTGTGGTATATTCACTGCATAGCTAGCAAAATTTGCAACATTAAAATGACAGAGTGAAATTGAATATGCCCAAAGATTGAATGTCTCTGTGCTCTTCTTTTGAACAGTCTGGTTAATTGTTAAATATCTTACACACAGAGTATTACCTCACAACCATCTGCCAGGGCAAACCCTCCACCAACAAGAATGGCTATATCCCAGGGCATGAATGACTGGAATTCTTTCCAAGTAATCAGTGGAGAGTAATCAAAAGCAACTGCAAAACAAAAATCCTACAGTTACACATTGCTTAAAATATTACAATATGACATTTGCTTCAGCATCCTAAGTAGCCATCTTACAGGAAGTTTGTAATATTCCTATATTGTTTTTAAAGAGGGGAATTAATCTGGAGTTTGAGTAATTTCCACCTGGACTAGGTGGAACATTCTACTATAAAAAAGAGAAAACTCCATAACTTAAAAAAATCCTTTGGGTAATATTATAGAATATATTTCAATAAATTATAACATTGTCACTTATAATGGTACTCATTCATTCACTCACTCATTCATTTATATTCCACTAACATCTTTGCCAACTGTGAATAGCACAGTGCATTAGACTATAATATTCTTTGCTATGCAAAATGTCCATAATATTCCATTGGTTCCAATAGCATCTTGTAGCATTTTAATTATTATCCATTAATATTTGAACATTTTATTAGTTTTTAGGTCATAAGGAGGATCATGATAGATTCACCAAGATTTCAGTTTAAAAATAATTCAAGATTCAGATTAAATAAAGTATTATTTATGAGGTTCTTAAAGTGCTTATAAAAGGATTATCATAAAGATTTCTCTTTATATTTGGCTTCTGATCTCTCCATTGCTTTGTTGATAAAGAAGTTCATTTGGAGACATATTCTGCCCATTTAACTTGTGTATAACAGGCAGCCTTCTACATGGTAAGATTTTAAGTTTACCAATAAGCTTCCTTCCTATCATCTTCCCCCAAATCCAAACCAAACCCATCCTCACTGATAACTGAAATTATGTCACCAGGTTTCTTACTTTAAGGTCATATATCTTGTTAAAATGTAAACATCTCTGACAAGTACTTCTTATTTAAAATTTAACATATTTATATATTATTTGTCATTTTTAAGCCTTGTATGAATGACTTTAGCAGGGAGAAGAGGTTTTGAAGAATGAGGGGAGAGAGAAAGGTGGGTAGGAGCAAGGCTCTTTCTAAGGGAGGGAATTCAGATGTGGAAACCAGGGAAGCTAAAGCCAAACATGGATTCCTCAGTACTTGCCACTGCCAGACCTCAGGGCTTTGACTGCAATGATCAGAGTCCTTGGGGTCCCATAGGAATCAATGCTCCATATTGCATCACCTCCTTAACACACATTGAGATATTCTAATCTCAAGTGAAAAACAAAGTACATTTGTTTCTATGCTGTGCTGGTCACATATGTCCTGGAAATCTGATACATTAGTCATTTATAGATTCTGACAAGAGTCAAGTGGGCCAACACAACTACATAAATCCCAGTTCCATCCCCATAAGAACAAACAAACAAAACCACAAGTCTACTAGTTAATTTCCAGACAATTACAAATTAGTTGTCCCACATTGACAAGATAGGAATCTGACTACTCAAAACATGCTGTGTTGTAAAGCAAAGATATGGATGAATCTTGTGTTTAAAAAGTGTGTGTGTCTGTGTGTGTGTGTGTGTGTTGAGAGGATGGTATGCTCAGGCAAATGTGCACACTTCTTTGTTCATGTGTTGTAAATACAATGAATGCTGTCACAGAATACCTTTTCTTTATTTTTATTACTATCATTATTTTTAGAGACCGAGTCTCCCTCTGTTGCCCAGGGCAGTGGCACAATCATAGCTCACTACAGCCTCCAACTCCTGGGCTCAAGTGATCCTCCTGCGTTGGCCTCCAGATTGGCCACCACACCTGGCTAATTTTTTTAATTTTTTGATAGAGCTGGGGTCTCACCATGCTGCCAAGGCTTGTTTCAAACTACTGGCCTCAAGTGATCCTCCTGCCTCAGTCTCCCAAAGTGCTGTGATTGCAGGTGTGAGCCACCACATCTGGCCCTTTTATTTCAGCTGTGATCCTAGGATATGGCTATGTGAGGTTTATTTAGCTTTTGTTCCAGAACTACTTTGAGAATGTAAATACTCTTTCTCTTGAAATTCATCACCTTTTTAGATCCTCTGCATTTATTACCAAGGTATCATAATGAAGCAGTGTCTTCCAAGTTCTTTTTCCTCTGTTTGCCAATAGTAAGATTAATTTTGAAGTGAGTTTACCATGGGTCAAATAGTATCGCTTGTAGCAGAGCCCTAGCCATGATACAAAAGGAAATCTACTTCTCACTTCTGCAAAGTAAGACGATCTCTCTTGAAGGTGGAAGCTGTGCTGGCTTGAAGACAGCATTGCAGTTTGCAAATAGGGCATGCTAGGCCAGGGATTGTGCCAGCATAGACTTTCTTTCTGCTCTAGGTGCCAAGCGAAACCAATGGAATTTTGTAATTTTTGCTCTTCTGTTAAATTTATGCAGAATTATAAATGATACTCAACCAATTTCTCCTGTAGGTGTAGTTTTAGTCAGTGTCTTAGCTGGGATAAGAAAGAATAGCAGCCCTATAAGTAAAGCAACAGTTGAATCTGTAGCAAAACCAGGGTACCTGTAAAAGGGACAAATACATGTATTAAAAATAGCATCAAGAACTTAAATGAGCTAAAACACCAATTTTGCTAATAACATATCAGTAATAGGTTATTATCAGTAGTAGGTGGTGTAGGTTATTTATCCTCAATAATCTGCCCTAAAATATATGGATTCCCGATTAAATGACACAACACTAAAAACAATAATCTCAGACCATAGTCTTATTGTTCCCATATATCTCTTCTTATTTTCAATACCACGTATACACATGCTGACATACTAGGCCAAAGTGGCAAATTTCCCTTTTAGATAAGCTTACAGATTTGTTAAACAATTTCTTCTTTGAATTATTTAATTTAATAATATTGATCAAGATTTGAAGTTGAAACATTGCTAGAGCATGGAAAGCCCCATATAATTGATTTATAACATCCTTCTATTAAATTGTGGCAAGGCGTGATATTTCTGTGTTCCTCTAAAGCTCTTCTATAAATTGTGAAAAGGAATTGATCTGTTTTCTGAGATATCACACCTGCTTCTGTGTTTATAAGCTCTAACCATATCATACAAAGGAAAGCAACCTACTTAATTTTTTGCACCCCATGAAATTCAATCAAGAATATTAATTGTTGGAGTGGTTTAGCCAATGCTCACAAATGATCACCATATAAATTAAGACTGATTCAGGAACAGATGGGGTCTTAGAATCACCAGACCATTGTAACAAATAAGACAGATTCCCAGAAGCCTCAACAGGAAAGAACCTGGAGACCAGATATAACTGAAATAGGCATTAATAATTAGCATTTAGTGTTAAAAGTCAGCAATATTAACTAGTGCATTTCTGTAGCCTGAGAAGAAATATGTACCATGCTAAAGATTCTTTTACTATCTTGCAACTCAGTAATATGTATACACTACCGAAGCTTCTCTACTTCTATAATTTATTTGAAAAATCTAAAAAGCCAAAGAAATGCCGTATCTTTCTCAATCTAGCAATTTTTAAAGCAGTCTACTTTCTTTAAGTATAGACACATTTTCTTTCATTACTAGTTAAAAATCTACCTTACCATAATTTATCTTACAAACTGGACCGATATTTATAATTTTATTATACCTTATTTCTTTTATTTCAGTTATAATTTTTGGTTGTATTTTTGGCAAATTGGGCCAGGCATCATGTAACCAGATTTCGTTTTATATAAAAAGACACATTGAATTCAGTCCAGGTACAAACAGATGGAATGAAAACATTAGGTGGTAGCTATAAATCTTGATACATCATGTTAGCTTTAGAAATTCTTAATGCCTGAAACTCTACATAACAAATATGTCCTACAAAATATATACATTAAATTAAATCAAGGCATAAATACTGAAATAATTTCTTTTCAAAGTACTTTAAAAACTATTCTTATCATATTATAACTTATTTTTAGTTTCTCAGGAATGCAGTTAGGTTGTCTCAGTATTAGAAACTATTAAGCTTATATAAATTTTATTTGTTTTGGGTTTGCCAATTAGATTTATATTTTAAAATCCCATCCTCTCTCAAACCTTTGTTCCTTTCTTATTGTTTTCTCTCAGAATTGTAGGTGGCATGAGTGCCTGCTCATAGCCAATACACTGCTTTCCTGCTACAAACAAAACAATTCCTGTTTCCTCGCATAAGAAACAGAAATTGGAAGCTGATTATATTGAATTACCTATTGGGATTTCTGCCTGGGCTTTATTAGCTATCTCTGATTTCATTTAATTCTTACGCACTGGTGTTTAGATAAAGACTCTCCCTGTCTAGGATGACAGAAGTTGGATTTTAAAAGGGGGAAGCATTATTTTTTATGTTGATCTAGATCCTACCACAAAACCACAAAATATTAATTAAATATTACATAATAACTTGATTTAAATAACTGAATGTCTAAACCTCTCAAAATGAAAAGTTTTATTTCTAAGGGAATCAAAAAGTTTATAAAAATGAAGCTGATGCTTTAAAACACACCACCATATTGACTTGTGTGGTCATTAGGAATTTGGACTCAGACTTCGCACCCTTCAGAAACATTGACAATGCCTATAAAACCAGAAGGTTCTGATTCAGGGAGGGAAGAATTTCTTTATTGTATGTGGGCAAAATACATATGACCTAAACAATTTTGGTTTCTACCCCAAAATACAATTTTTTTTTTTTTTTTTTTTTTTTTTTTGCTGGGGGATTTGAGACAGGAAGTCCAAGTAAGACATGTGCTGAATTTAGAAATTAGAGTAGTTCAGTGAAAGATAGATTGGGAACACAAATCTCACAACTGAGTTATTTATATTGACATATAGGATGGTCCTTAATTTAGAAAATTATGCTATACCCTTCCCCCTCACTTCACACAACTCAGCAATTGATTACTGGTATATAAGACACTGAGATATAAAATTAACTCTGACCTAGCTTCTAGCACCAGCTTTTAAAATCAGTCCTATTATTTCTTCAGAAATTCCTTATCTATGAAATGGAGGCTGGGCTGAACTTGTAGTGAACTAGTGCAAAAATGTAAATAAATGAAGAAAAAAGACAAGATACTACACCAAACAAATAGTCCTCCATAGAATTAAAAAACAAAGTGGGTAAAAATCACATAATATGAATTTATACCAGATTATTAAGAGGCATTGAGTGGTATTTACTTCACATAATAACATTAGTATAGCACTTCCAATAGGGAGAAGTCCAGCACTATTGTAAATGCTATAATTACCTCCATCTTACAGATGAAGACCCTGAGAATTAAGTGACTTGTCCAAAGTAAGGGGATGAGTCAGGAAAGGAACCCAAGCAGTGTGGCTCTGAAATCTATGCTCCCAACCACCACAGAACATAGCCTTTGTGCTGTTATATTTCAGGGATGGGAATAATTTTGTAGGGATGGGAATTTTGTAGGGATGGGAATAATTTTGTCTAATGGACTTTGCCTTTCAGTAACAGAGTAAGTAATATGGTTATTCTTTCTGTGCTCTTATCCTAGATTTCATTCCTTATAATTTTTTTCCTGAAAAGATTAGAACTTAAAATATCTTTTCAAGGGAAAGAAAGAAAAATATCTCATCCAATCTTTCAGAATTACAGGAACCACACAGGAGAGAAGCAGAGTATAAAACAGGAAGGGCTGACAAACATAACGTGCAAAGCTTACTCTGAAAAAAGTGCAGACCAACCAGGAACAAATCCGGGGTCTCGACTAAACCATAGCAGAGCCATTATAATGAAGAGGACCAAGGTCACAATTTCTTGATACCTGTGGAAAAATTCCAATGGCATCACTTCTTATTTTCTCAGTCGGGACATTTGTAGAAACTCCTTGAGCTATTGTCAGGAATGATCGCAGTAGAACACTAAACACTGTAAGAACTAGATGTGTCAATAATTTGAGAGCATCAGTGCAGTTTGAAAAAGCCCTTTCTCCTCTTTGGGGTCTCTCAGCTTCTTTTCATTTTACCTGGCAAATTTTAGTTAGACAGGGTATGTGTTTTATCATGTTGAGTTATAGTCTATAATCTCCATAGCTTAGCAAATTTGGGGCCCTAATCAAGTGTTATAAATACCTTGCAAGCAATTATGTGCTTGTTTGCTTTTCAACAGCTACTTGCAGTGTAAACAGCATTTCTCTCTTCTCTGTGTGTGTGTGTGTGTGTGTGTGTGTGTGTGTGTGTGTGTGTGTGTGTTTGTCTTACCTTATTGGCCCAAGCTTTTGGTATTCTTGCTTAATCACCTCAGCACAAGCTTTTTGTTGGACTGTTTTGGTTTTGCCACATTTGAACATCTCCTTAAAACTGCAAAGAATAATTAAGCCTGTAAGCAAGAAATTCTTTTACTACCACCTCCCTGTAAGGAAGATATTTTTGTAAAACGTTGTCATCTTCACGCAATATGAATCTCCCTTCATGCAATATGAATCTCCCCGTTAATAACAGATATCTGTGCTTTTCACCTCTACCTCCACCTCCTTTTTTGAATGTTTTCTGTCTTTTCTGTTTTTGCCTGGTTTGCTCACTTTTTCGTGTTCAATTTTCATTGCATATTTTCCATGACATCCTTTACCAATCTCTTCCTTTTTCCAAGTTATTTTGTACCATTGGAATTTTGCCATGTGCCACTTATCTCTAACTAACATTTTATTACGTACTGGATCTTATATATTTAAAATGTATTTATTGTGTATCTTGGTTGTTAATTCTTCCACGCATGTAAGTTTTAGCCCACTAGTTAAATTATTTGAGGGCAAGGACAGTGAGGTGGTCATAGATGTTTCCTTTGGCCTGCTATCTCTGAACACTGCTACCTCTGAACATACACAGTAAATACCTGACACATCAATCCAATAGTACCTTTGGCAAATGTATGAGACAGTTGGGGTCAGATCCATCAATTTTCACAAAGTATGCTAAACTCGAGTTTTACACTAGTGCAGGGACTGATCATGGTCAGAGACTAAACTAAGCCTAGTCTTAGAAGTAAAATAAACTCACCATAAATACCATTTGACCCAGCAATCCCATTACTTGGTATATACCCAAAGGAATATAAATCATTCTGTTTTAATGATACATGCATACATATGTTCACTGCAGCACTATTCACAATAGCAAAGACATGGAATCAACCCAAATTCCCATCAATGATAGACTGGATAAATAAAATGTGGTACATATACACTATGGAATACTATGCAGCCAAAACAAGGAACAAGATCATGTCCTTTGCAGGGACATGGATGGAGCTGGAATTCATTATCCTCAGCAAACTAACACAGTAACAGAAAACCAAACACCACATGTTCTCACTCATAAGTGGGAGCTGAACAAGGAGAACACATGGAACCAGGGAGAAGAACAACACACACTGGGGCCTGTCAGGGGTGTGGAGGGAGGGAGAGCATCAAGATAAACAGGTAATGCATGTGGGGCTTAATACCTAGGTGATGGGTTGATAGGTGCAACAAACCATCATGGCACACGTTTGCCTACATAACAAACCTGCACATCCTGCACATGTATCATGGAACTTAAGATAAAATTTAAAAAAGAAGTAAAACTCTATTACATTTTTTTCTTTAAGTTTCTTTACTCATATGTCCTAATAGCACCCACAACATAATTTTCCTGTTTATTTCCAATAGTAACTGCCACTTTTTATTGTTTTCAGCTGCTTGTTTTAGTGACCTCCTTCCTCACTAATTTTCTGTCTTGAAGTCCAGTGTCTTCGAAACTGAACAGTTTTTGTGAAATACTGTTCTAGATGGAGACTTTTAAAAAAATTCCTCCAGAGGAAGAACTAAATGAAAAAATGGCTAGATTCTTATGGATTATCTCTTGGAATGTTTATGAGCAGCTCAGTTAGTTTACATTTTGTGTAAGTATAGACAGAAAGGACATTTTCTTTCGTAAAGTATCTGGGGCAAGCCTATACATTCATAATCACCTTCATGCATACACTTCAATGCCTGAATATGAGTGAATGGACAGTGCTACATTTATGATCAATTAGGAAATAATTGCTTTTTACAATCTCAGTTAAATTACTGACTAGTGCCAGTCTCAAACTTTTACCCCTTGTCATGACATAAATACTATTATAAGAAACTAATTAATGTGCCACCTAGAGAGCAATCTGTAGAAGAGAAAATCATAGTAAAGAAGGAGATGAGTCTCCTTAGAAACAATTTTCCACCCAGTACATTGCATATATAGTTTATCATTTTGGTTGCAGACAATAAATAGTTAAGTCGAAAGCCAAATTGGCATTGCTACAAATGAAGGTTAATGCCTTCACAAAGCTACTGACAAAGCCTATGACAATGCATCAAACTCTCCATTTAAATAATTGAATGGCACTGACAGATGAGCTCCTCTTCTCAGGTATGTTGGGATCATTTATAATGGGTGAGTTAACTGTGTTAATACCCAACATACTAATCAGAATGTATGCTAGTTTGCCAGGGGAGCGGCTGATAATTTCCGTCTGTCAATCTAAAATCTCTGGAGGTAAACACCTTGGCAGACAGAAAAGGACACTGAAAAATTAGCTGGAGCATGAATCTGTGCAGTGTTTAACAGATAGTGGACACCAAG